>NC_000008.11:10711939-11016420 GCF_000001405.40 Homo sapiens
ATTAAGTATTAACTCACACAATCACAAGGTCCCCAACAGGCTGTCTGCAGGCTGAGGAGTAAGGAGAGGCAGTCCGAGTCCCAAAACTGAAGAACTTGGAGTCCGATGTTTGAGGGCAGGAAGCATCCAGCACGGGAGAAAGATGTAGGCTGGGGGGCTAGGCCCATCTCTCCTTTTCACGTTTCTCTGCCTGCTTTATATGTGCTGGCAGCTGATTAGATGGTGCCCACCAGATTAAGGATGGATCTGCCTTCCCCAGCCCACTGACTCAAATGTTCATCTCCTTTGGCAACACCCTCACAGACACACCCAGGAACAATACTTTGTATCCTTCAATCCATCAAGTTGACATTCAATATAACCATCACACCCTCTCACCTCAAAAAAAAAAAAAAAAAAAAAAAAAAGCAAGTAAGTTTCCAAAACAATGCAAACCCAACATTCTAAAAGAAAGTTATTTACATGAGCACACACATCTGGAAAAAAAAATCTAGAAGCAGTACAACAAGATACTGACAAAAGATGCCTTTGCACAGTGAGACGATAGGGGAATCTCCCGCTGCACGCTTTCTCTTCGTTGTGTCTCTGTACTTACAAGTCTCCTACGTGTACCTACACGACATGTTTAAAATAAAAGGTTTGTAATTGGGCTTGGAAGAATAACTGACCGAAGGGCCACTTTACTTCCAGAGAGAACTTAGCACCCTTATTACTATAGAGTGAGCAGCCTACTCCTTACTGAGATAAATCCTAACATGAATCATCAGTGTCAGCCCCACCAGGACCTGTCCCAATGGGGTCAACAGGAGAGCCAGATTTTGTGAAGTGTGTGTGTGTCCATATGTGTCACATATTTTCTTCCTAATCACACACTTTGGTGAGGACAGTGTTACAAATAGCATTCCTGACTGATGGAAAGGGTGGGGTACGGACACAGCCCAGGAAGTGGCAGGGATCCAGTGAAGAATTAAACTTTTCCAGGGATCATCGAGAGTCAATTGTATTAGGAATTAACATCTCACCCTCGGCCCTCTCCTAAGCCATTCCTGTTGCTTCTATCACCGTAATCTGAAACCTCTTGGCCAAAAGCAGGACCAATTTACAGACAGAAAAATTGAGCCACAGAGAAATGAAACAAATGGTCTAAGATCACAGGCTGAGCAGAGGGTGGACCAGTCAGTGTTTGCACCCTGGGTAGCTATTCAACCCTCCAACAAGCATTGATTGGACACCTACTATGTGCCTGGCAGGCCCCATGGCGTGAAAGATATATAAAATGCCTTTCCCAGATAAATACATTTCCAGACTAGTGGGAGGAGACAGACTTAAAAACAGAGCTTGCATCATGACACTGTGAGAGCTATGTGAGAGGCTTGTGAGAAGGTACAGAAAATGGGCCTGCAAACTACATGGCTGGGGACCGGGCGTGGGTAGGCTTGAGTGGGTGGAGGGCTGTTGCAAAGGCTCTTTGAGAGGGGGAACACTGTGCTGGGTCCTGAGACCGGAGCAGGAACCCACGGAGAAAAGGTGTGGGGAAAGGTATTCCAGAGGGAACAGCTTATGCAAAAGCACTGGGGTATGAGGCAACATATCCTATTTGGAAATTGGCCATGCCTGGAACACACAGTGTGTCATCGGGACTGCATAAGGTGACGAGGGCCAGGTAAGTTGGGACTGGATTATAAAAGGCCTTGAATGTCCCCCTGTGAAGTTTAAGCTTTATCTTATTGGCAGGATTGGACAGATAAAACTTTTTAAGTAAAAAGGAAACGTCGTTAGATCTTTTGGAAGCATCATCTCTCTAGCCGGATGGGACAGGGGAGACTCAGGGTCATAGCCAGTGAGTGATGGGGTGACAGTCTAGGGCGGACAGTCATGTTAGGATTCAAAGCATGGAATTTGGGAGTCCATGGGGCACCGAGCCCCTGCCTCCCACAGGAGACCAGCAGCAGCCTCACACCAGGCCCAGCCTGGCAGGGAGGGCGCTCCTGAGTGCCAGGGTTACATGAGGATCCACAAGGTTGGGCTCAGATGACAGCGGCCTCTTGCCCCATCCCGTCCAGTCCAACACCCAGGGTGGAGGGGTGGAGGGATCGGGTGATGTGGGCAAGGCAGGGCAGAGTTCCTAGGAGGCGGGGCCACGGCCAGTTATGCATGGGAACAAGGCCAGGCCAGGTGTCTGGGGGCCCCTTGCCATGGCCTGGTGACAGAAGGTGTGGCAGCAGCCCAGGGCAGCTGAGGCAGGATGGAGATGGTGTCGTGGGAGGTGTTCCCTGCCTGGATGCAGTAACTGTGGCTCCAGCCCAGCCATGCACAGCACCTGAGGCTCACCCTGCGACGGCTGTGTGCAGTGGGACCCCCACCCAGGTCACTCCCCCGCTGCCACCTCCCTAGAGACCACCCCATGCCAAGGCCAGGGTCAGAGAGGAGGGGACCCTCCCCTTTTCCTTTCTCCCTTTTCACAGACTCAGAGAACCAGGAATATTCCAGCTCTTGGAAACTGTCGAGTCCTGCCTTTTAATTTACTGAGCCCCAGAGAGGGGAAGCAACTTGCCCAAGGTCACACAGTGGAAAGCCCCACAGAGCATTAGATGAAAAGGCCTAAATAGACCCCAACCTTCCTTCACCCGCCCCTCCATGCTCGGGAGACACAGGCAGCAGGGGCAGCCCAATGCCAGACGCCTGGGTGCAGATGGTCTCACTACACAGAGAACTCCCCACCTGCCTCTGGGCCACCCACCAGCTGTTTCAGGACCCCAGGCTTAGCTGCTGATGGGGGAGGCTCACGTCCAGGAGCAGCCCGAGTGATGGCCGCCCCTCCTGGGCCTGAACCGGGGCAGGAGAGTTGGGGAGGCTAGGGGAGCTGGGGGCCAGGCTCCCACTCCCCAGCCGTGTGTGCTGCTCCATCGGTGGAGACCCGGCCCACCCAGCTGTGTGGCCTCCCTCGGCACTTCACCCGGCCTTAGCATCAGCTTTGCCACCTGTGAAAGGACAGAAGCATGTCTGCGTCAGGATTGCCGGGAGGGTGGCATGAAATCCTGAAGTGACGCCGCACCTCGCAGATTCGAACGGCAGAGCTGCCGCCTGTTCTCCAACGTGCCTGTGCAGTCAGCTCTCGGGGACACACGTGCCAGTGTTGTCACCAAGGCAAGCATAGGTTCATCTTTTCTGGCCAGTAAACACCCCCTTCATGAACCTTTTGTTACCAACAGCCAGCTCCCTGAGGAAGGCGGGAGTGCCTGTGTCAGTGGGGCTTGGGAGGCAGGTCTGTAGGGAAGGTGGGGCCCACCTACAGGTTGAGGGGAGTCCCTTGGGCCCGGGGCGCATCGGAGGCTGTGCTGCGGCAGGAGGCTTGTCTGAGAGCTGGCGCAGGCCTGGGGAAGCTCACATCTGCGACAGTGCCTCTGAGCAGGCTTCTAGTCTCCCAGGACCTCGGTCCTTATTTCACAGCTAGGGCACTTGGCAGATGCTGCAGGCATCTCTCCCGGACACAGGCCTCCTGACCACCTCCTCTCTTGTCCCTCCATCTTGTGCACCTCCCATCCCCAAGCTGGAGCCACACATCCCAATCCCCCAGGGCAGGAGACTGGCCCTAGAGGGGCAGGACAGAGAGTGGAAAAACCAGAGGGTCAGCCCAAGATGACACTGAAAAGGGGGAGTTCTCCCTCCAGCCGCCGCCCTCTTCCTCAGCGGGAATCGGGACTCTGGGCTGCCCTTGGGAGTGGCCAGCACCCCTCATCATTCCTGATGCTTCTGGGAGGGAGGGAGACCCTGAGCTCCCATGTGGCTCAGCCCTTCCAGTAACAGACGGGCAGCGAGGCTCAGGGAGGGGTGGGAACTCATCCAGGCCACACAGCTCAGGGCAGAGCCAGGGTGGCGTTGGGGTCCTGGGATGCCAGCCCCTGCCTTTTCTCTGTGCCAGCCTGCATCCAAAGCCCACAACCTCAGCTCAGAGGATGTCCTTCCAAGGTGACCACAGAGACAGCAACTGACCAGGTGGAAAAAGGCTGGTCCATGGAGTCTTCATGAATAAAGTGACCAATTTTCTAAGCCCAAATGCCAGGCAGGGGGTCTGATAAAGACAAATGATGTGCAGTCACTGCTATCCTTGAAAATCGTTGACTTTGGAGCAAGAAGACCAAAGTCTTGGGGGGACCGGGGTGGTGGGGCCCTCAGAGAGGCTGAGTGCTCCGAGGCAGGGACCTCTGGGCTGCTGGGCCCCTGCCGGCTTCCTGTGGCTGCTGGGACAGGGCGGGGAAGGAAGGCTGGCCGGAGCGAGCTAATCTGGAGAAGTGATTTTCCTCCTGGGCCAGCCCTTCCCTGGGCAGGGCTCTCAGCAGGCGCGAAGGTAGGGCGGCCGGGGCTCTGCAGGGAGGGGCCGGCTTATCAGGCAGGAAACACTGGGCTCCAGCCACATCCTCCTGCTCCTGGTCACAGCAGCTCCCATGGGCAGGAAAACACTCAGCAGCCACTGCTCCTCGGCCTTCTCCGGCCCCTCCTGCGAGCCTTCCTCCTCCTTGGAGACTGGAGTGCTGTGTGCTGGGTCTGCTGCCCCTAGCTCTGCCTGCCTTGCCAGGCGCCCTGGGACACCCGCCGCCTACTAGGGCCCTGCAGCCTGGTCACAGTATGGCAGAAAACCGACAGAAGGGCCTAGGGTGCTGGGGATGTCGGGGTGGGCTCCTTGGACCCATCTATGCCAGCCCGGGCTGTCGGAAGCCACCACCTGTTCCCTCCCACGGTGGGCCTGCAGGTGCACACTGGAACGCCCCCTCCTCCGGAGCCTCTTCTCAGCCCTGCTGTCCTGGGCCAGTACCCACAGAGACAAGCAGCATGAGAGCAAAGGCCTTGGGAAGACTCCTAAATACATGGAAGCCCTAAGCCTCGATATCCCCTCCCGCCTGCACTCCCGGCCCCTTCCCCGCTTCACCCTACACCTTTGGAGCTGTGCTGCCAGCCCCTGCCCCCTGCTGAGACCCTGATGCAGCAGAGCCCTTCCAAAAGCTCGGCCTTGGGGGCTTCTCTCCGCAGCCCTGTGCCCTCACCCTGGCTCCGGGAGATCCCACTTCCCCAGCTCTCCCCCTACCACCCACGCTCCCCCCACAATCCTTCACCGACTTCTCTCTGCTTTGTGCCCTGGGGAGGACACCATTCGCTGTCTGGGCCTCCACTTCCTCTTTCATCAAATCTGAGCTTGACAGTGACTCCCGCCAGCCTAAACAGTCAGTGATTTTATTTTTCAAGCTTACAGAGCTTGATTAAGGATTACAGTCTTCTAATTTCAAGCCTCGGTTCTTTTTGGCACCAATGCAACTCTGCTGTTTACCTCAGGATGCCTCCGAATGGCCTGATGGGAGGACAGGATGGATCCCTTACAGTCTCCTGTCTCCTGCAGATCTTATGATGTTTCATGCTTTCCATGACTTTCACGGTGCCCTGAGCTGTGGGAGCCGGTGCTGCTGTTTTTCAGGGAAAGGAATGAAGAAAAAGAAAGTTCTGTGGCTCCCAGGGATGGGGATGGAGGAGCTACGAAGCCCTCTCGGGTTCTCTGATAGGATGGGAACACCAGCTACTGTGCTGAGAAAGCAGGAAGCCAGGGATGCCTCTGGCCACCCACCCACTTTGCACGACCTCTCAGGCCTGGAAATCACAGCCTTACCTCACAGGTGTCAACATCGGAACATCTAAAACCCAATGACCAGCCTCCCTGAGGCCCCTGGAGGCTGCAGACCTTTCATTCATCAGAAGCCAGTGACTTTTCTGGGTGGAATATTGTCCACGTTTTATCGTCCCCCCTCCAACTTTGTCCCAGAACCACGCCACCCCACAGCCACTCAGACAGATGGAGATGAGTAACCATAAGAAAGGACAGTGGTCAGGGATGGGGAACCAAACACCATTTGAGCCAGGAATGAGCATGAGCCTCTGAGAAATGACTACACACTACACCTACATGCAGAACATTCCAGAAGCACCCGCAGAGCACCCCGTCTCATCCCCTGCTGAAACCCCACTTTCCTCTCCCATTCTTTGTATAATGAGCCTTATCTCCTCCCTCCCACCCCCACATCCACGCGACACTCGGCCTCTAAGTAAGGGGAACGCACACCAGAGAGGGGGTCTAGAGGAAACCACAGGCCCTACCCGAGGCTCAAACACAGTCCCCAGGGGAAAGAAGGGTGCAGCCAGCCAGCAGGGACCAGGATTGCTCCAACCTCTGCAGATGACGTCAGCAGACATGGACCTGGACTGCAGCAGGAGGGACTTAGGTGAGACGGAAGGAAGGACTTTTGGATGATGAAGCTTGTTAGACTAACTTATAGAAAGCAATTCCTCTTTCTTTTTTTTTTTTTTTTGAGACGGAGTCTCGCTCTGTCCCCCAGGCTGGAGTGCAGTGGCGCAATCTCCGCTCAGTGCAAGCTCCGCCTCTCGGGCTCACGCCATTCTCCTGCCTCAGGCTCCGGAGTAGCTGGGACTACAGGCGCCCACCACCAAGCCCAGAGAATTTTTTTGTATTTTTAGTAGAGATGGGGTTTCACTGTGTTAGCCAGGATGGTCTCGATCTCCTGACCTCATGATCCTCCCGCCTCGGCCTCCCAAAGTGCTGGGATTACAGGCGTGAGCCACCGCGCCCGGCCAGCAATTCCTCTTTCTTTTCAGGATTCTCCAGCCAAATAGAAGCCCATCTACCAAGAATGGCAAAGAGGACATCCTCACTAGAGGAAGGAGAATAGGCTAAAAAAGGACCCAAATGGTCTCTTTCAATCCCAGTTTTGCGCCCAAAGAAGGAAACTGACAGTGTTCCTCTATAGTCTACATTAAGTTTACTCGGGGGGTCCTCTCCCCTCATTTCTCCCTCACAATCCATACCATGTGACAATCGCTGAACACGTGGCTCTGGATTTTTCAAGCTAGTATCTGCCTCCAGGCCTAAAAACATCCAAATGGTCTCAAGAACTCCAAAATAGGCAATAGCCCTCCTATGCATTCACATACAGCTCTGCCATTTCTAAAATGCATATGAATCCACTCATAACCTCCTTAGATGACAGAACCGGTCCAGGGATTTACCCAAGTCCCAATTAAAATCCAGTGATGGGTAGGGCCAGACCATGCCCCCAGGTCTCGACTGTTTTCGGGCATCCTCCCCCTGTATCAGGAGCTCTGAGCAACCTGCGGATGCTGCCAGCAGCATGGGCGCATGCACCTGGGACACCTGGGAGGACCAATCCAGTTGCCTTGGTAACTCATAGAGCAATACTTTGCCCCATATAAGTGGTTGACGCTTAAACTCAGGATAAAAACCGCTTTCACATGTCTTGGGCTGAGAGCAGTAGAAATGGGTCAGAAGCCAAGGAAGAGTGTGTCATTCACGGTGGTGTCTGGGGAAATGGATGTTCCCGATTTGCTATTGGAAGCCGTCAGGAAGCACAGGAGAAGGCAGAGGTGCCAGGACAAGTGACGCAACGGAGCCCGGTCAGATTGAAGGCAGTCTTATAAATAGTCTTCAGACTTTAATTCTTCCCGTTAAGAAAAAGTGAATTCATTCTGGGAATGGAAAGGAGTCATTTTTCCTTCGACTATCAGTTCAGACTCTGGGAAACCAACGAACCATTTGAAGCAAAGCCTGCAAATATGCTCATGTGCTTAGACCCAGTGATTCCCTGATGGGAATCCAGCTGTGGGTGCAAACCAATAGATGTTCACTGCGGTGCTGTTGATAATGGCAAAAAAGGAACAATTTAGTGATCTGATAGCAAAGGGATGGTCGAGTAAAATAAGACCCCTGTATTAAGTGTGGTATTCTGCGTCATCAAAAATGATAAATATGAAGATGGATATGAATGTGGTAAAATTTCTACAACAGAATGTTGAACAGAGAAAGCTGAATGCAAGTGGCCTCTATAGCTACACAATGTTCACAGCATGTACAATTATGTGTTCATGGATGTGGGACTAGGGAATTCAGTGAACAAACATGAGTGTGTTGAAAAAAGGTCATGGAGTGGGTGGTTTTTCTTTCCGCCCCCCCCCCACAGTTTTTTTATATTAATCTTTCAACTAGGAAGAGAACATCTTTTGCAGAAAAATGGAATTTAATGGCATAGAAAAAAGTTCATTTAATATTAATGGATAAAATGTCTATTACAAAAGACATGTATATATGCATTATATCTACATCAAAAAAAGAAAAAGGGGCTTGATAGATATATAACCAAAGTATTACCATTAGTGTCTCTAAGTTGTGGACAATAGATGACTTACTTTTTTCTTTATGATGTTATTTTTTTCTATACTTCTGACAAACATTATATGTCCCTTTTAAGAATTGAAATATCAGTGAGTAAATGGATGGATGGATGAATGGATGGATGGAGAGTGGATGGATGGATAGATAATAGATGGGTGGGTGAGAAGGCAGGTAAGGTATGGGATGGATGAATGGAGGTGTGGGTGGGTAGGAGGATATATGGCTGGCTGGCTGAATGTACAGATATATGAGTGGGTAGGTTGATGGATGAATAGAGAAGAAGAGAAAGAAAGAAAAAGAAAGGAAGAGAGAGAGAAAGAAAGGAAGAAAGGAAGGAAGGAGGAAGAGAAAGGGAGGGAGGAAGGAAGAAAGGAGAGAAAGAAAGGAAAAAAGAAAAAAGGAAAAGAAAGAAAGAAAATGAAAAAAGAGAAAGGAAAAGAGAAGAGAGAAAGGAAGAAATGAAATAAAGAGAAAGAAAAAGGTAGGATGAACAGCTGAATGGCTGGCTGGATTGATGGATGGGTGTATATGGATTAAGGAGTGTATGGAACGATAATTAAAGAAGGAAAGACAGAGAGAGAGATGGGGTGAATGGACGGATGGATAGATGATAGATATATAGACAGACAGCTAAGTAGATTCATATAGATGTCTCTCTCTTCTTTTCCTTCCTTCCTCCCTCCTTCCCCCCTCCCCGCGCCCCCAACGCCCCCGCCCCCTGCCCTGCCATCCCTTCCAAATTCCTTTCACTGGGATGAAACCAGGAGCACAGCCTCCTCAAAAGGAAAGGCAGACTAGATGGATGACAGCAATCTTCTGCCCTCAGCCCTCTTCTGCTGCTCCACGCTGGGGCAGGAGAGGAGTGCTCTCCCTATGTCTCCGTGCCCATATCCCACCCCAATTCTGCCAGGCTACACTCCAGCAGGTGCAGGAGAATAGTCATGGCCACATCAGACCCAGCCTCAGAGCCCCAAGAAGGACACACACAAAGAACCCAAGGTCTTGGTTTCCAAGGAAATGGGAGTTAAACTTAGAGACGCAGAAGGGTTCATTCAGGTCTTTACCACCAAGATTAACAGCATACCTACAGGGCATCCCAGGTGGTTTTTTAATTTATATATTTATTCATTTGTTTGTCCAGCAGCCTCTGTGGGTCACCCGCGGGAGAGAGTGCACAGGGCGGACGGTTCCAGGGCCAGCAGTGAGCGAAGTAACCAAGGTCTGCCCGAGTCCTGTGGAGGACGCCTGGGGAGGAGAGTGACTGGCCGCTCTGCTGAGTGAGGTTGGGCATGTCTGAGCTGGACTAGGACAGTGAGTGTGATGTCACCAGATGGTGACAGAAGTGAGGGTCGCCCAGGTCAGGGAATCAAGGATCAGCATTGGTGAAAACACAGGAACAGAGAGAAGGCGAGAATTTCCCTGGCCCCATAGGCTTCCCTGTGGTAGGGTACACTGCAACAGGCAAGGGTTGCGTGAGAAGCTTCTGGAAAGAACGGGATCAATCACAGGGGTGCTCACACGGGGGCTGAGCCCAGTGTTATGAGGTTTAAGGCTTGCACAATTGGGGCAGGGGGTGAGGAACTCCTAAAGAATACAAAAGCATTTTCCTTTTTGCAAAGTTTTTACAAACCAGTGGCCATGTGAACGCATGACTAGGCCCCTCCCAGGACCCTGCACAGCTAGGGGCCCAGAGTAGGAGCCACAGTGAACCCACCCTGGTGCTACCTGTGTGCCCTGGGCAACAAGCCGGCGCTGAGGGACCTTAGGGAAAAGTGTGGAACTGCAGCACATAGGATTCAGAAAAGGAACTTCTAACTGTGCCTTGCCATTGATTCCCACTGGCTAAAGCAAGACATGTTCTTTGCACCAGAGGCAGCGATGTGCCAGAATGGGCAACTAAAACTCAAAGATGCCCCTGGCTCCTGGGCACGACTGTCTCACCCGTAGCTGAGCACAGTGGAAGAGCGGCCTGGTTGTCAGCCTGCTTCCTGCCCTCCCAGAGACAGAAACCATGCCCCCACAGTGTGTCCTGGAATGAAACATGCCCATGAGGCAGTGGCGGGCTGACGTGGCAGGCAGGCACTGGTAGACAGGAGCTCCAGGCAGCCGGTGACACTGCAGATGCACGGGCCGTAGCTGCAGCCACCGGCCTGGATAGCAAGGTCTTCAGCGTCATCTCACTCTGGCCTATGATATCCTTTCCTCTTTCTTTCTTTCCCTGGGCCATGATGGGTATGAAGTGGACCTCATATGACTCCATGCCATAGTAAAGTGGGGAAAGTCAGGCAGCACCAACTCCAGCAGTGAGACCGACGAGTGCTGCCAACACACATCTGACGATGCTAAAACACAGGTAACATGGCACACGAGCCAGCCACCCTTCGCCAACGCCCACCCCGGGCCTCTGTGTCCCCTCCTGCACAACGTGGTGGGTGGATGACGGGCCCCACCTGGGGCTGTGGATGAGAAACAGCCCATAAAACTTTCCGTAAAGCTCTGCACACCTATAAAGTGCTATTAAAGTAATGACTACAGATTAGGATCAGAACTGAAGGGAACACGCATGCCCATTTGGGCTCTCCCAAGACTCACTCCTTGGCCCAGAGGGCCTGGGAAAACACACAGCTGCCCTTAACTCCAGCAAGTTACAACTGCTTGCCCATGGACAAAAGCCAGACAGAGGTGACCTGCACAGGGACTGAGTCATCCTCAGTTTCTTCCAGTGCTTTTTGGCTGGGATGTTGCTCCTAACCCTCACTAGATTTGCATCCTTTCATTATTACTCTGTGTGCTCTCCTGCCTTCTCCACAATGTCCCATTGAGTTCTGAGAGCCTGTGACATATTTCCACAGGACATCCATAAACACAGGTGTGTTTCGAGATTATTTCAAAAAGAAGAAAAAAAATGTGACAGTTTTTTGTTTGTTTTTTTGACAGAGTCTCACTCCATCGCCCAGGCTGGAATGCAGTGGTGCCATCTCAGCTCACTGCAATCTCCGCCTCCTGGGTTCAAGCAATTCTCCTGCCTCAGCCTCCCAAGTAGCTGAGATTACAGGCACCTGCCACCACACTCACGCCTATAATCCCAGCACTTTGGGAGGCTGAGGCGGGTGGATTACCTGAGGTCAGGAGTTCGAGACCAGGCTGGCCAACATGGCGAAACCCCGTCTCTACTAAAAATACAAAAAAAAAAAAAAAATAGCTGTGACAGTTTTAAGTAAGCAAACGAGTAGACAAAACTTACTTTCCTTCTTCAGACAGCCTCATAGTCACCTCATTCCACTTTACGAGTGTAAAGTCGTCACAAGGAGAAAATTGTTCTACATGTAGGTCATGAGTTGACATTTTCTTTCATTGTCAATAAAAACAGCAGATTCCAATGCGTAAAATTTGGATTTATCTCTTTAGCATAACTCATAAAATAAAATAAACCATCCCTACCAGATAACAACTTTTTAAAATAAAAAAGTCGATGTAGAAAACATGTTGATCAATACCACAAGTAGCACCCGATGTAACATTTATGTCTTGCTTGGAAACCTTTTCTTTTTGCAAAACTATATTTCAAAAGATAGAACAGTCATGGTACAAAAATGTTTATTTAAATTAAATATTTGCAACAAATTAATATTGACAACTGTTCCAAAGTATGAGTTGTTCTTTCAAAAAAACGAAACAGTTTAGCTTAATGTCTGTGATACTGTTTTATGAGATTATTCATACATGCTCTGGACTGCGCATCAGTCAATCATATCATCAACAATTTACTATTTATTACCAAATGGCATATAAAGTAATAGCATAAAGAGTAATCATACCTTATAAGTGATTTTACAATAGGACATCTTAGAAGGACAAAAAGGATTTATCAACAATACAAAACATAAGATAAAAATAATAGGAGATTATATAAAACATATTTCATACAGGAAATAATATGCTAAAATCAAAAAACCAACAACTGTCTTTCAGCACACTGTTATGCATGCTCCTTTAAAGGAGGTTTGGGGGAAAGATGAAAATATTTTGGGGGCAGGGGTCCAGGGCTCAGAAACATTTTTGGAATCACAGTGAGTTTCTGATTTGCGGGAAGTTGCTCTAAAGCACTGGCTGAGGACTTTGCCTGAGGACCTGGCTGGTGAGGAAGACAAATTCTCACAGCAGCTAAAGGAAGCATGCTTGGGATAAGTCAGGGGCTGTTTCAGTTAGGGACCAGTTCAGCAGTGGAGGAAGAGCAGAAAGAAGAGAAAAAGAAATCCCAGAAAAGAGAGTAAGGAAGCTGGAGACAGCCGGGAAGGAAGCACCTTTTGAATCTACAGAGGGGAAAGTGTGTATCCAGATTTGAAGACAGTGACTTTGCTTGGTTGCAAAGTCCTTTTAGGTACCCTGGGTCTTTGGTCATTAGAAACAGGGAGTTGGCAACAAGTTGTCATTGTTAATAAAAATATCTGATTTAGACTTTGAGTTTAGGAGTTGCATGAAGTGGGCATGTGTCTCTCACACTCCTGGTATACATTCAGACTGTGCATATTCTTTTTTTTTTTTTTTTCTTGAAATGGAGTTTCACTCTTGTTGCACAGGCTGGAGTGCAATGGTGCAATCTCAGCTCACTGCAACCTCCACCTCCTAGGTTCAAGACATTCTCCTGCCTCAGCCTTCCAAGTAGCTGGGATTACAGGCATGCACCACCACTCCCAGCAAATTTTGTATTTTTCATAGAGACAAGGTTTCACCATGTTGTCTAGGCTGGTCTCAAACTCCTGACCTCAGGTGATCCACATGCCTCGGCCTCCCAAAGTGCTGGGATTACAGGCGTGAGCCACCGTGCCCGGCCTAGACTGTGCATATTCTCTTGAAGTGTGTGTATAATAAACAAATTAACAAAAAAAAAGAACTGCTTTAAAATGTATATTTAAAATAAAATAGTTTTAACTCAATCCCATTTTCTGTGATATAGTTAGCCATACTGGTTAATTTCTCAAATCAGGTTGACTGTTTTTTCTCAAATTGTATGAGTCCCTTTGAAATTTTGTGGTCACTTTGGAAGGGGGTGCAGAAAGTGCAGAAAGCCTCGTGGTCCTTGGGCTGTGCACACAAAATTATCACCAGATCGTAGGTTAGCGAGCTCATTAATGAGTCAAATTTCCCCATCTTCCTTTATTAATCTTGAGAGAACCCTAAATCAGAAAACTGGACCAGAAGGGACCTTGGCTATCAAGTCTGTCCCCCCATTAGTTTCGATGATGGCTACCAAGAAAAGACGTCAGTGAACATTCCACTGGGAGACAGCAACTCTCAGGGGCTGGAGGAAAACTCACTTGAAGGAATATACTTAAAATGTGGGCTGCAGGGGCTGGAACGTGGGGAAGGGGATAGAGGCGGCACTCGGATAAGGAGAGTCCAGCTTAGGCCAAAGGCTCTGGGGCCGCAGTTCAGACCTCCCTGCCCTGAGCGGTGGGAGGAAAGCTGGTGTGGCTGGACGGCTCCTCTGCCACTCAAGGCACAAGAAGGAGAGGGCGCGAGGGCTGACCGGACGGGGCGCCTCCAGCTCTATGACACACTGTAGCTGTTGTAGTACGTGGCCGTGGCATCAGCCAGGACGGAGATGAGGCTGGTCTCTGTGGGACCCGTTGGTGTCACCTGGGAGACCGGAACATGCCCACTGAGGGCCATGGCCCCTGTGGCGGAGTCTGGGTGGCCAGGAGTGTTCAAATACTGGTCGAATTCATTGCGATCCATGTCCCCCAGGAGTTCCACCTGGCTCAGTTGATCCAGGGCGTCGAAGCCAGGGTGCTCAGGAGGCGGGGAAAGCTGGCCCAGGTGGGCTTGGAGGTTGGAGTGGAGTGGGTGGTAGGTGGCCGGGGAGTAATAGGCAGGAGATGGGGGACAGCCGGGTACAGGGGACATCATGGAGACGCCGGGGGACTGGCCAAGGGCCAGGGAGCCCAGGGGGTGGCTACAGTGGAGAGGGCTTGGGGCGTACTCCGGTGAGTACGGGTGCCCTGGCAGGTGGGGGATGCGGCGGGGATGGCCATGCTCCTCCTGGCAGGGGGAGGAGAAGAAGGTCTGCTCCGGCTCCAGCACGTCCAGGGGAGACATTTCAGGAGGTGTGGGCAGCCCGTACGGGTACGTGTCCACACTGCTCGGGGTGCCGCCGCCGCCACCACCAGCCGGCCCCTCGTGGTAGCAGCCCCGGAGGCTGGGCAGGGCAGTGCCGGGGGAGTACTCACCCCTGTCCTCCTTCTCCCCCAGCGCCCCCCGGCTGCCGCTTCTCTTCTCCGGCAGGGCGTTCTGGTCCCGGGAGAGGGAGCTCAGAAGGAAGCCCGGGTCCACGCGCTTGCACAGCCGCTTGGCCTGCTTCTTCCTGCGCGGCCGGTACTTGTAGTTGGGGTAGTCCTGCATGTGCTGCAGGCGCAGCCGCTCCGCCTCGTCCACGTACGGCCTCTTCTGGGACAGCGTCAGCGCCTTCCACGACTTTCCTGCTCACACAAGGCAGAGGAGGCCATGCTCAGTGCTGTGCCCCGCAGGCATCGCACATGCACACGCGTGCACACACACGTGCACATGCACACACACCTCCCTTCCCCCTCCCAGCCACAGAGGACACGGGCATCTCTTGCACCCTCTTCCCAGCCCAGATCCTGCAGGCACAGTGAAGCGAAATCAACCCCTCTGCTTGCATCCAGAAAGCCAGATCGTGCACGGTGCACACAGAAAGCATCACCTCTCATATAAAAGCCGCCAGAGCGTGCCCACACTACAATGCGGGGTCCCCAGTGAAAAGCCCACCTGACCATATGTCAGCTACGGGAAGAAAATATCTAATGATCACGATATTGATTGGGGCTCTTTTTACCCTTCCAGGGTCCATTCTAAACATTTGTGTATTCTCATGAAAATCTCTGCCTTCATTGATTAGTGCAGGCTAAAGAGATACTATCATATTTACCTATGGCATAAATCTCACAGCCCTTTCTGGGAGGGAACCCAGGCTCAGTCAATACTTTCACAGATGTCAGTAAATCAGAGATTCTCACTTAGGTTAACAAATACCTATTCCTTACCTCTGAAGGTCGAATAGAACCCTGCTGGATGACTGAGGCCAGAATGCTAGCATCTGCTTGCAACACATATACGCACACCCAGACACATGCATGCACACACATATACATGCAAACCGTCACTTCCAGCCAGCCATCTTTTGGGGACCCTTGACGGTGCCAGGGCACCTGCTTAGCCACAGATCTCCATGCAGAAGCCATTCCCTGCACTTTCCAGAGTCTCTATTTTCTTCAGTATAAAATAAAGATATTGTGACACTCTCCAGCTCCAAACTCTCTCTTTAAAAATTATTCCATGCTTGCAACCCACTGGTGCTAATATGCTGGCTGCGCTTGATCTTCTATTCACCATTGCTTGCTTGTCTGTTGCTTTTCAAGTTCCCGGAGCATCTTCCCTCATCTATCAGTGTGCACTGCACACCCTTCTGCAGTGGTTTCTAGGGGTGGGGGGCTTCTGGACCCCTTGGGTTGCTTTGCTACCTCCTAAGGTGGGCTCAGGATTCTACAACTTTAACATGTTCTACCATGATGCTAATGTGTCCTGAAGTTTGAGACCCGCTAGCCTAGAGGTTAAGGCCTAAGGAAAGGGCCCTGTGTTCCACTCAGCACATTCTGCACAGGGCCAGGTGCAGAGCCGTGCACACAGCAGCCCTCAGTGCCTCCGTTGACTGGCTCCTTGGGCCAGGGGCTCAGAGCCAGGGGAGGGCAATGATTAAGGGCATTGTACCAATTGGGAGAAAATTTATAGAAATTCCATGGAGCTTTCAATTAACATCATTAGCTGTCACTCAAAAGGGCAACTTGAAAGTGTTAGGAGCTGCAGATTCAGGGCTGGTCGTCAGTTCCCAGCCTGTGGCTGAGGCTACAAAGCTGTGGCAAGTGACCCAAGATGCAGGTGCACCCCATACTCTGTCTGTGGTCTCAATATAAAATGTGGCCGTAGCTTTTAAATGTACCTGGATGTTATATAACTAATAAAATACGTGTTCATTTAAAAATGCTACCAAAGGTCTACTGCTCTTTATGCACTTTCTCATTCATAATATATTTTAAATACCAGTGTGACTAGGTCACATTTTTAATGTTAAGGTTTGGAAGGTTTATAGTGGAAAAAGTTGAGACTCGCATATCCAGCCTTTTCCTCTCAGGTCAGAAAGGAAAGAGCTGAGAAGGAAATGTCACACAGGTGGAGGGGATCATCCTGCTGCCCCCTACTAACAGGTGCACAAGTCCATATTGTGAAAAGCACCAGTGTTGCGGTTTCCCTCACCCAGTGCCAGGAGCTACATGGCTCAGCAGGAAGGAATCTGTGTCTTTTCTGCAGAATGAACTGTAACCTCCTGAAGCTGAAGTGCAGGCCCCGATGGGGACCAACTCGCAGGAAGCATCTGTCTCCTGTGTCCCTGTCCCTGCCCCTTTCCTGGGAGCAGGCTTCCCCAACTCTGCAGAGCCATGCTCCTCTCTCCTCCCCATTCCCTGGCCCAGGCCTGCACAGAATTCCTCCTCTGTCACGGTCACAGCAGGGGCTTGCTTCCCCCTGTTGGCAGGGTCAACAGGCACAGTGCCCACGGTCCGTGGAAAAAAAAGTTTGGGGATCCACAACAAACATATTTTCACTTCTTTTAAAATCTGAAGAAAAATATAAACTTACAGGTTAAATAAAATGTTTTATTATTGTACATATTAACACATTTGTCTTTATGCCAACACTGTGTAAAATACAAATGTTACTATTTTTGTTGAGGGAAAAGGCCCCAGAAGGCCCCAGACCACTAAGGCGAGTTGGTGCAGCCGGCCACCAGGCTGGGCCCTTGGCAACCAGCACTCCATCAACTGCTTTGCACAGCAGCTAAACCGCAGGAGGGCTCGGCCTGGGACCCCCTCTGCGGGCCTGCGGCTTTAGCCAGCAGAAAGAGGGGCGTCAGTCCTATCCCCAAAGTTCCGCCTCGGGAAAGAGCCCTGAGCTCTGAACTCCGACGAAAAAAGGAAGGGCTCTGTTCCGGACCGGGTGGGGTTTGGGAAGGGTAGAGCCGGCCTCGGGTGCCCTTCTTACAGGGCCTGTCTCCCGCTGCGTGCACCAAGTGCTTTGAAAGTTTTTCGCGGATTAAAACGAATAAAAACCTCGTCGAAAGGCAAAGAAGGCAGGGTTGAAAAGTACTCAGCTCGACACCGGAGAAAAAAGAAACCCCCATAGGAACTCCGGTTGTTCGGGTGTGTCCTAACAGCCTCACTCTGGACCTCTTGGACCTGGTGAGTCCGTGTCCCCAGTCCCTGCGGGGACAGCTCAGGAAGAGAGCGGGTTCCAGGACAGCCCAAGCATCCGAATCAAGTTATCTACACCTTCGAGACTGAGCAATAGATGAACGAATCGAGTCTATTTGGGTAAGCTTTTTCTTTTGTTTTGTTTTCCTCTTAATTGTTTAGTTAAAGCAAGGATTCGTTCCTCAGGGTCTCTCTTCGGGAATATTCGTTAATTATAATTTCATCTGTGACAGCCTTCCTCTGAGATGGCCCAATTGTAAGGTCCAGGGAATGCTGGCTTTTCCCGCTTCGGTATTCCTAGTAAACGCCTGTTCCACCCAGCCTCAAACGTTTCCGTCCCTGCCCTGTCCATGCACGCCGGTCCCTGTCGCCAGGCGTCCTGGCCTGGCCGCTGCCCCGTCTCCCCGCCCCCTGGGGCGCCGATCTCCGCTCCTGTCCCAGCAGAGGAGCCTCCCTGCCCGCCGCGCGGTTTCACTTTGGACCGCGCCAAGTGCCCCCGCTCTGAATCCTGGGCACCGCGAGCACCCACGCTCGCGCAGATGGCCAGCCACGCGGGCACGAAGAGGGCCCTCGTCCCGCGTGCCGGGTCTTCCCCAGGCTCCGCGCTCGCACCCGCCCTGCAGTGCCGCCAGCCGCCCGCCGCCCGCCCCCGGCCCCCAGCCCGCTCGGCCGCGCGCTCACTCACCCAGCATCTTGCTGAGCTCGGCGTTGTGCAGGTCCGGGTTCTGCACTGCCAGCCGTTTCCTCTCGTCCTTGGCCCAAACCATGAAGGCGTTCATGGGCCGCCGGATACGGCTCTCGGAGCCCTTGTCCCCCGGGGGCCGGGGGACGGCCGGCGGCGATTGTCCATCCGACAGCTCGGCGTCCAGGGCCGGGCACTCGAGACCCTCGGGCCAAGGGTAGGCTCCCAGCAGCGAAGCCATGGCCGCACGCGGGTCGCCTCGCTTCGCCTGGCGGGGCAGGCGCGGACCTGGCCCTCGCACGGGTCGGGGCGTCCAACTTGGCCCGCAGCCGCGACCCGGCCCCTGATTTATCAGCTTCGGGCGGCCGCGTCCTCCAATGACTCTCCAAGGCGGCGCGGCCCCTCCCTCGGTGTCGGCGCGGGTCCCCTCCCTGCGTCCCGGGCCGCCGCCGGGTCCCCGCTCCGACCTGCCGGGAGGAGGACGGAGGGAGGGAGTGAGGGAGGGCCTCCTCCCCGCGCCTGCCCCCGGCCCGCCCCTCCGCCGCCAGGGCCCGCCCGGGGATCTGCGCCCGGCTGCCCCGGGCCGCCTCCCGCCCCCTGCCCTGGACCCGCAGGTGCCGCAGAGACGCAAGGCAGGCGCTGGAGGCCCGCTCCAGCCCCTGCCTGCCCGGGCCAGACTCCACCGCCCTCCCTGCGCGTGTGGCCTCAGAAAATCAACCCAACCAGGTTTCGCCGAGCCCGCCTGGGTGTGAGAGACATTGACCATGAACCCCTCAGAGCAGCCGTTCTTAATACTCCGACTGCCATTCCTTTCGAAAATGACCGGGCTTCGGCCACCGCAGCCCCAGTCAACTTGGGCCGCCACAGAGGCCGGCCGGAGCCGGGGCTGGGGGCCGCATCCCGCCTCGGGTTCTGTGCAGTGCTCACCCAAGACCCCTCGACGCCCCCGCCGCCCCTGGCTCTCAGGAGGGCGAGGCCGTCGTTCTGGTTCTCAGCCACCTGATTGATTTCTCCTCTCACTCCACCCGCACCCAGTCTCCGGGTCCAGGCCTCCAGCTCCCTCACTTCTGGCTCTTCTCACCCTGAATTTTCTCCTTATATTTTTTCTTTCTTCCTCCGATTGGCAGTCCCGCTTCTCCGAGTGGAGTCGCTCCCGCCCTCTCGCGTCCCCCCCTGGCTGCGCTGCGACCTGCGAACTCCCCCAGTTTCCCTCATCTGCACACCCTGGTGTAGACCGACCGTGCGCGCCGGGCCCACGTGCAGCCTGGGGACTGCAGGCTGGGAGCTCACGGCCATCTCTCGGCCGCGCTCACCGCAGCTCCCCTGTCACCCGGCCCCCTGTGAGGAGCTCTGTTCCCGCGCTCTCATATAAGCGCCGGCACACAGTAGGCGCTCAAGGCCTGCAGAATGAGTGAGCAAATATAGCTCAGACACCTACTGAATGAAAGTCGGCAGGTTTGACTAGATCCTGGAATTTAAAATTTACTGAGCGCCACCCATGTGCGGGGCTCCACAGAGGTGATCCTGGAAGGAGGCAGCGTTGTGGGGGTGCGGGGGTGCCGTGGGGTCCGGAGTCAGAACCTTAGTGTTCAGGTGACTGAACGCGCGACTCTGGACAAGTCACATCTCTCTGGATCTCTTTTCCTAATCCTAACACGGGACAATGATAAGACTGACTTTCCGGGGCTGTTGTGAAGATTCGGTGAGATAAATGCAGAGAAAGCTCCAACCCTGCCTGTGATGCTTGATGTTAATATAACTCTAGGCATGAAGCCCGTGAGCCTGAGTCCGGATTTCAATGTCCCCGCGCGCAGCGACCGATGCCTTGCATGCAACATGCAACGGGCCCGACGGCTAAGACCCGGCAAGTGTAAGGTGAACTGCAGCGTCTCTGTGTTCACGTCCTAATTTTTACCTCTAGAGCCGGGGACAATTTTCATCCGAGAATTAGCTTTCCGCACAAAAGAGATGGCTGGGTTTGCCCCTCTTTTCCAGCCAGGATTCAGTAGCAGCACCCTAGGCCGGTGCGCCCCAACCGCTGCACTGGTGGGCCGGGAATACAAGGGTGTGGGGCGGGGCGCGCGCTGCGCAGCTCGAGCAGAGAACAGGGTGCCCACCGCTGGGGCAGCATCCTGGAACCAGAGGCGAAGCGGCGGGGGACCCACCTGGGGCCGTTTGCAGAGAGTGCGTCCTCCATCTAGGCGGACTTCCCAACCCTGCAAAGCCCAGGCCATTTCCACTGGCCAACCCCTTTCCCGCATATGCCTCCAGCAAAACCCTTAGGCCAGAGTGCGCCTCGTGGGATCCAGGGCCGCGCCCGGCCAGGAGAAGGGAGCTATTTGAGAAAGGGGAGAAAGAGGGTCCCACGGGGGGATTGAGCGGCGGCGGAGGATCCCGGGAAGAGCTCGTCCCCGACACTTTCTGACCCTACTGAGCTCCAGGGCGGTGGCAGTGCTCTGCAGGGTCGGAGGCCACGAGGGGACAGCGCCCCCTTCCCGACGACGGGCGTCCCCACTCCCGGCCGCAGCCCGTAGCACCCTCCCTGCAAGGCCCCAGAGCAGAGCGCGAAAGCCGTGGGGCCGCGCCCGGGCACCAGGTTAGGAAGATGCGCCCTCCCCAGGGAACACGGAATGGTCAAGTTAGATCCCAGACACCGATGGCAACAACAGAGAAAACAACGGGGACGGGGCCAGAGAATACGTGCTGTGATTATTGTCTGCACTTGTTTAGTTTCTTGCTTTTCCTCTGCAGCGAGCTTGCAAGCCTGGGCTGTCCAGGAGGTGAACATTAACCTTCCCAGCGCTGACGCGGGCGCCGCCCGGGGCTTGGAAATTGTCAGCACCGCGGTAGCCGGGCTCGCTCGCTCCATTCCTTCATTCCCTTGCGTCGACGCATTTATGCACCTTGGCAACTGTAAGCGAGCGCGCCCTGGTGCAGGCGACGCCAAGGGACGCGGGGTCTCCATAACCTCGCCGATTCTCTGGTCACTGCGACCTTCAGTCCTAGAGCTCCGCGCCGACCCTACGCGACCCCAAAGCCTGGAGTTCGGAGGGCTGAGCTAGAGGGGGAGGGCGCCAGCCCTGGCATCCCGACACTTGCTGTCGCCAGCGCTGGGTTCGGGGCCGCGGCCAGCGGTGGGTCCAGCGGCTCTTGGGTCGAGGCTAGGTGCGGCGAATCATCACGGCGCGGACCCTGGAAGACCTGGAGGAGAAAGGTCGAGGCCCAGGGCTACCGGGCCGGATCTTGCGGGGCTCTGACCCGCAGCAGGACCGGTTGGGGGTTCCTGCAGGGGCCGCCAAGCAGAGGCGGAGAGGCAGGGCCGGGTGTGGTGACGCGGGGCGCACTGGACACCGCGCGTGCTCCACGCAGCCGGCCTGGCGGCACCACCACAGCTCACTCCTCCCGCGTGAGTCACCTGAACTGCACTCTCTTAAAAGATGTTCTCTTTCTTCCTTCTTTCTTTTCTTTTCCTTCCCTCCTTTCTCCCCGACCCCCTTCTCTGTCCGTTTAGCTCGGTAGTTCTGTGAACACTGGTTTCCAAGGACACAGGGCCCGAAGCCAGAAATCCCCAATTCCAATTTCCTGCAATTCACTTGTATTTTGATAACTGACTTAACTACTATCGGCCTCAGTTTCTTCACCGGTAAAATGGGGATAATACAAGGTGGCTGACACAGTGTTTGTAAAAGCTCCTAGTAGACTTTTCTGAGTTGTGAAATATGAAATCGTGAGTGGGCGAAAACCAAAAAAAAAAAAAAAAAAAAAAAAAAGTCGGGCCTCCACAACTTTCCTCTCCAGGAGCTGTTCTTATTCTATTCCAAACGGAGGAATTTCAGCTGCCCTGGGGGGAAGGGGAGAGGGAGGGGGAGGAGAAGAGGGAGGAAGAGGGGGAGGGGGAGAAGGAGGGGGAGGGAGAGGGCAATCCCGCCACGGTACCCCTGGCACCTGCTCCGAACCCGCCGCGAACCCGGAGCTCTGAACCGGACCAGGCGCGTCCCGGGCCCACGGCCTGCCTTGGGCGGAGCCACCGCGCATGCTCCGGAGGCCCGCGGCAGCGCCCGCAGGCGTTGGGTGCAAGTGTTCTGTGGTTGCTTTTAGTTCCTCACACCAGGCTAGAGGTTGAAGTCATTATCATCACCATCTTTGATCACGCTGATTTGTCTGTACTTGATTGGCAGTCTTTGCAAAGCAGGTTCCCATTCACTGGCTCATCCCCGCCTCCACACAACCCTCGAAGCAGAAGGCCCAGAGTTTTAGGACTGAGCCATTTCCCATACAAGGCGGGTGAGGCTGCGGCTACAAAGGCCAGAGCACAGACCCCAGCGCACGGCTCCTGACCTCACGCCTGGACTACCAGGTTCCTGTGCGCCCCGGTAGTGCCCCAGCTCGAGGGAAGTGCTTCTAACCAGCCGCTGCGACGCCTCCTGGCTTTGCGCCCCCTCTAGCCTGGTCTCTGGAAGTTCCACTGCGCCTTTCCTCATCCACAGGGTGCCTTCAGTTTAAGGCGTGTCCTGAACAAGGTAACGTGAAAAGCAAGGGGCCAAACCCTGCTGGCCACGGCCGAGGTGCGGGCTGCAGAGAGGGGAGACCCGGCCAGGCCTGCCAGCCCCGCCTCCCGCGCCGTGCGGGGTCCAGGAATCTGCAGCTCGGGTTTTCTACAAGACGCTGTAGTGGAGTTCCTTGTTCAACCCACGGAAATCTCTCCATAGTCATCGAAGAGAAACCCACCAAGTTCCTAATTCAGAATAACTGTGATTAAAACAGCAGGGATTGGCCGGGCACGGTGGCTCACGCCTGTAATCCCAGCACTTTGGGAGGCCGAGGCGGTCGGATCACCTGAGGTCAGGAGTCCGAGACCAGCCTGGCCAACACGGTAAAACCCCGCCTCTACTAAAAATACAAAAATTAGCCAGGTGTGGTGGCGCGCGCATGTAATCCCAGCTACTCAGGAGGCTAGGGAGGAGAACTGCTTGAACCCGGGAGGCGGAGGTTTCAGTGAGCCAAGATCGTGTCACTGCACTCCAGCCTGGGCAACAAGAGCAAAACTCTGTCACACACACACACACACACACACACACACACACACACACACACACCGAGCAGGTATTTAAGATGTACACCTGCAGTTTCACTGCGCTGACTGAAGCAGGCAGAACACAAGGACATTAGGTCAGTTTCACAGAATCTAAGGTCCAGTAGCTTTTCCATATGAACCTAGGGAACAAGGAATATTGTTTTCAGACTAGAATGCTCCTGGATGTGGGTAGTGTAGACCCCTTATAATATCAAAACCTTTTTGTAGTTGCTTAAATTACTAAGGTACAGTTTCCCCGGGTCAGGCATTCCTGGTTACTACAGCGGCCCCCCTGTACACACACGCTTGTGAGCACCCCTAACCCACCACTTGTCTCTGATGAATCATGTTTCCAGCGGATAATACCTAAAACTTCCGTGGTGGGAGGAACACTGACTTGGAACCAGAAGCCACAAGGCCAGTCCAACCTGCCACTACTGTCTGCGCACATTTTAGCAAGTCACTTCACTGGTTAACTCACAGGATCCGGAGCCTCAGTGAGGCCCCGAGAGATGAAGGACTTGTCACGTTTTGTCCACTTGGATAGCACCGAGATAATCTAATGCTCAGTCTGTGATTTGTGTTTGCTTCTCCCTAGCACTGAGGGACGTGAGTCCCAAGCCAAGAACACCCTTTTTCTACAATAACTTTCTTCCACTCCACTCTGAACAATTATCAGGTTTCCTTTAAGGGGGTAGGTGTGTCAGATTACTGCATAGAAATGATCTTTATTTAATGGGTCAGAAGCTAGACTTTCAGACAAATTTCAATAGAAAAATTAACAAACTACAAGATAAATTAGCAGTTGGTTTAAGGGGATATTTATTTCTTTTTATCCTATTGCCTCTTCTTTTCCAAATGTCTAAGATGAAGAAGTGAAACTGATTAGAAACCACCCATAATAATACAACATGGAAAATAAGCTTTTTCTTAGGACCTCTGTACACACGTCTGACTTCTGGGTAAATAGGATCAGGCTAATGATGAGACAGCCTAAATAGAGATGTCATGACAGAGAATTCTGTCATCAGCCAACAATTCCAGTGTGAGAAGTTGAAGATACTTCGTATTTGTTTAGATTATGAGATTGCTTTAATGTGTGGATTTCAAACTACTATGTTTTGTTTGTAAGATAAAATGTGTGTTGAAGAGAAGTTTTGTTTGTAAGATAAAATGTGTATCTACAGAGAAGTGCATGGAGTTTTAGCCAGGTGAACACACCACATAAGCAGCACTCAGATCGAGTAACAGGCTTTGCGAGTCCTGATATTTCTAAGGCTCCCTACCACTAAGTTGTAAGCTCCCTAAGAGCAGGGACTGAGTACCATTCTGGTTTAAAATATAGTACATTAATGGAAAATTTGAGTATGGCTTGTGTCTGCTTCACTGTGTCTGAGTCTGGAAAGACGTGAACAACTAGAAGTCACCTGAATGGCCAGAAGCTAGAATTATCTGGAGGCTTCTTCACCCACAAGTCTTGCATCAGAGGAGGGGTGACTCAAAGGCTGGGCTAAGTTGTGGCATGTCTACACATGGCTTCTCCATATATTTTTGGCTTCCTTTTTAGCATGGTGGCCTCAGAGTAAATCTGATATGTCAACTTGGGATGCCAAGAATGAGTGTTCCCATAAACAAGCCAAAGCCTAAATGGCCTTCTAAGACTTAGGCTCAGAAGTCACATAACATCACCTCTAACCCATATTTGTCGGTCAAAGCAGTCACAAGCATGTCTAGATTTAACCAGAGGAAATATAGCCCTCCACCTCTTAAAGTGGGGAGTGTCACAGAATTGTGGCTGTGTTTTAAAACCATGAGGTATGTGTATGTGTGAGATGGTGGAAGTGAGAACACCAGAGGTTTATAACAGACAAAGTAGCTACCTTTGTAACTCATAACGCTCTTTCCCACCCCAAGGCCAATGTCAGGGCAAAGAAGTGCACCTTCTTTTTCCACACACTTAAACGAAGTCTTACACAATGCCATACCTTTGAAAGGTTTTTCAAAGTTCCTCAAAAGAAACTAATAGAAATAGGAGTATAGTAATTTCATTTTTGAGACGGAGAATGTTGAGGCACAAGATGTACTTAGAAATATAAAGCAATTTAAAGGATAGAGCCGGAGCTGGGCATTGAAGTTCTATTTGAAAAAAAGCTTAATGAGTGATGTGTCTATATTTGGAACTCGAATTTTTAGGGTTTGATCAGAGGGATTTGTCAAGGATATTTTGAAAAGAATTTCAGTGCAGGTAGAGAAAATGGGTTCTAAGCCCTTCTTCAACTGGCTTCTTAATAGCCGTCATCCCCTACGTTTCTGACACTGGATCTAGTTCACATATTATGTGGAGCAGTACTAATCACAGTCTTGTTTACCTGTGTAAATATAAGTTTTAAGGTGCTCTTACACATACCATCTCATTTCATTTTCAAACACCTTATAAGGTAAGCTGGGAAGGTATTTGATTATCACCCTAATTGTGTAGATGAGAAACTGAGGCTCATAGAAATGAAATGACAGGTGGCGAGTGACAGACCTGGCAAAATGACTCCATTCAAGGCTCTCTCCAAAATATCATTCATTGCTTAATTAAGCCCATAATCCATGGGATTTAGGGCTTGACTGAAATGAAGTTGGATCCAAACAAACAACATCACATATAAGAAAGTAAGTTTT
The DNA here is from genome assembly GCF_000001405.40 of Homo sapiens. Lineage (NCBI taxonomy): Eukaryota > Metazoa > Chordata > Mammalia > Primates > Hominidae > Homo > Homo sapiens. The sequence continues at coordinate 10,737,937 of NC_000008.11, forward strand.
AAATTATAAAAACTTCCACTTCTGCTTATGATGGAGTAACAGGGATCAGATTAACGCCCCACCTTAAACCAATACAAAACTAAGCAATGTCTGAGTTTTCAGACACTGCACAACAGACAGTGCACACAGTAATTCTGGAAAAGAGAAACAAATGAGGTGAACCCAATACGTGCCCCTGATCATTGTCTGGAGAAGGTCTCCAGGCCATGATGCAGGGAAGGGGAACTAAAACAGAAACCAGGGTGTTGCTGAGTTGAAAAGTCAAAGTTCTGAGCTGAGAGAGGATGAAGCAGAGAAGAGTCTGCATAGACAGAAGGCTTCAGAGATCTAAAGAGAGGTCTCCTTGAATTTTTGCCTGACAATGATCTGCACATGTATGTGAAAAAAATCCGAAGGCTATGGAAAGAATCACTGGAAAAAAATTAGGTGGACTAATTTCCTGAGCTCATACCAGGACAGAAAGAGTTTCTGTTCCCACAAGACAAGGTGGAAAGACCTCCTAATACATGGGACATCAGGTAGTATCCTCAGAAGACTACTGTCTGATGGAAAAAGAAATAGGAAAATACAATCCACAACCAGGATGAAAATCAGTCAATAGAAACAGCACCAGAAATGACAAAGATGATGGAATTGGCAGATACGGATGTTAAAAAAGTTATTTTAAATATACTCCTTGTGTTCAAGAAGGTAGAGGAAAACAAGATCACAGTTCTTGAAAACAAGATGTAAAAGATCTAAAAAAAAAAGAGCCAAATCAAAATTTGAAAGGTAGAATATTTGAGATACAAAATACCCTACAGAGGATTAATAGTAGATAAGACATTGCAAAATAAAATATTAGTAAACAAGAAACATGCCAATATAAACAATCCAAAAGGAAAAACAGAAAAAAGACTGAAAATTAACATAGAAGTAACAACTTGTGAGACAATATTAAGTGGCCTAACATAAAAGTAGTTAGGCTCAGAAGAAAAGGGAGAGATTAGAAAAACATATCTGGGAAAATAATGGCTTAATGTTTTTTGAATTTAATGGAAACTATAAATTCACAGATTCAAAAAGCCCAACAATCCCCCACCAAAAAAAAAACAAAAAAAAACAAAAAAAGAAAAAAAATAACGAAAGGAAACCATACTAAGGCACATCATAATGAAATTGCTGAAAATCTTGAAAGCAACTAGAGGGAAAAGGACACATTACATACAGAAGGAAAAAATAAAAACTAAAACAGACTTCATGCTTGAAACTATGCAATCCAGAAGACAATGGAATAACATTTTTTAAAGTACAGAAAGAAAAAATTTTAAAAACCACTCAACCTAGAATTCTACACCTAGCAAAATTATTTTATAAAATAAAAGCCAAATAGGACTTTTCAAACACACAAAAGCTGAGTGAATTCATTAGCAGACCAACATCATGGAAAATGTTGAAGGAAGTCCTTGAGGCAACGGATAGTGATATAGATGGAAATTTGGATACACACAAGGGAATTGGTGAACATAAAATACTTTTTTTATATTTTTAAAATCTGTTAAAAATATAATTGGTTGTTAAAGCAGAAATAATATATTTTTGAATTTACAGCATATATAGAAGTAAAATTTTATGACAACAATAGCACAAAGATCAGGAGGAGGGAAATGAAAATATATTTTTGTTAGGTTCTTGTATATATATGTGAAGTGGTATAACATAATTTGATGATAGGTTGACCATTTAAGATGTATACTGTAAACGTTAGAGCAACCACTTTTTAAAAAGAGCTAATATGCCATTGAGGTATATACAATGGAATAATAAAATTCTCAATTAATCAAATCTATCCAAGACAGAAAAAGATGAAAAGGAAGCAAAGAATAGACGAGACAAATAAAAAACAAATAGTAAGATGTTGGATTAAAACACAACCATAATTATGACCACACTAAATGTTTATGGCCTAAATATTCCATTTAAAAGCAGGGATTGTCAGATTGGATTTTAAGAAAAAGCAGGATAGAACTATATGGTTATATGATGGTTTAAAGAAATCCACTTTAAATACAAGACACAGATTAGCTAAAGGTAAAAGGATGAGATTTTTTATACCCAGTCCAGCATGTATGGAGACTGGAGATCGTTAATCCCATCCTAACAACAAGAGAAAAAGTTGAACAAACTGAAAATTGACAAGTCTTCTTAGCTCCATCAAATAATTCAGGTCATAAAGCAAGCCACCACCCTATGATTGAAGAGACAAAAAGGTGGATACCGAGAATCACAACAAACCCGTGAGCAGAAACGTCCACAGGAGTCAGTACCAGGTTCCTCTTATGACAAAAAATGACAAGGCATATTAAATGGCTAACAGCACAGTTTAGAGAAACAGAGAATGAGAATCAAACTCAGATATGTCAGGGATGTTGGAATTATTAGACTGGAAATTTAAAATAACTATGATTAACATGCTAAGGGTTCTAATGGAAAGGTAGACAACATGAAATAACATATTGGTAATGCAAGTAGAGAGACGAGAATTCTAAGAAAGGATCCAAAAGATGTGCTAGAAATAAAAAGCACTGTAACAGAAATGAAGAATGCCATTGATGGGCTTATTAGTAGTCTAGACATGGCTGAAAAAGAATCAATGATCTTTAAAATATGCCAGTAGAAACTTTCCAAACTGAAAAACAAAGAAGACTGAGAAAAAAATGGAACAGAATATCCACCGACTGTGGGACAATTACACATCACATACACACAATGGGAATACCAGAAGGAGACCAAAGAGCAAAAGGAACAGAAGAAATATTTGACGCAATAATGACGGAGAACTTCCCAAACCACATATTCAGGAAAGTCAGAAAACACCAAATAGCATGAATGCCAAAAATGACATGTAGGCATATTGTATCCAAGTCATGGAAAATAAAGACAAAGAAAAAAATCTGGAAAGAAACCAGAGGAAAAAAATCATCTTCCTAACTATCCTATAAGGATAATCATTACATTGGATCTCTTCAAAGCCATACAAGCAAGAAGAGAGTAGAATGAAAAAATTTAAGCGTCCAAAGAGAACCCCACCAACCTAGAATTCTGTATCTAGCAAAATTATCCTTTAAAAGTAGAGGATAAAAATTTTCTCAGATCAATAAAACATCGGGGGAATTTGTCACTAGTAGATATGCCCTGCAAGAAATGTTAAAAGAAGTTCTTCAAAGTGAAGGAAAATTATATAGGTTAGAAACTCAGATCTGCATGGAGAAAGACAATTAAAGAAGGAATAAGTGAAGGCAAAATTAAAACGTATTTTTATTTTTCTTCTTCTTCTTTTTTTGTTTTTTTTCCGTTGAGACAGGGTCTCACTCTGTCACCCTGTCTGGAGTGCAGCGGTGCATTCATGACTCACTGCAGCCTCAATCTCTTGGGCTCAAGTGATCTTCCTACCTGAGCAGCCCAAGTAGCTGGGGCCACAGGTGTACAATACCACGCCTGGTTAATTTTTTTATTTTTTGCAAAGACAGGGTCTCGTTATGTTGCCCAGGCTGGTCTTAAACTGCTAGGCTCAAGTGATCTCCCATCTCAGCCTCCCAATGTGCTGGGATTACAGGCAAGAGGCACCACACCTGGCCAACAGATAATCAGTTCGTTCAAAGTAATGAAAATAACAATGTATTGCAGTGATTATTATAGCTTATGGATAAGTGAAATGAATGACAGCAATGATAGACAGGAGGCAGAAGTCAGAAATACTTTATTATAAAGTACTTACACTATCTGTGAAGCAGTACAGTGTTACTTGAAGGTACACTTGAATTAATTGTAAAATGTATATTACAAACTCTAGGGCAACCATTAAGAAAGTAAAAAAAAAAAAAAGGTAATTAAAGGATGGAGGAAAAATGAAATCTAAAAAACGCTTAATTAAAACCCCAAAAGGCATAAAAAGAGTGAAAGACAAAAATAGAAACAAAGAATAGGGGCAACGAATGAAAAACAGTAACAAATATAGTACATATTAATTCACCTATATCAATAATCATATTAAGTGTCAATGTTCCAAATACACTGTATTAGGCCATTTTCACATTGCTGTAAAGAAATACTTGAGACTGGGTAATTAATAAGAAAATAAGTTCATTTGGTTCACGGTTCTACAAGCTGTACAGAAAGCATAGCAGCATCAGCTTCTGGGGAGGCTTCAAGAAGCTTCCAATCATGGTGGAAGGCAAAGTGGGTGTAGGCACATGACATGGCAAAAGCAGGAGCAAGAGAGAGAGAAGGAGGGGAAGTGCCACGTACTTTTAAACAACCAGGTCTCAGGAGACTTCACTCACTATTATGAGGACAGCACCAAGTGGATGGTGCTAAACCATTCACAAGAAATCTACCCCCATGATCCAATCACCTTCCACCAGGCACTACCTCCAACATTAGGGATTACATCTCGATGTGAGATTTGGGTGGGTATAAATATCCAAACTATATAATACACCAACTAGAAGACAGAGAATGTAAGAGACTTGTCACAAAACAAAATGAGACCTAACTATAACTTGTCTGGAAAAAACCCACTTTAAATATATAGATACAGATAGAGTAAAAAGAGAAAGATATACTACGCTAACACTAAGCAAAAGAAATCTAGAGTAGCTATATTAATTTCAGATGGACTTCAGAGCAAGAAAAATTACCAGCTATAAAGACAAGCATTACATAATAATAAATGGGTCATTTCTCCAAATAGACATAACAATCCTTAATGTATATGTACCTAACAACAAAGTATCAAACTACATGCAGTGAACTGATAGATGTCCAGGAGAAATAGATGAATCCAGGATTATTGTTGAAGACTTCAACATTCTCTCTCCGTAATGGACAGACTCAGCAGGCAGAAAATCAGTAAGGACATAGCTGAACTCAATAGCACCTTCAATCAACTAGCTATACTTGGCATCTATCTATTACTTCACGTAAAAACAGAAGAATACACATTTTTCTCAAGTTCACATGGAACATTCACCAAGATAGAGTACATTCTGGGCCATAAAATACACTTAAACAAATTTAGGAGAAGAGAAGCCATGCAATGTATGCTCTCAGACTACAATGAAGTAAAACTAGAAACCAATAACAGAAGGATAGCTGGAAAATCCCCCAAACACTTGGATATTAAACACCATGCTTCTAAATAACACATGGGTCAAAAAAATAAATCTCAAGAAAAATTTTAAAATATTTTGTACTAAACAAAAATGAAAACGCAACTTATCCAGGTTCATGGAAAGTACAGAAAACAGTACATAGAATGAAATTTATAATATTGAATGCGTACTTTAGAAAAGAAGAAATAACTAAAGTCAATAGTGTAAGCCTACACCTTAGGAGATGAGAAAAGGAGGAGTGAATTAAACTCAAAGTAAGCAAAATAAAATAAAATATTAAAAACTAGATCATAAGTCAATAAAATTAAATACAAAATATCAATAGAAAAAAATCATTGAAACGGAAAGCTGGTTCTTTGAAAAGATCAATAAAATTGCTAAATTTCTACCCAGGCTAACTAAGAAAGAGGGAGAGAAGACAGAAATTGCTAATATCAGAAATAAAAGAAGAAATAGCTATTGACTCCATAGACATTAAAACATAATAAAAAATTATAAACAACTCTATGTCCCCAAATTTGATAACCTAGATAAACTGAACCAATTGATACAGAGAAAGCATTTGACAAAATCCAGTACCCATTCATGATAACAAATCTCAGGAAACAAGAAACAGAAGAACACTCACAATTTGACAAAGAACATCTACAAAAATGATACAGCTAACATTACACTTAATGGTGAAAACCTAGATGCCTTCCTGTCAATATCAGAAACAAGGCAAGGGTAATCCTTTTCACTACTATTTTCAACATTGTGTTAGAAGATGGCTAATGCAACAAAACAAGAAAATAAAATAAAAGGTATACAGATTGAGAAGTAAAAGATAAAATTGTCTTTGTTCATAAATGACATGATCGCCTATGTAGAAAATCCCAAAGAATCGACAAAAAAACCACCTGGAACTCACAAGCAATTATAGCAAGATTGCAAGATACAAGGTTAATATACAAAATTCCATTGTATTCCCGTATGCAGCAATAAACAATTTGCATTTGATATTAAAAACACAACACTATTTACATCAGCACCAAAAAACCCACCATAATACTTAATTATAAATCTAACAAAATAAATTATACAAGATTTATATGAGGAAAATTACAACATTGTAATGAAAGAAATCGAAGAAGAATTCAGCAAATGGAGAGCTATTCTCATTTCATGGATAGGAAGATAATATTATTAAGATGTCAGTTTCTTCCAACTTGTTTTTTAGATTCACTGCAATCTCAATCAAAATCTTAGTAAGTTACTTTGTGGATATTGACAAACTAATTCTAAAGTTTATTTGAAGAGGCAAGAGATCTAGAATAGCCAACAAAATATTGAAGAAGAACAAAGTGAAGGCCTGATACTATCCAACTTTAAGACTTACTAACTTCATAGCTATAGTAATCAGGACAGTGTGGTATTGGTGAAAGAACAGACACATGTATCAGTGGAATGGAATAGGAAACCCAGAAACAGACCTATGGAAATATAGTCAACTGATCTTTGACAAAGAAGTGAAGACAATTTAACGGAGAAAGAAGAGATTTTTCAATAATTCTAAAACAAGTGAACCTCCCCATGCAAAACAAACAAACAATCAAAAAATGAATCCAGACACAGACACTTATACCCTTCACAAAAATTAACACAAAACGTATCATAGATCTAAATGTAAAACACAAGCATGGTGAAACTCTGTCTCTACAAAAAATTAGCTGGATGTGGTGGCTTGTGCTTGTAGTCCCAGCTACTTGGAGGCTGAGGTGGGAGGATCGCTTGAGTCTGGCAGGTGGAGGTTACAGTGAGCTAAGATCCACCATAAATGTAAAACACAAAATTATAAAACTTGTAGAAGATAACATAGGAGACAATCTAGATGACTTTGGGTTTGGCAATGACATTTTAGATACAACACCAAAAGCATGATCCATAAATGAACAACTTGATAAGCTGGGCTTCATTAAAATTAAAAACGTCTGTTCTGAGAAAAATAGCATCAAGAGCACGAGAAGACAAACCACAGACTGGGAGGAAATATTTGCAAAAGACATGGCTGATAAAGGACTGTTATCCAAAATAAACAAAGAACTCTTAAAACTCAACTCTTAAAATCCAATAAGAAAATAAACTACTGATTTTAAAATGGTCAAAAGCCATCTCACCAAAGAAGATATATAGATGGCAGGTAAGCATGTGAAAGGCATTGTTTAGTTTTCCACATACATATCCTATTCATGTCGTATTAGGTGTAAACCTAAGTATTTAATTTTTTTATTGTGGCAAAATACACAAAATTTATCATTTTAACAATTTAAAAATGTACAGTTCCGTGGCATCAAGTACAATCACACTGTTGTGCAACCATCACCACCATCTACCTCCAGAACTCTTTCATCTTCTCAAACTGAAACTCTGCACCCATTGAATAATTCTTCAATTCTCTGTCCTCCCAGACCCTGGCAACTACCATTCTTTCTGCCTCTATGAATTTGACCACTCTAGGGAATATATATATATGTGGAGTCATACAGGATTTGTCTTTTTTTATTGGTTTATTTATTTAACATAGTGTCTTCAAGACTCATTCTTGTGTGACTTGTCAGAATATCCTTCCTTTTGAAGGCTGAATAATATTCTATTGTATGTATATGCCACACTGTTAATTTATTCATCAGTCCATAGAGGCATACGTTGCTTCCTCCTTTTGGCTATTGTGAAAAATGTTGCTATGGAACATAGGCGTACAAATATCTATTCAAGTCCCTGCATTCACTTCTTTTGTGCATATACCTAAAAGTGGAATCATATGGTAATTAATTTGGGAGGAATTGTCATACTGTTTTTCATAGTGGCTGCACCACGTTACATTCCCACCAGTAATACACAAGGGTTCCAATTTGTCCACATCCTTGGCAACACTTTTATTGATAGTAGCCATTCTAGTAGGTGTGAAATGGTATCTTTTGATTTGCATTTAATGACTAGTGATGTAGAACATCCTTTCACATGCTTATTGGACATTTGTGTATCTTCTCTAGAGAAATGTCTATTAAAGTACTTTGCCCATTTTTAAATCATTTTTTGTTGTTGTCGTTGAGGTGTAGGAGTTCTGTATATATTCTCAATATCAATCCCTTATTGGATATATGATTTACAAATAGTTCCCCCCATCCCAGGGGTTGTCTTTTCTCTCTCTTGATAATGCCCTTTGATACACAAAGGTTCTTAATTTTAACTAGCTGGGTGTGATGGCATGTGCCTGCAGTCCCAGCTACTTCAGAGGCTGAGGTGAGAGAACTGCTTGAGCTCAGGAGGTTGAGATTGTGCCACTGCACTCCAGTCTGGGCAACAGAGCGAGACCTTGTCTCAAAAAAAAAAAAATCCTTAATTTTGACAACTCCAACTTATTATGTATTTTCTCTTTTTTTGCCTGTGCTTTTGGTGTCCTGTCCAATAAAACACTGCCAGATCTGATGTCATAAATTTTCCCCCTGTGTTTTCTTCTAAGAGTATTGTAGTTTCAGCTCTTACATTTAGATCTTTCATCCATTTTGAGTTAACTTTTGTATATGGTGTAAGGCAAAGGTCCAAATTTATTTTTTTGCATGTGGATAGCCAGTGGTTTTAGTTCATTTTTTTGTTGCTATAAAAGAATACCACATGTTGGGTACTTTTAAAGAAAATAAATTTATTCCTTACAGTTCTAGAGGCTGGGAAATCCAAGAGCATTGCACTGGCATCTGGTGAGGGTTATCTTATGGCAGAAAGGCAGAGGGCAAAAGCAAGCACAAGACAGATCACAAGATCAAGTAAAGCTTACTTTTATAAGAATCTGCTCTCATAAGAATTAATTCATTCTTGAGGGCTCCACCCTCAGAACCCAACCACCTCTTAAAGGTCCTACCGTTTAATATTGTTACACTGGCAATTACAATCTCAACAAATAAACTTCTGGGGACACATTTAAACCCTAGCACCAGTTTTCCCAACATTTGTTGAAAAGACTGTCCTTTCTCCATAGAACCATCTTGGCACCCTTGTTGAAAATCATTTGACCATAAATGTAAGGATTTCTTTATGGACTATTCCTATACCATTGGGCTCTATGTCTCTCTTCGAGCCATTTCCACATTGTTTTGATCACCATAGCTTGTAGTACATTTTGAAAAGAATGTGTAAGACCTCTAATTTTGTTCTCCTTTTTCAAGATTGTTTTAGCTATTCAAGGACTGTTGACGTCCCATAAAAATTTCAGCATGGATTTTTCTATCTCTATAAAAAACTGACATTGGGATTTTGACAGGGACTGCATTGAATCTGTAGATTGCTTTGGGTAGTAGTGACAGCTTAACAATATCGTCTTCCAGGCCATGAATGTGGGATGTCTTTCCATGCATTTGTGTGTTTAATTTTCTCCAGTAACATTTTGTAGATTCCATTGTGCAAGTCTTTCATCTACATGGTTAAGTTTATTCCTAAGTATTTTACCCCTTTGATGCTACTGTAAAGGGAAATTTTTTAAATTTCTTCTCCAGGTTGTTGCTTGTTAGTGAATAGAAATGCAACTGATTTTTGCATGTCGATTTTGTGTCCTACAACTTTGCTGAATTCTTAGTTGCAGAAGATTTCTTATTGTGTGTGTGTGTGTGTAATCTTTAGGGGTTTCTACACTATAAGGTCATGTCACCTGTGAATAGAGATAGCTTTATGTCTTCCTTTCCTATTTGAATGCTTTCTATTCCCCCAATTCTTGCCTAATTGCTCTGGGTACAACTTATAGTACTATGTTGAGTAGAAGAGGTGAGCGTGGTCATCCTTGTCTTGCTCCTGATTTTAGAGAAAAAGCTTTTAGTCTCTTACCACTGAGTATGATGTTGGCTATGGGGCTTATATAAATATTTGGCTTTTAGTATATTAAGGTAGTTTCCTTTTATTTCCAGTTAATTGTTTTTAAATCAAGAATGTTGATTTGTATCAGATGCTCTTTCTGCATCAGTTGAGATGATTACATTTTTCTCCTTCTTTTTTTTTTTTTTTTTTTTTTTTTTTTTTTTTTGAGACGGAGTCTCTCTCGCTCTGTCGCCCAGGCTGGAGTGCAGTGGCATGATCTCGGCTCACTGCAAGCTCCGCCTTCCGGGTTCACACCATTCTCCTGCCTCAGCCTCCTGAGTAGCTGGGACTACAGGCACCCACCACTACACCCGGCTAAATTTTTGTATTTTTAGTAGAGACGGGGTTTCACCGTGTTAGCCAGGGTGGTCTTGATCTCCTGACCTCGTGATCCGCCCACCTCGGCCTCCCAAAGTGCTGGGATTACAGGCGTGAGCCACTGCGCCCGGCCTCCTTAATTCTTTTAATGTGTGAATTACCTTGATTTTTACATGTTGAACATTCTTTGTATTTCAGGAATAAATCATACCTGATCATGGTGTAGAATCCTTGTAATAGCCTGTTGAATTCAGTCTGCTAGTATTTTATTTTTTATTTTTTAGAGATGAGGTCTCACTATGTTGTTGCCCAAGCTGGGGTATGGTGGCTATTCACAGGTGTGATCATCGCACACTACAGTGTCAAATTCCTAGACTCAAGGAATCCTCCCATCTCAGCCTCTCAAGTAGCTAGGGACTACAGACATGTGACATCATACCCAGCAGTATTTTAAATTCTGGTGAATTTTGTTTGCTAGTTGAGCATTTTAAAATCTATATTCAAAGGGGATGCAATTGTGTAGTTTTTTATGTTCTAATCTGGCTTGGGTATCAGGCAACGCCAAACTCATAGAATGAATTTGGAAGTGTTTCCCCCTTTTCAACCTTCAGAGGAGTTTAAGAAGAATTGGTGTTAATTCTTCTTTAAATACCTTGCAGAATTCATCTGTGAAGCCATCTGATCCCAGGCTTTATTGGGAGGTGTTTGGTTATGAAATCAATCTCCTTACTAGTTGTAGCTCTATTCAAATTTCCTATTTCTTCATATTCAGTACTGGTAGGCTGTGTATTTCTAGGAATTGTGCCTTTTCATCTTGGTTATTCATTTTGTTGCCATACATTTGTTCATACTATTCTCTTATAAACCTTTTTTATTTCTGTAAAATTGGTGGAACGTCCCTGCTTTCATTTCTGATTTGTGTTTTCTCTTTTTCCTTAGTCAATCTACCTAAAGATTTGTCAATTTTATTGACCTTTTCTAAGAACCAACACCTGGTTTTGTTGATTTTATCTACTGTTTTTCTATTCTCTATTTTATTTGTATCTGTTCCAGTCTTTTTTATTTTCTTCTTTCTTCTTATTTTGGGTTTTGTTTGCTCTCCTTTTTCTAGATCTGTAAGGTGTAGAATTAGGTTGCTGATCTGAGACCTTTTTTCTTTTTTAGTGTAAGCATTTATACCATCAATTTCCCTCTTAATACTGTTTTTACTGTGTAAGTTTTTGTTGTTGTATTTTCATCTTTGTCTTAAGATCTTTCATAGTTTCCCTTGTGTTCCCTCTTTGACCCAATAGTCATTTAAGAATGTGTTGTTTAATTTCCCCAAATTTGTGAATTTTTCAGTTTTCCTTTTGCAGTTGTTGCCTAGTTTCACTCCACTGTGTTCAGAAAAAATACTTTGTATAATTTCAATCTTTGAAAATTCATTAAGGCTTGTTATGTGGCTTAAAATACAGTCTTTCCTGGAGAATGTTCCATACATACTTGAGGAAAATCTGTTTGCTGTTGTTGGATGGAGTGATCTGTATATGTCTTTCATGTCTAATTGGTCTATACTGTTGTTCAAGTCATCTGTTTCCTTACTGATCTTCAATATTCTACACATTATTGAAAGTGGGTACTGAATTTTCCTACTATTATTGCAGGGCTATTTCTCCATTCAATTCTGTCAATGTTTGCTTCATATATATTTGGAGGTCTAATGTTTGTGTACAAACATTAGAACTTCCTATGTTCTAACTGAACATAATCTAAGAACATAATCCAAAAACATAATTTAACTTTTTATGTTTTTGCTATCTTTTTAGTGAACTGACCCTTTTATTATTTAATGTCCCTATTTGTCTCATGTAACAGTGTCTTGACTTAAGGTCTATTGTATTTAAAATTATAGCCAACTTTTCCCCTCTTTTGGCTATTTGCATGGAATATCATTTTCCATCCTTTTACATTCAGTCTCTGTCATGAGATCTAAAGTGTGCCTCTTGAGGACAGCACATAGTTGGATTCTATTTTTTTAAAATCCATTCTGCCATTCTATGTCTTTTGATTAGAGAATTTAATCCATTTACATTTAAAGCAATTTGTGATAAGAAAGCACTACTTTCGACATTTTGTTGTTTTCTGTATATCTTACAGCTTTCTTGCCCCTCACGTTTCCATTACTGCTTTACTTTGTGTTTAGTTGACTTTTTGTAGTGGCACATATTGATTCCCTTCTCATTTTCTTTTTTTGCATACACAGAGTCTCACTCTTTGCCCAGACTATAGTGCAGTGGTGCAGTCATGTCTCACTGCAGCCTCAACCTCCTGGGCTCAAGCAATCCTCCCACCTCAGCCTCCCAAGTAGCTGGGACTACAGGCATGTACCACTATGCATGGATAATTTTTTTTTTCTACAGACTGATCTTGAACTCTGGGCTCAAGCAATCCTCCTGCCTCAGCCTCCCTAAGTGTTGGAATTACAGGAATGAACTACTGCACCTAGCTTAGATATTTTCTTTGTGGTTATTGTGGACATTAAATATAACATTTAGAGTTATGGCACCTTAAATTGATACCAACTTGACTTCGGTAACATTAAAAAAACTCTACTCCTTTATAGATCCTCCCTCCACTCCCCGCTTTGTGTTACTGGTGTCACAACTTACATTTGTATATACTACATATCCTTTTTTTTTTTTTTTTTTTTGAGATGGAGTCTCACTCTGTCACCCAGGCTGGAGTGCAGTGGCACGATCTTAGCCTACTGCAACTTGCAACTTCTGGGTTCAAGCAATTCTCTTGTCTCAGCTTCCTGAGTAGCTGGGATTACAGGTGCACACCACCATGCTCAGCTAATTTCTGTATTTTTAGTAGAGATGGGGTTTCACCACATTGGACAGGCTGATCTCAAACTCCTGACCTCAGGTGATCCACCTGCCTCACCCTTCCAAAGTGCTGGGATTACAGGTGTGAGCCACTGTGGCCAGTCTAAATCCATTATTATAGATTTGTATTTATTTTAATAAAGTTGCCTTACAAATCCTGTAAAAAATAAAAAGAATTAAAAACCAAAATTAAAATAATTTAAACTTTTTTATATTTTTCCATGTATTACCCTTATACTTTATACTTCATATGGCTTCAAGTTACTGTCTAGCATCCTTATATTTCAACTTGTAGGACTCCCTTTAGTGTTTATTGTAGGGTAGGTCTAGTGGTAATAAACTCCCTCAGCTTTTGTTTATCAAGAAATGTTTTAATTTCACCTGCATTTTTGAAGGATAGTTTTGCGAGAGATTAAATTCTTAGTTGATAAGTTCCCCCCACCACTTCATAACTTAAAATATATAATCCCACTGCCTTTTGGCTTGTAAGGTTTTTTTCACTAAGAAATCCACAGGTAGTCTTATTGAGGATCCCTTGTACATTATAAGTTATTGCTCTCTTGCTGCTTTCAAAATTTGTTGACTTTTAACAGTTTGATTATAATGTATCCTGGTGTGGGTCTCTTTGGGTTTATCCTACTTGAAAATCTTTGAGCTTCTTGGATTTTTATCTCCATGTATTACCTTAAAATTGGGAAGTTTTCAGCCATTATTTCTTCAAATAATCTATCCCCTTCTCTCTTCTCCATTTTGAATTCCTATAATGTGTATATTGGTCTACTTCTTCAGGTCCCTTAAGTCCCTTAGGCTCATTTTTTTATTTTTTATCATCTTTTTTCTTTCCTTTTTGTTTTCAGACTTGATAATTTCAAATAACTGGTGTTCAAACTCAATGTCTGCTTTCTTTCCCCTCTGTTCTAGGCTACAGTTAAGCCTCTTTGGTGAATTTTTGAATTCCCTTAAGTATTTTTCAGCTCCTGAATTTAATTCTTTTTTAAATATATAATTTCTATCTCCCTGTTTATATTCTAATTTTGTTTATATATATAGTATATATATATATTCTCTCTATATATAGTATGTATATATTCTCTATATATATAGTGTGTGTGTGTATGTATATATATATATATATATATTCTCTCTCTCTCTCTCTCTATATATATATATCTCTCTCTCTCTCTCTATATATATATATATATATACTACCTTGCCTGGCAAGTATTGTGCTTTTTAATTTTTATTTTCACCACTATATATATATTACTATATATATAACTATATATGGCTATATATATAGTTTTCCTGATTTCCTTTAGTTTTTTGCCCATGCTTTAACTCTTTCAGCACTTTTAAGATGGTCATTTAAAGCCTTTTTCTAGTAAGTACTCTGTGTGTTTCCTCAGTGACTATTTCTGGAGGTTTATTTTGTTCCTTTGAATAGGCCATGTTTGCCTGTGTCTCTGTATGCCTTGTAATCAGATGGACGTTTGAAGCACACCTCTTCCACTTGTTGAAGACTAGAGTTATTTACTCTCAAGCCCCTGAACCTAGAGATCAGCCCAGGGTAAAGGCTTAAGGGCTGCTCAGGTCTTCTGGGCATGCATCCTACCTGGGCCTATGTGTGTGTATTTCCCCATTTCTTCTGGCTGCTTTCAAATGTCTTAATTTTCCAAAGCGTCCCACCTCAGCTTCTTCTCAGAGCCTTAGATGGCCTATTGTATTCCTCTGCCCATCATCTCTTGCTCACAGTTGTCTTCAGATCTACAGTCCCCCTACAGTTTTCACACATCATGGTACACCCCACTTCCTTCTGATGCTTCCAGCCTAAGCTCCAAACTATGCTACCCTTCCATCTGAGGCAGGAGAGACAGATGCTGGTTTCTTGGACATCCCACAGATAGGCGAGAATTATACAAACAATTTCCACCCTGCTCTTTCTGGCCCAAGGGACAGAGTCAAAAATTGGTCCTGTTCCTCTGGCCTTCACTGCATGGGTGAGGCATGGGCAAGTAAAAACAACACTGAATTTCCTACCGTTCTGAGTGTGGCTTTTTCCTGATTGGCATTCGCTTGGTTGCTACAGATCTTTGGTTGGTTTCTAGAGCTCCTATAAAGTGATTTTAGTCAGTCTGTAGTTGTTTATTTGACATTTTATGGGAGAATAAGGGCCTGGAGCTTCCTGGTCTCCCATTTTGTTGATGTCCTCAGTATTTTAATCTTTTAAAAAGTGACTGTACACGGTATTGTGCTTTTTTTTTCTTTTGAGACAGGGTCTCTTTCTGTTGTCTACGTTGGAGTGCAGTGGTGCAATCAGCTCACTGTAACCCCAAATTTCTGGACACAAGTGATGCTCCCACCTCAGCTTCCTGAGCAGCTAGGAGTACAGGTGCATGCCACTTTGCCTGGCTATTTTTAAAACTTTTCTGTAGAGACGGCGTGTCACTATGTTGCTCAGGCTGGTCTCAAACTCATGGCCTCAAATTGATCCTTCTCCTTTGGCCTCCCAAAGTGCTGGGATTACAGGAGTGAGCTACCTTGCCAGGCAAATATTGTGCTTTTAGTTTTTATTTTCAACAGTTCACTAAAGTATAAAAAATTGTGTGTTGTTCTTGTATCTTGTAAGCACGCTAAATCCATTATTAGTTCAAGGAGGTGATTTAGGTAGATTCTAGAGGTTTCTTTATAGAACAATCATCTTAAAACTCAATAATAAGAGAAAAATGCAATGAAATGTGGGCAGAAGATTTGGACACTTGACAAAAGAAGATACAAGAAGAGCCAATAAGCGTATTTAAAAACTGTTCAGCATCATTAGCTATCCAGAAGAAAATACAAACCAAAAGCAAAATGAGATACCGCTATGCTTTAGAATGACTAAAACTTCAAAGATTGAGAATATCGAGTGCTGGGGAGGTTGCAGAGCACACAGAACTTTCACGAACTTCTTGCAGGGATGGAAAGTGGTACCTTTTAGAAAACTGTTTGACAGTTTCTAAATTAAACAAACGTTTATCATATGACCCAACCTGTTCACTCATAGGCATTTTCCAGGGGAAATGAAAGTGTATGCCCAAAGAAGGACTTGTATTTCAATGTTCGTAGAAGTTTTATGCACAAGAGTCCAAAACTGCAAAAAAATCCGAAAGTTCATCAACTGGTAAATAAACTGTTATCTATCCACATAATGGAAGCTAGCTAGCAATAAAAACCGTGGACATTGCTGAATCTCAAGAGCATTATGCTAAGTGGGAGTGATTCTATGTATATGAGATTCTAGAAACAATAAAGTTATAATGGTAAAGAGCAGATCAGTGGTTGCAAGGGGCAAGGGCATGTGGGAGAGAGGACTGACTGTAAAGGGGCTTGAGGAAACCTACTGGTGGATGGAAATGTTCCATATCGCGGTAGTTGTGGTCATTACACACCTGCATATGCTTCTCAAAAGTGATCAAATCGCACACTTAATAGTGGTGCATTTTATTGTTTGTAAATTATACTTTAATAAGTCTGATTTTATAAATGCAATCTTGAGCAGTAGACAGATTCCTATGGCCTGCAGGTGCCCACTTACCACCCTGAAAGGCCCCACGTGCCTAAAAATAGAGAAATAAGAGGAAATAATTTCATTTACTCACTTATTCATTTCATCATTTATTTGTCAAATTTATTTGTTAAAAATGTTTCTTACACATGAATTAGGGGACAGACAGTAGCAGGTGTTGGGATACAGAGCGGGGAAAGCTGCTCCTGGGATAAGCATGCACCCAGCACTCCAGGAGTGCAGAAGAGGGACATCCAGCCCAGACCAGGGTGTCAGGGAAGCGGGTGGCTGCTGAACTAAGCCCTGAATGATGAATACGTTGTGCTTTCCCCCACAACATGTTCACATAATGACCCTAAGGAATAGTTGGGAGGCTCTTGCAGCACAGAAGAGTGGGCACTTTAGAGTCACGCAGGTGTGGGCTCCAGTCCTGACCTGGCTGTTTGCCAGCTGTGTAACCTTGAGAAAATGTCAATCAACCAGAGTCCCATTTTTTTTCATACCCAGAATCAGAGTAATCATAATTACCTATACATTGCTCTGAAAACAAATTAGAAAATATTTCTCTTTTTTTTTTTTTTTTTAAGATGGAGGGTTGCTCTGTCACCAGGCTGGAGTGCAGTGGTGTGATCTCAGCTCACCGCAACCTCTGCCTCCTCGGTTCACATAATTCTCCTGCCTTAGCCTCCTGAGTAGGTGGGATTACAGGCACGCACCACCATGCCCAGCTAATTTTTGTATTTTTAGTAGAGATGGGGTTTCACCATGTTGGCCAGGATGGTCTTCATCTCTTGACCTCGTGATCCGCCCGCCTCAGCCTCCCAAAGTGCTGGGATTACAGGTGTGAGCCACTGCACCGGGTCTAGAAAATACTTCTAAAACATCTAGCGCAATAAAGGATTAGTAATGATAACGAGACATACATATCAGGTAGCCTCTTTGGTTACCATAACCTCTTCCCACCATCCTGGTCAAACACTAGGAATGAAAAATGCAGGGACTGGGGTTCCCGAAACTCAAGACTCACATAGTGTCACAGTCAGTAGAGTTGCAGCCAAGTGGTCTTTGCTGCCTGGCACCCCTCAGCAACGAGCCAGAAGAAGACCCCAGCCCAGGGAGAGGTCACAAGATGCCACCCACCCCTTTTCTTCTGTCTGCGGTTGTTCTGCATCAAATCATTGCCTTGTTTTGCACCTCTCTGGTGAAATTTCTAAGCTTCCTTTCAGTTCTAAAATCCAAGGTCCATGAAGCAAAACTCAAAAGACAAAACACAAAAGTCAAACCCCAGCAAAGGGGTTCAAAGTCATCATTCCTGAACTTCACTGTGAGGATAAAAATGTACTCGGGCACAAGCTTCTTCTAAACTCCGAGCTTTCACACCCGTGCATCCACGCACAGAGGTTTCACTGCCCTTGGACACCAAATGAGCATTCCTTGGCTTGAAAACCCTCTTAAGGCTGAGAGCGTCCTTTTGAATTTGGATACATAAAATTGTGACTATCCAAAGGAGGCACATGGCTTTGTTTTTCCAACTTTAGTGACACAGTTAGCTAAATGGTGAGCTCTTGAGGACTGGGACCATGTCTTTTCACACCTGTATTCCCAGCCCCTAGCACAGAGCCTTCACCACTGAAGCTTGTGGAACGAATGGCTGAATGAACACATCTGATGGTGTTTTCCCGCAGCATTTTCTATATCTCTCCTCTAACTCATGAATTACACTGCAGTTGGCACAAAGGTACACTACATGCCAAAATGGACTAAATAACACGAAGAAGAAATTCAATTATTAAAAACAAAAATCAAACATAGTCCCCATCACATCTTTAGGATGAAAAGGGGTTAGTCCTGGGGCGGGGGACAGCCTGGGGTGATGGAGGTTACACCCTTCTGCCACCCCTTTATGAACTGGTGAGCCTGGCCAAGGTACTTACTGACTCTGAGTCTGTCTCTCCACCTACAAAATGAGGAGCGTAAGAATGCGGCTCTTACGGGGCTGTGCTGAGCAGGACTGCTTGTTTCAGGGATGAATGCTGGGAAGGGTCCCCTGATTTGGAAGACCTACTGGCTCATGTCTCCCGAATACACTCCGATTGTCCCTCTTCCAGTTCAGTTAACATCAATTGTTCATCGCAGATTGCAAGGGCCTTGCCCATCGCAGCAGGATTTTGCAATCCCTCCAGGCTAAATTGCAATTAACTTGCTCTATTGGGGCTGCCTAGGAGTCCTGGGCAAGGGCAGGACCTGAAGCCTGTCACCTGAGCAGTCTGAGTCACTGTGCCCACACCTCAGTCCTGCCCCAGGGCCTGCACAGGTTACCACTTCCAGTGGCAAGCCCTGAACCTCCCTGGGACTCTGCTGTCTCCAGGATGACCTGGACACACCTTCCTGTGGCACATCCTGGAGCCTGTTGGTCCTGGGTGACAGTCACAGGAGCAGGTAAAAAGTGGCTCAGGAGCCTTAGGGATGGCTCTTCAGAGGACGGGGCCTGCTGGTGCCAGTCCCTCATCGGAGAGAGGATGGAAGCTACCCTCCTGACCAGGACTGGGTTCCCTAGTATCACGTGAGGAGCACTTGGCATTTTTGAAAAAGACTTTCTTTTTTCTGAAGCAGGGTCTTGCTCTGTCACCCAGGCTGGAGTGCAATGGCACAAACATGGCTCACTGCAGTCTCGACCTCCTGGGCTCAAGTGATCCTCCCACCTCAGCCTCCCAAGTAGCTGAGACCACAGGTGTGTGCCACCACGCCTAGCTAATTTTTATTTTTTGTAACAGATGGGGTCTCACCACATTGCCCAGGTTGGAGGTCACACTTTATTGCCCAGGCCACTCTTGAACTCCTGGCCTCAAGCTATCCTCCTGCCTTGGTCTCCCAAAGTGCTGATGATATAGTTTGGTTCTGTGTCCCCACTCAAATTTCATCTTGTAACTCTCACAATTCCCACGTGTTGGGGCGGGGGGGGGCCAGGTGGGAGGTGATTGAATCATGGGGTCGGGTCTTTCTTGTGCTGTTCTTGTGATGGCGAATGGATCTCACAAGATCTGATGGTTTTAAAAAGGGGAGTTCCCCTGCACAAGCTCTCTTTTTGCCTGCTGCCATCCATGTCAGACAGGACTTGCTCCTCCTTGTCTTCCACCATGATTGTGAGGCTTCCCCAACCACATGGAACTCTAAGTCCAATTAAATTTCTCTAGTAAATTTCCCAGTCTCGGATATGTGTTCATCAGCAGCATGAAAATGAATACAGCTGGGATTACAGATATGAGCCAACGTGTCCAGCATTGACTTTATTTTCTTAGAACCACTTTAGGTTCACAGCAAAATTAAAAGGTACAGAGAATGCCCATGTACCACCTCTCCTACACTCAGGCACAGCCTCCTCCACTACCAACACCCCCCACCAGAGTGGTACATTTGTGACAATGGATCAAGCTACATCGCCACATTATCATCCCCACAGCCACAGTTATGTTACGGTTCACATGCACATTCTATGGGTTTGGACAGATATACGACGCCATGTGTCCAGCATTCTAGGATCATAATTTCCTTGCCCTAAAAATCCTCCGCAGCACTTCCTTTTCATTTTCTCCTCTTGTACGTGTGGAGGGAGAGAAGAAAAATGCATTGCACGCCTGCTGTCAGGTATTTTGCTGAGCCACAGTTCATTTAATCCTACAACCACCCTTTGGTCAAGGAAGACTTGAAAACAAGGCCCTGGGAATGAGTCCGCTGAGATCCCAGTGGCCAGGGGACAGTTACAAGGAAGACCTAGGGAGACATGCAGACGAATTCAGAATCAAGCTTTCAAGCTAGGTGGGTGATGAGGTCTCATCTACTGAATGCAGTGCAGGGAGTCAAGGGAACCACAAGTGCAGGGGGTGGGGTATAGCCACAGGAGAGCATCCCTGTTCAGACACCTTCGTCCTGGGATATACCTGAGGCCTTCAGAACACGGGTTCTTGCCTGGGTGTGGTCTGCTCATTTGTATTCATTTAAGAATCCTGTTAGCTGAGCATGGTGATATGGACCTGCAGTCCTAGCTACTCAGGAGTCTGAGGCAGGAGGATCACTTCAGCCCAGGAGGTCAAGGCTGCAGTGAGCTTTCATTGTGCCACTGTACTCCATCCTGGGTGACAAAGCAAGACCCTGTCTCCACTTTAAAAAGAGGAGAGAGAGAAAGAGGGGGATAGAGATAGAGAGAGAGAGAGAGAGCGAGCGAGCGAGCAAGCTGTACCTTCCTTGTGCCTGGCACTGTCCTGGTGCTATAGGAATACAAACATGAAGGTTCCCTTCAGAGGTCCTAGGGTTGAATGGGGAAAGTGACATACCCCAAAACACAAGTAGACTTTGATGAGCACAGAGAATGCTACGAAAATTCAGAAAATGGAGAGATTGCTTCTGGGGGCCGGATCAGGACAGGCTGGAGAAGTGGATGACACCTGTGGCGGGTCTTGAAGCCAGTGGGTGGAGAAGGGAAGCCTGGTCGGAGCCACAGATATGCACTAGGGGCGGGACTGCAGGCAGGAGGCAGAGCCGGGAGTGCAGGTCCGGGGGAGCGGCATTACCGAGGGAACGATGGGAGGTGCAGGGCAGCACTGTCCAGATAGGAGTCAGACAGTGGGGTGTCGAGCTGGGAGCTTCCTGAAGGTGAGGACCTACCTAGTGTACAGTGGTGGCAGACACTTGATTAGGTTGGACTGCTGATAACGCCTCTTGATGTTGGGGTGAGACTGAACGAGAGCGTGGGGTGCCCATAATAATAACGGGGGGCAGGAGGCAACCTGGAGAGGATGGGTTCCTCTTAGACCCACTGAATGTGATAGGCCCTCTGGACGGTCGGCTGGAGACGCAGGACTAAAGCTTGAGACTAGTGGGGACAGAGATGCTGACCTGAGAATCACACAGAAAGCAGCAGAAACGCCGGCCATGCAGATGTATACAGAAAATGGATAGTGAGAGGACAGAACCCACGGCTCAGAAACACTCAAGGGTGTCCCATCTTCCCACACTTAGCTGACCGCAGAAGGAGCAAGAGCCAAGGAGTATTCAGAAAAGGCGGAGGCTTAGGAGTTGCATGGAGTCGACATAGTTGGAGAAGGAGACTAAACGGTCTGAGATGCAGTTACTCACCGGGGCAGCGACGTACCTCACAAAGGTGAAGATGAGGGTGCTTCCTTCCGTCAAGGTGCTGGGGTCACTCTAGATTGCTCAAGACCTTGATTCTCTAAGGTTTGAAGGCCGGAGTCGGAGTTTGCCTTCAGCAGTTTTCCATGTAACAAATGTGTGTTGATACCTGTTTTTGTTCCATCCAGGTTCGAGGGGCGTCCCCAGTTAGTGGGTGGAGGCTACCTGGAGGCCACCTGGAGGCCACCTCTCCTCTCCCATCTCTATGCACCCCATCTGCACACTCAGCAGATCCTCTAGAGACAGGAGAGGCGGGAGGAAGCTGGGCTTTATCTTCAGACTGACCTGTTAAGAGCCATTCCACGTAGGCAAAACACATTTCTAATGCATTCTATGTGGAGGAAGGCACATACTATAATTTGGCGAATTTATCACAGAGTTAGAAATGTTGTTAAGTGTACACAGTTCCTCCTCAGGTTCAAGTCAAATGAGCTGGCAAAGAGCTTCTCACAGCTCATCCATGAATGCCAAAGAGGAGAGGACGCTTGCTAGCCACGGTGGAGGAGGCTGCGTCCCGGGCATAAATGTACTGAGATTAATCCAGGACACGGCAGTACCTTCTAAATGACACACATTTGTAGAACTTGAAAGTGGGTAGGCTCTGTAATGCGTCAGTCACTCTGCTGTCAACTGGCCTGGAGCCCAGAGTCGGTGTTCAATAAATGTTTTCAGAACAAATAACTGCTTTCAGCACCCACGCACCTTTTTCTAAGGAAACTCAACACAGAACATACAAACAGAAAATTTCAGCTATAACTGATTACAAAATTCTCCCCCCTAGCTAAAGACTTCACTGCTGCTTTCCTTAAAAGTTCACTGCTAATGCCTGCACAACAGGCAGCTGAGGTGGGAGGAAGTGCGCCTCACGCACCCTGCACCAGCCCCCGACCCACTCGTCCACAGCAGGAGAGGCCCGGCCCCACCCACCCTTCTTTACCTGCCATCTTTGTCTGGCTTATTCCTCCCTTTTACTGGTTCCATGAAGGCTTTGTGTATGTCACTGCAGTATATTCAGTATTTCCTAAATAGATCGGACACTTTTATGCAAGGAGTTTAGTCATCGACTTTACTAGGACACGGTACTAATTTGCTCATTAATAACCAAGCACTATAAAATCACACACCGAGCACCCGACCTGACCTCCTGCCCTGCCCTCCAGCACAACAGGCTCCGAAACGCAGCAGCTGCAGAACCAGCGAGATAAACAGGGCGGTGACGAAGAGGTTCTTACTCCAATCAACGTACAGCTGCTGCCTGCTGATCCAAGGGCTGAGATCACTCGGACAGACTGTGCCGAAAGCCTTCTCTGATACTGTTTCTTAATAAACAGGTCTCAGCGTGTGCCTGCCAGTCAGTGAACAGGTGGAGGAGGAGGGAGGCAGAGGGATGACCTCCGCTAGGAAAGAGATGCTCACTGGGATTTCATCTCTCAAAAGCATCAGTATTTTCTACAAGTTGAAAACATTCTTTTTCAGACTTGCAAACAGGGTTTAAGAAACCAACTCACCCAATTTCCCACCCACCTCTTGACCAAGTTGGAAAAGAAAATCCACTGAGAATGTCTAATGTGCAGCATAACTCAAAAGTATTTTCTATAGCTCATCCGAATCATAACTAACTCAAATTAATTGTGAAACTCTGCAGTTTGCCTGCTGCTTTCAAATCCATTCCCAGTTAAGAGTAACAATGACATGTGAAGAGCATCTGCAATAGGGAGGCTTGCAGGTGGAACTGGCTGTGGCAAGGATGGAGGAAAAGGGGCGCGGGTTTGTGACTACAGTAGACAGCGGGCTGGGGCATCGCGGGGCCTCTGGGAAGAGCATCAGTCTAGTTATAAAAAGGCTGAGAGACGGGCGCAGTGGCTCACGCCTGTAATCCCAGCACTTTGGGAGGCCGAGGCGGGCAGGTCATCTGAGGTCAGGAGTTTGAGACCAGCTTGGCCAACGTGGCGAAACCCTGTCTCTATTAAAAATACAAAAATTAGCTGGGCGTGGTGGTGCACGTCTGTAGTCCCAGATACTTGGGAGGCTGAGGCAGGAGAATCACTTGAACCTGGGAGGTGGAGGTTGCAGTGAGCCAAGATCGCACCACTTCACTCCAGCCTGGGTGACAGGGCGAGACTCCGTCTCAAAAAAAAAAAAAAACATAATAATAATAATAAATAAATAAAATAAAAGGCTGCGAGGCCCTTCCGTAAAAGGGGAATGATGATAATGGTTACCTCCTGGGTTGTTTGAGGACTAAATGAGTTGGCTTATTTGAAGTATTTGGAATAAGGCCAGGCATCCAAGACTTCATACAATAATAATAATCATCCATTAAAATTAACAGAAAAGGAGAGAAGGTTGCTGCAGGACAACACAGAAGAGTCTCTTCAGTGGACAAATATTTTCTTGGGAGCCTAATTTTCCTCCTTAAACTGAAAGAACCAAGGAAAGCACTGAATAATACTAAAATTAAAGTATTTTTACCCGGTGAAATAATTCAAGGCAAAAACAGGGATCATATGCTACTCATTCTTAAAGTATCAAGCATAAAATGCAGAGTATTTGTTTTGTTGTTCTAATTTCCACTTAGATCCAGAAAACCAAGTGGACTGAAAAACAGACACAGAAAAATGAAAGCTGAGGGTACCTAGAGAAAAGAGAGTCTCCACCTCCTTTGGAACAAATCTGCTCTTTGCTGAGCATGTGACTCCTTCTCCGGCTGCCCACTCAATTATTAAAATAATTCAGGAGGGGCCAGGAGCAGTGGCTCACACCTGTAATCCCAGGACTTTGGGAGCCTGAGGTGGGCAGATCACTTTGAGCTCAGGAGTTTGAGACCAGCCTAGGCAACATGGCAAAACCCCATCTGTACTAAGAATACAAAAATTAGCCAGGTGTGGTGGCCCGTGCCTGTAATCCCAGCTACTCAGGAGGCTGAGGCAGGAGAATCAGTTGAATCCAGAAGGCGGAGGTTGCAGTGAGCTGAGGTCGCACCACTGCACTCCCTCCTGGGTGATAGAACGAGACTCCCTCTCCTAAAAACAAAAACAAAAACAAACAAACAAACAAAAAACAAAATATTCAGGAGGCCTTTCTCCGGCCTATGAAAACAGTCATCACCACATTCTACATTCTCTCAGTAAAAGCTGCATGTGGGCCAGGTGTAGTGGCTCACACCTGTAATCCCAGCACTTAGGGAAGCCAAGGCGGGAGGATCACTTGAGGCCAGGAGTTCAATACCAGCCTGGGCAACATAGCAAGACCGTGTCTCTAGAAAAAATAAAAACATTAGCCAGGTGTGGTGGCACATGCCTGCAGTCCCAGCTGCTGGGGAGGCTGAGACAGGACGACTGCTTGAGCCCAGGAGTTCGAAGCTGCAGTGAGCTTTGACCAGGCCTCTGCATTCCAGCCTGGGCAACAGAAAGAGACCCTATCTCTGAAAAAAAAAAAAAAAAAAGAAAAAAAACCAACATTTGCATGTGAACAATCTTCCAGTCCAGCTGCCTTGGAATTCCTAACTCCAGGAACTACCAGCTCCCTTCCGCACCTCCCTCCTCTGGCCTTCCCACCCAGCTCCTGCACCCATGTCTGGCCTAAATGCATTCCACCTGCCTCCTAAATGCGCCTGCACACATTTTGGTATATTCTCCTGGCTCTCATTTTTACTGGTAAAGGAAGTTAAAACAAAAGGCCAAAAAAAACAACCAATCAGCATCTATTTATTTTTGAAAGTTAGCTCCCCTTAGGTTCCATGCATTCCACTTCTTTCTGGATCTCTGGTTTCACAGGCAAGATGGGACAGGCAGAGAGAACCTGGGCATGTGCCCTCTGTGGAGAAAGTGACTTCAGAAACCGCTGAGGCTCTATTAGCCTGGGATTCTAAACTCGGGGGGACATGAAAAACTCAAGAGACGAGTCATCAGGCTCTATATTCATAAGACTCTTCTCTGTGTGTGTGTGTGTCTCTTTTCAAACAAATAGCACTGCGCAGCATCCTTAGAGACTACAGCCAAATGTCCTTCATGTATTTTCTCTACATTTCAAGAATCTCGGGACCATGCTTCCTATCTAATGTGTGACCTTGAGAGTTAAAATCAAGGGGAAAAGGTCACCGAATTGGGGGCAAGTTTGAGTTCCCGTCACCAGCCACAATCTCTATATCAAATGGAGGACAACACACCACCTGGGCCTCAGCCAGGTTTGCCTGAAGCAGGGCCAGGCAGCCTCAAGGCCTCCATGGTAGGCTGGGGACATGGGGACGTGGGGAAAGGGGGTGCAGGGAAACTGGGAACTAGGAGGGGAGCGTGAGAAAGAGGGAATAAATGCGTACGCGGATGAAGAGGAACAGCAGGAGGAGATGAAGGCGGCGCACAGGGCAGAACGGCAGACACAGGGCTGGGAAGGTGGCAGGGCCGGACTCCAGAACCTCAGCTGAGCGTTTTCTTCTCCTGTGTCCCAGGGATGGTGTGAAGTGTCTACAGGCATCCGAGTGAACCCAAAGGGAGAGTTTGGCTGGCACACGGGGAGACGGGCCAAGGCGCGGCGGGCGAGGGCGGCACAAGCATGGCGCTGCGACACCACTGCTGGGAGCAGGGCTGAAAGGTGTCTTTTGCTGTAAGGACTTTCATAAGGCAGTCCCAATCCAAAGACTGGCTTTAATTTCACGGCCTTAGCCTCTCAGTTTCTTAAGCCTTCTGAGGACCTCCTGATCATGACAATTAAGTCACTATTTACAGCCATGTGACAGATAAATCAGTATTAGGTGATTTGTTCTGAAGGACCCCCAAAAGGAAACATATGAGAGAACCCACACTCGGCACAGGAACGGCAAGAGTCCTCCTGTGAGAGCTGAGAGATGACATTGGCCCTGAGTCTGTCCACTGCTGAAGCTTGGCAGAGGCGGGGGAAGCGCTCAGAACAGTCGGCTGCCACTGCTTAGTGGAGGGGAGGGCGTTAACGCGTTTCCCCATCAAAACCAAAACACAACAAAAAACCTCTCTGATTTGGGAATGTAATCATATAATTTCTACTTGGCAAAAATGTTGGTTGGCTATAGAACAAAAAGAACAATCTGAATCCAAGCTATTGCCTCTTAATCCTTTAATTAGGCTGAGTCTTTCAGAAGAAAGCACCATTCATTGTTATTGAAGGGAACCGAGAGCAAACGGAGATAGTGACACACACACACACACACAGATGCGCACATGCACACACACGTGTGCACACTTACATGAATGCATGTATTTGTAATGATTATAATTAAACTCTCTTGCTGAAGGGCTCAGAGTTTACAAAAAAATTTATTTGTGTCTGAGAGCCACGATTGAGAACATTAAAAAGGTCCTCCTGGGAATGTAACTTGGGGGAAATGTGGCGAGAGGGCAGGACTCGGCAGCCCATGGGCATGCCACAAGATGCGCCCAGGCGCTCTGGGGTGAACTCTGCTGTGACTTCAGGCCAGAGGTGTCTGCCCCCGCAGTGCCCTGACAGCTGAGTGGTCGGAAGGCCCCGGCTGGGAAGGATTCATTTGGAATCTTTCTTCTTCTTCTTTTTCACTAGCGTTTCTTCTAGTGTAGCGTCCTCTGCTATCTCTACTGGTTTTTGCAGCTTTTTCTTCCCTCTCCTCTTTTTGGGCTTCAGGGTGAAGTCCCGGCCCTCAGGCGGCTGCACATGGTCCCCTGCATCCTGAGCAGAGGCCTTGGAACTCTGGTCCCAGCAGGGGCCTCTGAGCTGCTCTTCTGCTGGCGCGCTCTTCTTCTTGGCCACTCGCTCCTGGGCCTCGGCCCTCTCGGGCTTTCCCTCCGTGTGCCTCTTGGCCTTAGGCTGGAGGTAACTTTCCACATCTTTACCTGTGGCCTCTTTATTTCTTTTCTTCCCCCTTTTACGTTCCACCTGCGTCTCAGAAATGTCAGACCCTGGAACTGGAACCTGGGGCTTGTTCTTCAGTGCTGCCATCCGCTTGGCAAAGTACTCCTGGATGGTGAAGGCGCTGGTTGTCGTGGTTTCGTTCTCCTCTGGAGTGGAGGGACTGGCATCGCCCTATGGTGGGCAGAAGAGTTAAAAGGCAGGTAAGCATCAACTGTTCATCCCTCACCGCACCCAGGAGGCACCCACACCCGGCGCTCACACCTGGCACCCACACCCGGCGCTCACACCCGGCACCCACACCCGGCACTTAGGAGACAAGGCTGAGTGACACGCTCCCTTTGGCCTCTCTCCCTTCTGGTCGGCCTGAACTGCAGGCCGGGAGCAAGGCGGCCACACACTCCGGCTGGGTACCAGGTGGGGTGGTAGATGACAGGCAGAAGCTAATGTCAGAAGGGAGCAGGCAAGCCGCCTCGATGGAATTCTGAGTAAATGTCTCCCTAGAAACAAGTGTTGTGGTGACTAAGCTCCCAGAATCTCCCATCAGAAACAGGGACACTGGTGTTCCAGAGCTTGGTGATTTTGTTAGACACCGATTTCATCTTCATTATGGGTTACATGGGCCCCTGTGTTGATCTAGAAACTTAGACGCCATCTGGATAGGTTAACCTTCCATGAGGACAGGAGCCGCATTCCACCCTGGAACCTGGCTTGCCAGGGGCACCCTTTCTCCCCCAAAGGTGGAGCGTGGCCGCTCTGGCAGCTGCTCCTGAAGGGAGGGCAGAGTGGAGACTCCGCGTGTCTCAGCCTCCTCCCTGAACCAACAGGCCAGCTTGGGGGCTTCTTTCCCTCAGCTGGGGGTGGGGAGTAGAGAAATGCCCCCTCCTTCCCTAACAAAAACTGTATACTCGGGACTGTGTTTGGGCTGTTTTTAAATGTGAGTTACTCACACATAACAGCTGGGATTAGGATTTTAATTTTAAATGAGTATATCTCATTGTCAGGTAATATCTGCTATAAGAAAAAATGTGAAAAATGTATATATCTAAAAGTACATTTTGCTGTAAAGCTTGAGAAGCGAGAGAAAATTCCTAAGGGGAGAGGCTGGGATAAAGAATGAAATGCTGGAATCGCCATTTGGGCTGAGGCTGGCAGTAAGGTGAGGAGGAGTGCCTGTGAGGCAGGAAGTGCTTTCGGGTTGAAGACTATAAGGAATATGCTCGGAGTCAAATCAATGTCTGCAGCAACTCTGCCCACAGAGACTCTGGAAATAAGTCATTAAGCAATCATGCTAAACTTAGGTTTTCATAGTCACCCAACTTCTTCCTTCATACTCATTTATCTCACAAGAAGAGGCTGGGTGTTCTACGCTTTCATGATGGGAGGGTGGGAAACGGCTCCTGAATAAAGAAATCTCCAAATCAGGATTCTACTAATGATCCTAAACTTGGCTGGCAAGGTTCTGCTTGTGCAGGTAACTGAATTACAAACCACCTATAAACAGACCCTGTATTGTCTCGACACAGTGGTCCTCAAAAGCCACCTCAGTGGAATCCAAGATAATGTCCCAGTTGCAGTTCCAGCAGAATCGATATTAATATGTATCAATGGACAATTGGGCCTTCAGTGGCAAGTGCCTCAGACAGCTTTCACCAAGGGGTACATTAAAAAAAAAAATCATGTGGTCAATTCTGGAATTTCAAAATAGGCAGAACATGAAGAATAAATCAACTGAGTTTTGGGAAGCAGTTTTAATTTTATCTATTACTATTCAATTTGTGCTGGAATTCCATAGGGTGATTTTGAGAAAAATAAAAAAAATCTGCCTCAGGAGATTTGTCTTTTTGTTCTTCAAATGTTGAAAAAGAGCTGAAATGCTGCACAGCAGAGTGAAGGATCTTCTCAAGGCTCTCCCGGCACGAGCCAATCCCAGGCTCATGAACAAGAAAGATCCTGCCTCCCAAAGACGGGCACCCTCACAGCCACAGAGACAGGCTCGGTGACCAGGCACCCTCACAGCCACACAGAGACAGGCTCGGTGACCAGGCACCCTCACAGCCACACAGAGACAGGCTCGGTGACCAGGCACCCTCACAGCCACACAGAGACAGGCTCGGTGACCAGGCACCCTCAGCCACACAGAGACAGGCTCGGTGACCAGGCACCCTCACAGCCACACAGAGACAGGCTCGGTGACCAGGCACCCTCACAGCCACACAGAGACAGGCTCGGTGACCAGGCACCCTCACAGCCACACAGAGACAGGCTCGGTGACCAGGCACCCTCACAGCCACACAGAGACAGGCTCGGTGACCAGGCACCCTCACAGCCACAAAGAGACAGGCTCGGTGACCAGACACCCTCACAGCCACACAGAGACAGGCTCGGTGACCAGGCACCCTCACAGCCACACAGAGACAGACTCGGTGACGACGGCTGGCTCGTTTATGCAACAGAAGTCTCACTGACAGTTTCGCAGCACTACAGGAGCCTGCAGTCTGTGGGCCACTCTTTTGGAATGTATTTTTGAGGCTGGAACTCAGATCTGAGTCGAATCCTATGACTCCTTACCTTGCTCATCTATTTATTACCTTGTGAATTCCTGATTTTAATCACCGGAACTAATTGCTGGTATTAATCACATTTTTTATTATCAGGAAATACAAGACCATTTTTGAGTCACTTGTTGAATTCAGCGGGTCTTCGTAACTCCAGAAAGTAAGTATGCTCATATGCTCATCATCAACTTCTGGGATGTAAGTTTAATAGGCACGGGTCACTGCACAGGCTTGGCAGGGCATGGAGACAGGCTAGAGAGGGGCCAGCACCCAAGTCCTACTTCTTCCCAGCAAAGTGCTGGCCACACAATGACTGGCTAGAGAGAGCTGCTTAATGCGGGGGTAGCCACCCTCCCACATCACAGAAACGTGCCTATTTTACAAGACCATGGACTCAAAGGAAAAATACATTGAAAATCTGACTCCTGCAGGAGCAATGGCCAGGACTCATCTTTTATACACCAAAGTCGGAGACTCAGTTTCACTGCAGAGATTCTAATCCTGCTTCTGCATTCTTGACCATGGCATCACATAAAAATAGATACATCTTTTCAAGAAAACTAATGCTTTTACATCTGGTCTCTATCAAAGTAAACAAGTATTGAGAAAACAAGTTACTTTTAAGCATTTTGAAATGACAATAACTTGCATTTTCCCACATTTCCATTAAACACACAATACACCTCAAAAAATAAAATAAAAAAAAATTTAAATGCGACATTCACTGCTTCATAAACGTTGAGAATGTCTGTTTGCTAACTGTGTGCCAAAACCTAATGAAACAAATTTAAGAGTAACTTGAAAACTTCTGGTTCCATATAAAATACTACCAAGAAATATGGTTAATCATCTTGCCAAATGTGATTTAAGCTCAGGGATTCGGGAAATGTCTCTCTCTCTTTTTCAAATTCCAATGCTTGCTGTTCAGCTAAAGGAGGTTTTTGCCACTAATGGCAAAAACCGTGATTACTTTTGCACCAACCTAATAAAATAAGCAGGACTGGCCTAGTCTGTTCACAGCAAGCCTCACAGTCCTCTCCCTTCCTTCAGCGCTAATGAGTGCATCACATGTGTCAAAAACATTTGATGACTGACTTTCCCAAATGGTAAGTGGGCCTTAATTTCTACCCAATCAATAAGTACTTGTGGCTTTGAACTGAGATGACTCTGGAGCACCTGTTCCCCAGTTCACAGAGCCCTGAGAGTTTAAAGCCAGGCCCATGGGATCACCCTGCTCAATCATTTGAGGAAGCTTCACCCAAAGTGATCAGGCCTGGGTGTCCTGAGGAAGGCAGCTATCACCACCGTGCCAGGCACTTGACATCAAGTGGCATCTCAGCCAACTCTTGCTGCAACCTGAGGAGAGGCGTCCTCTCCACATCACACAGGCAGAGAGTGAGACTCCTAGCACTTAATCCGCAGAAGGTCTCACAGCTGGAACACAGCAGGAGAGAGACAGCCCTAAGGCTGCCAGGTGCAAAGCCCTTGCTCCCTGTACCACAGGACCCCGACTCCTAGCTCCCACCTCATGGACTGCCTTGTCACCTTTCCTCTCTCTTCAGAAGCCACCCCAAAACTAAAGTATGTATCAATTGACCACATAATCCAGAGACTAAGGTCTACACTCACCTAAGTTGACTGATGCAGAAAAAATATCCACAGAAATAGTACTTTCAAAAGAGAAAAAAACTACATCATTTTGGTTTGCAATTCATATAAATAAAAAACAGCCTGAAGCCAGGCTTAAAAGAGTTTTATAATTTATCAAACTAGCATGTACATTCACTTGAAAAAGTTTGACTGTTTTAAAGCACAGAGTAAAACCCAAGTCCAAACCTTCCACCCAGGCAAGAAGCCCTCTTGGGCAGATGCTGGACAGCTTCCACCTGGACACTGCCAATATGGAAAGGTGGCTGCTGTGGTTCTCTGACTCAGTTTCCTCATCAGCAACAGGTCAATTCAGGTGGTTCATGGGCGTACACTGTGTGTCACGATTAGAGCTGGAGAATCTTAACGCCATCTCTGGCAATTCCGAATTATCACTGAGGAGAAAACAAAGAGTGGGCACAAAGGCAAGCTGACCCTGCAGAGAGTCCCTGCGGGTATCAATTACAATACACCACAGTCCTCTCCGGTCCCTGAAAGATGCCTGAAGCTACATGTATCAACTCTTCTCGGATGTCTACAGAATTAAAGTCTGTTCTGCTTCTTTTAGGATCCTCCATCTGGAGACTCTGCAGCTACATGAGTGAGTATCTGCGCAAGATCCTCTGGGCTCATGGAGGACTTTGCTCTTGTGTCATTCAAACATGTATACTGAGATGGATTATTAGTACAATGCCCAAATAGAGAGGATTCTCCATTATTCTCAAAAGAATCTTTTGGGGCAAGGAAATGAAGCAGTTTGCACAGAGACCTTAGTGAAGTGCCAGAAGCAGATGCACCTTACTACAGAATCCCCCTACTTATGATCAACATGCCAGTCCAGGAAATGGGCTTCAAAGGCAAGTCTTTCAGCTCGCCAGCCTTGCTCATACATCACTACTGATCTTAAGTGACAGGATGATGGAAGCTTTCTTATTTCCACATTAAGACACGGAGGTCATGCTGCAACAGTAATCCTTCAATGAACTTTGTTAACAAAGTAGACTCCCAGAGATCAAGGGTAATGTATTTAGCAACTGGGGTTGTGAGCCCTGATGGCTATTGCCTGTGATGAACAAATGCTCACTGCCACCACAGCCTGTCTGTCATCAGCCTGTGCTGGGTTAGTCTGTGAAAAGTTAAGAAAGCTTGGCAAGTGAGTGGTTTGACAGAACATTCTGTACCTTTTCCAAACTTTTCAGTGGGGCAGTTCTGACAAACACAAATTATGTCTTCATGTATCCCTTCAGGTATGAAGTGACTGTGTGTGACTCCTCAAAACAAAGGGATTGTGGAGACCCCACCGTCAGCTGTGTGTGTACTTTAAACTCCTCCAACAGAAGGGGCAGGATGAACTGACCCAGTCACTCCCTATGCTGGCCTACGATGTTCTTCCACATCCCCTGTACACAGTCCCGTGCATCACTTTCTTGAAGATCAAGTGTGTGACTGCTTCCTTCCACAAGTCCAATCCCAAGTGAACATCCTTTCTTGTTTATTCCCCATAATAGCAACTTGTTGCTTCTATTTTCTGTATTTGTTTAATTTGCTTTGCTAGCATCTTCCCAAGGAAACAAGTTTCTTGAGGACAGGGGCCATTTATGTTGCATTTGTATTCATACAATCCACAACCTCCCTAATGAGGAACAAGGTACAGTAAGTGCTCAACAAAGGCACAAAGACACCAAACCCAGCTGGACCAAGGCTGTGAAGAGCTCCCACCACCACCCACTGGCCCCAAATGCTTTGTGTTTGTCAGTACGAACTTGTCTGCACATCAGGCAGGTCTAATGTCCAGAAGGGGTGTGGGAGGGTAAGAAGAGAATCAGCATTTTGAGTGCAGATTCCTCCCATCCACATGAAACCACCCCCTTCTCATCAGATAGCACCTTCCCTTGCCTCGTGATGCAAACTGCTTCTCTAACTACTGCAGAGTACATCTGAGTGTCGTCTGCTGTCAGCCAGTTCCTTCCTGGCCCTTAGCAATAAATAGAAACTCAGTCCAGTGATCCATCCATTTCTCCTTCTGCTCTGTCATTCCACATGTTACCACAGTTGCCTTGGAGGGGACAAGTCAATTGGAAAAAAGCAAGGTACTGTGTGGTATGGGAACTGCCACGTTCTTTTTGTGGGATTAGTTGAACACAAGCAATGCCAGTAGAGACTGAACTGTTCTTGCTAAAGAAGAGAACTGTTCTTGGTAAAGAGAAGAGAGTTCTCGTGCATACCACATACAAAGGTAAGCAGCTCATTTGGAGAACAGCAGTGGGATGGAAGTTCCACCAGCAGCCTCTGGTAGCAAGCTGTGAAGGCACAGCCTACATTATATCTTAGCTGAAAACAACCTGGGCAAGCTGATTCTAGGGAGTCATTGAAATGGGTTTGCCACTGAAGGCTGAGCTAGGCAGTGATTCACGGCCGTTCGTTGGAAAGCCTGCCCTGAGCCACTATGGCGGGCGGCCCTGCTCTTCTCTCTATGGAACCTCTGTGGTTTCATGCTTTTCCTTCGTGGTTTCCATGTAACTGAAAACACCCAGTGTTTTATTGATGAACAGCTATTTTTACACTCACAAAAAGCTTTTCAAGTGTGAAATCTTGTACATTTTTCAAGACATTCATCGCTCACATCTGGAATTAGGCTAAACGCACCAAGTCTCGGCAATGAGCAGCCTCGGGGAATTTGCCTGGGAGACACAATCAGTTTTAGCATTAGCAAGTATCACAAGAGTCAAAAACAAATATAAAACCCCATTGACTGAAGAGAGTTGTGATTTGAAGTGGTATTAAAAAGCAAAGATACAATAACAGAATGAGAATTATGCAGCAACTCAATTGGAAAACACAGAAATTGTGTGTGCGTGCACATGTGAAACAGGTGTAAGAACCTGTGGCATGTATTAGAAGCCCACTCTGCAGGGGTTCCAGAGGGTTCTCTCTAGAACAGAGACTGGTGAACTATGGCCGTGGGCCTAGTTTTTAATGATTTTTTTTTTTTTTTACCATTTCTAAATGGTTAGGAGGAAACAAAAAACTATTTTATGACATGTAAAAATTACATGAATTTCAAATACCAGTGTCCTTAAAGTTTTGAATTTCCTCAGTAAAAATCTTGTAAAAATTTGTTTTCTTTCTCATTATACAAGTACATACAATAGGTGCTAAGTAAATATTTACTGAATAAATGTATTATAAAATCGGCTCTGTGACTGTGAATACAATACGGCTGACTTTTGGAAGTGGCAGGTGCTTTTCCAGTGCACACACACAATATACCTTTATATACACACATGTACATATATACACGTATGGAACTGGAGGACGCTGGGCTTTGACAAAGTCCTCAAGCTCTGTCTCCTGCCAACGACAGAATGCCTACCTTTCTGAACTGTGTCAGCAAGCAGCAGAGAGGCTGCTAACTGCTGCCTGCTTTTGAGTAGCAAAAGCCAGTAAAGAAAAAATTTGTTTAAAAAGTGATGTGACATCAAAGAGCACTCTCAGCAACCCAGTAAGTATGCAGAGATACCTTTCTAATATCAGGCATCAGAACTCCGCTTGGAAGTTACAAACTCAGACACACCGGACATTGGAGAAGATAATACGAACTAGAAGGGACAGAATAGCTTGGCTGGACTTTAGTAGAGAAATACACAGAATGCCAAATTCCTCATATGAAGGCCAATGGTAACAGAGCTGTTAATTTTATGTCTTTTTATTTTTATTTTTTCCCATATGCCTAACCAGCTATTCCGATTGCCACTTATTAGGAAAAGCCGACATAAACATGTTTTAAAAGGATGGTTCTCTATGGCAACAGCTTCTCAAGTAATCAACATCAGGATCACTGACAAGAGTCATCCAGCCTCTGTGGAAAAAGAGGAAAGAGAAAGAGGAGCAGGCTTCCTGCCTCCCTGAAAGGCCCTCAGGCTCGGAAAGCTGCAGTGACAAACTTTCCCGACACACTGGCCATGGAAGATAAACGAGGCTCCTCCAGAGCTGGAGATGATCAATGTGACACAGGCCTCAACTTCTGTGAATGATGTCTAAAAATAATCCAAATTGACTGCATTTTATAATTCCAGGTCAAATCGTTCTCTCCCCTGCTCTCCAGAGGCAGGACAAACAGCTTTGATAAACAGCTGAGACCCAGCACTGGCCTCTCACAGAACAGAGCAGAAGCTTCCAGAGGGTTCTGTCTCTTCCATCTTTATTCCACAGGAAGAGGTGAAAATTGCTGAAGAACCATGACAACTCAAATGTAGGCTCCTTACTATAGAAAGCACAGCAGTTCTTGAAGATTCTATTAAATGTAAAATCTTCTAATTTCTAAAAAGAATAAGGTCTTTTTTTTTTTTTTGAGACGGAGTTTCACTCTTGTTGCCCAGGCTGGAATGCAATGGCACAATCTCGGCTCACCGCAACCTCCGCCTCCAGGGTTCAAGTGATTCTCCTGCCTCAGCCTCCCGAGTAGCTGGGATTACAGGCATGTGCCACCACGCCCAGCTAATTTTGTATTTTTAGTAGAGACAGGGTTTCTCCATGTTGGTCAGGCTGGTCTCGAACTCCCGACCTCAGGTGATCCACCCGCCTCGGCCACCCAAAGTGCTGGGATTACAGGCGTGAGCCACCGTGCCCAGCCGAATAAGGTCTTTTTAGAGAATAAAATATTCATTTTGAAACTAGGAATAGGGTATGCATAGTTACATGGAATAATTAAGTAGTCATGATTGTTTATAAAAGAAAGGTAAATTAGGTGAATATAGTTGACTAACAAAAAAAGTCTCGTCTTTCAATTCTTATAAACTACATAAGGCTAATATTTTCACATACTCTTTCTTTCACCAGAAATCAATGTAGCAAATAAAAATATTTGAGAAATATTTTTAGGAGTAAATTTGGCAAAGCAAAGTCATTCTATGTTTAAAAGATACCGAAATTAGTAAGAATAAATAAAATTCCGAAATTAGTCATGTTAAAAGAGTAAATGATATAAAATAATACATCAGACAGTGTTCTTATCACAATAAAAAAAAGGCAATATACCGGCACAACTTATTTTTAGCATAGACAAAAACTAAACAACAACAAACCAACTACAAAGCCAATTCTACTCAAGAAAAACCCTAACCAGTTACACTGAGACTGTAATTCCAAGGAGCTCATAAAAAATAAAAATTGTTACTGCTATTAAATATATAATCCTATAACCTCTTCTCTTGTTTTACACAAGCTGTAAGTTTTTATTTTATAAACAAAAAATATATTGAAAACTTAAGTGAAAAAGTACAAGAAAGACTGTCTCCCTGCATGTTCAGAATCCAAAAAGGTTCTTGAAGCAAGACCTGCCTCGCTGGCAACAAAGCATTGTTTGCAGTTCTGAACCCACCCAACCACCAGAAATTCAATGCCCTCCAGCATGCTGCTTCTCAAACTATCAGGGGTAAAGGATTAGTTCTGTCTGTTTTGTGGTTTTTTTTTTTTTTTTTTTTTTTTTTTTTTGCCTTTAAAAATTTTGAATCCATTACAGGATTACAGGGCAAGATTTTTATAAAGTTAAAAAAGTTAGCAGAAAAATGAAGTTTTAAAAAAGACATCTAAAACCCAAGTCCTAAAATATTGTCAAACTACTAGAAAAGCTTCTAAATGCTTACTCTTAATTTCTGTCTTTATCTTGTCTATGGACCATAATTTGAGTGGCACTGCTATAAAATATCAGCTAGCAAAGGACAGAAAACGGGTACTCAATTTAAGATAGTATAAGTGGCAATGACCTGGCTGTCAGAAGATTGGAAGCACAACTGACAGAACATGTGATCTAGGACAAGTCACCGGCCTTTCCAGGCCTCAAATGCAATCATTTGCAAGACAGGGAAATAGGGCTCCTCAGTAACTTTTTTCAACATAGTTTTTTCACATGACTTTCTTCAAACACAATCTTAAACAGAAGGCCAATCTGTACAACATCTCAGGAAGCTTTGGCTGCAGCGGGGTGGGGGCAACCCAAAGCTCATGTCCCAACCCTCCCCTCAAATCCCCTTGTAAAAGCCCCTGGGGATGCTAGAACTCTATGGAATCCACTTTGAAAATCAACAGCTACATTTTTAAGGTCCATCACAATTCTAGCATTCATTATAGCCTAGATAAGTCCATAGCACTCAGTAAAAGGAGAAGGCAAAAGCTTTCGAGAATAAAATTGGTCTTGGGCTGGGGGCGCTGGCTCACACCTGTAAACCCAGCACTTTGGGAGGCCGAGGCAGGTGGATCACCTAAGATCAGGAGTTCGAGACCAGCCTGGCCAACATGGCAAAACCGCATCTCTACTAAAAATACAAAAATTAGCCGGGTGTGGTGGTGCAGCCTGTAATCCCAGCTACTTGGGAGGCTGAGACAGGAGAATCTCCTGAACCTGAGAAGCGGAGGTTGCAGTGAGCCGAAGTCGTGCCACTGCACTCCGGCCTGGGTAACAGAGTGAGACTCCGCTCAATAAATAAATAAATAAATAAATAAACAAACAAACAAACAAACAAATAAAAATTGGTCTTTAACATTATATAATATATATAATTCTTAACACTGTCATTAACCTTTGGAATGTCAGCAATTGGCTGTCAGAATTGTACAGCCAACCAATTTCTTCCAAAAATGGTAACACAGAATCAAAACTGAACTCCCGCCTCAAGCTGCTAACTGGGTCCTCTTGAGGCTCACAACGGCTGATGATGACCTCAGGCTGCCCACTCTTCCAGCTCTGCGTCGTAAGGTCAGGAAGGGACCACGAGGAAGGGGAAGCAAGGGATGGGATGGTGCTGCCCAGACCTGTCACCAGAGTCGCCACCCTGCTCCCTTCAGACTACGGCTGGAGACGCTGGAGACGCAGAGCTTTGCCTTCTCCGCCAACCCTTCCCCCACACTGCAACCCAAAGAAAGGTCCCCCTTCTTCCTGTTTTCATGATGTCACAGAAGGAAAATCTGGGGAGGAATGTTATTTCTGCTTTCCTGGCAAGAGAGAAGGACAGAAGGAAAAATAAGCCAGTGTTTTCCTCCTCTTCTCCTGCACTAGACCATATGTATGTCAGTTTCTTACTATCACAAAAGCTCTTAAAACCACTTGCTTCATCTGTCAACAAACAAAAAGCCAAATCTAATCCTTTCAGGCCGAACGTGTCCTGGTGAAGCTCTAACCAAACAAAACAGCCCAGCAACTTCCAACCCTTGGGTGTGTTGGCAGGCCCTGCCCTCACCCTCACTGCTTTCTCATTTCTTCTTTATGAGTGTCTTATTATGAAGTTATGTTTGCTGATCTACAAGACGACATAAATTTTTACTGGTACTAAAACAACTCTCAAAAAGTCAGGACCCACTTTCTCCTTTCTGGCTCCTCTAGAAAGCAGAGGCAGGCCCAAGCCCCGTTTGAAGTCCTTGCTGCCGGGAGATGGCCAGTTTATGTCTCTTGTCCTAGGACAGGAAAAGGATGCACTCTCGGCACCATGTGCTAGAGCGAGATAAGACCAGAGATTCTGTCCTCGGCACCTTATCAGCTTTTCCTGCCACTTTCCAGAGCAGACAGCACCATGGCTGGCAATGAACGAAGCTAGTTGAAGGGGGGTTGGGTGTGCGAGTGGCTTGGGGACTGCAGGGAGTGAGGTAGGCAGGGTGTAGAATGAGAAAAGGAAAGAGAAGAGGTTCTTCGTGTATCTTAAAATGGTTTGGTCCCCCCAAAATTGCCTTTTTTTTAAAAAACACATGGATTTTGCATCTCTGTTGGAACTGGAGCAACTAGGAGAGATGTTTTTATAAGGACTTCCGTTCTGGTTAGAATGAACCACCACTTTCATTGCTTCGCACTCTGCCCGTCACTGCCTTGTGCGACTGGCTCCTGGGCACGTAGCACAGGATGGATCTGCTATCAGATACTCCGTGGAAAGACTGCGGGGTCCAGGTTGCAGAGCGGGTGCCTTCCACAGGCACGCAAGCCTCTATCTGCACACCCAGCAATCTCCTGGGGCCAGGACACACTTGCTCACACGGGATAATCCGCCTCACAGTGCAAAGGAACAAGGGAGGCTATGGGACACTCCTCCAAATACAGACGAATGGCATCGATGAGCTGCTTTGTTCTCCAACAAATAACATCTGTGAATCCAAGGATTACACTCTTTAGAAACCCTGGTCTTTGGGGGCTGGGTTAGGGAGGGGGTGAATATAACTCTTGGAAAAAAACCTAGACTAAGCAGGGAAATTTTAACTTAGTTATGGACTCAGTTATTGATAATGAACTCATGAAAGTTCAGGTTGAGTATCCCTTATTTGAAATGCTTAGGACCAGAAGAGTTTCCGATTTTTGATTTAGGGATATTCAACCTGGAATATCAATATAAATATGCTAAATTGATATTCCAGGTTGAACATCCCTCTCGTTTTTGCAAATTGTTGTCGATGAAACCAAATCATTTGTCCTGTAAAGTTCTCTCATAATCAGATTTTTGCTGAATGTATCCCCGTGGCATAGGTTAACACATTTCTCTGTCTCATGTATCTCCTGTAGGGTTCAAGTGAGAGGCAGCCTTACTTTCTAACGGAGCACTTTTCCAATGCCAGCATGTTGTTTTATGAAAAACTGGGCTGGATTCATGGTCTAAGTAAGTTTGGGAAACAAACCTGTGCTATTCCTCCCTTTGATTCACAATGCATATCACCATCTGAGACACGTGGCC
Source organism: Homo sapiens (assembly GCF_000001405.40). Classification (NCBI taxonomy): domain Eukaryota; kingdom Metazoa; phylum Chordata; class Mammalia; order Primates; family Hominidae; genus Homo; species Homo sapiens. The sequence goes on from NC_000008.11 coordinate 10,778,656, forward strand.
GCTGTTAAACTTCAGAATGGCCCACATTTATTTGATCCTGGAACCCTTTTTGGTAAACACCCACTGGCATCCCATGAAATTAGTGCTCTGCTGAACTTACTTTGAAAGGGCTATTTAAACAGATAGTTCCATTATCTGGATAAAATGAGTAGTTCTCTTGTTAAATCTCATAGTTAAATCTTTGTTTTGTCCCAGATTGTCCAAGAGGGTGGGCTTTTACCCATGTAAGTTTTTGCAAAAATGACAAAAGCATAGCAGGGAAGTGAAAAGAGGGCCTGGCAAGCATCCCACTATGGACGCTAGCTTGCAGAGCGCCTCTGGGAGGAGAGGTTAGCTCTTTCCCAGCTATCACATGATTGAAATGGGAATGTCTGTTCCTAGGTTTAGAAAAATTACGCTTCCATTTTGGAATGGAGGGTAGCGGAGAAATAACATATCCTAAATGATGCCAAGTATGGATGTATTTTCTTTGTTTACTTTTAAGACTGCCTACAATCTAGCCGTATTTTTTAAAGGATTATGTGTAAGCAGCAAGCCCTGCAGAGTCTGACAGTGAGATGACCACTGTGAAGAAAGATCCTGGGCGTCAGGTTCCACTTAAAGGCCGTGCAAAGTTCAAACCACAGAACCAAGAATAAATGTATAAAATAACGAAGTGAATAAAATATGGAACACAGAAGTCAATGGACATATAACAAAATCAAATTCAAAAAAGCAATTTCTAAAAGTGAAATGAAACAAACTTGATTCTGCAACTAGCTGGTGAAGAGCCACACAAAAAGAAATTCCAGATGACTGAAAACATAATAATTTAACTGTATAGACTGAATGGGAAATACATAAAGACAAAAAGAACTGCCACACACCCAAAACAAACCCTCTGAATCTCTCTCTCTCTTTTTTTAAAATGATCAAGTTATTGGCATTACTCTGTAACTATTGTGTGTATAATGGGAAATAAGCAAATGAGTACTGTGATATTTTAATGCTTTTATTTCTGGAACCTGTTGATTCCAGGAAACTTACTGTCGGGAAGTAAAGATAAAAGATGAGTGGGGTTAAGTACTTGTGGTCCTAAATCTAATCTGGCAATATGACTATAAACTCAGGATATATTTTATCATAAAGAAATTATAGTTTTATACATGTAACAAGGCCTACAAATGAAGACCAATCTAGGAAGAAATGAACAACCCCAACGCCTAGACTGTGTCGCTAAATATCACTTACCACAAAGAAAGGAATCAGGGAGAAAGGGACGACTCCAAGTGTGGGGCAGAAAATGTACACAGTGGACCTGGAAACTCTTACACTAGATTGGAAGGAAGCTATTAAATACCACTTAGGGTCATCTCAACAGTACTCAGGTCATTATCTGTGTATAGAGATACCAGAGATTTTTGTATGTTGATCATGTATCCTGCAACTTTACTGCATTCATTTAGTTCTAACAGTTTTCTGGTAGTCTTTGGGGTTTTCTACATATAGGATCAGGTCATCTGCAAACGAGATAATTTTAATTTTTCCTTTCCAATTCAGAGATCTTTTATTTCTTTTTCTCATCTGACTGCTCTTAATAGTACTTCCAGTACTATGTTGAACAGAAATGGCAAGAATGGACATCCCTGTCTTGTACCAGATCTTAGAGGGAAAGCTTTCACACTTCCCCCCATCAGTTATGACACTAACTATGGGTTTTTCATAAGTGGCCTTTATTTTGTTGAGAAATTTTCTTTCTGTACCTAAATTGTTGAGAGTTTTTACCAATAAAGGATGCTGAATGCTTTTTCTGTGTTGACTGAGATGATCACGTGGTTTTGTCTTTCCATCTGTTAATATAATGCATTACATTGACTGACTTACACAGTTAAACCAGCCTTGCACGCCAAGGATAAATCCCAAACAAATGAAAACCTAGCTGAAAAAGAAACCAAGAAAACAATCCCATTTATGGTACCATCAAAAAAAAAAAATCAAAATACTTAGGGATAAATTTAACATAGGAGGTAAAAGACCTGTACACTGAAAACTATAAAACACTGATGAACGAAAAAGGACACAGATAGATGGAAAGATATTCCATGCTTATGAATTAAAAGAATATTATTAAAATGTCCACATGACCCAAAGCAATATACAGATTCAATGTAATCTGCCAAAATCCCAACGGCATTCTTAATAGAAATAGAAAAAACAATTCTAAAATCCACATGGAACCACAAAAGACCTCGAATAACTGAAGTAATTCTGAGAGAGAAAAACAAAGCTGGAGACACCACACTTCTTGATGTAAAATTATATTACAAGCTATAGTAATTAAAACAGTATGGTACTGGCACAAAAAACAGACACACAGACCAATGGAACAGGTTAGAGAACTGAAATAAATCTAAACATTTATAGTCAACTAATTTTTGACAAGAGCATGAAGAAGACACAATGGGGAAAGGATAGTCTCTTTAATAAATGGTGCTGGAAAAACTGGGTTTCTCATGTAAAAAAATGAAATTGGACCTTATCTTACAACATATACAAAAATCAACTCAAAATGGATTAAAGACCTAAACATAAGACCTAAAACCATTAAACTCCCAGAAGAAAACACAGGAGAAAAGTTCCTTGACACTGCTTTTGGCAATAATGTGGATATCACACCAAAAGCTCAGGCTACCAAAGCAAAAATATGTAAACAGGACTACATCAAACTAAAAAGCTTCTGCACAGCAGAGGAAACAATCAACACAATGAAAAGGCAACCTACAAATTAGGGAAAAATACTTGTAGACCATGTATCTGATATAAAGTTAATATCTGAAACTTAAAAAGAACTCAAGCAACTCAGTAGCAAGAAAATACATAACCTGATTAAAAAATGGGCAAAGATGCTGGACAGGTATTTCTCAAAAGATGACATACACATGACCAAAAGATGCTCAACATCACTAACCATCAAGGAAATGTAAATCAGAACCATCATGAGATATCATCCCACACCCATTAGGAGAGTTATTATCAAAAAGATAAGAGATAATAAGTGTTGGCAAGAGTGTGGAGAAACAGGAACCCTGTACACTGCTGATGGGAATGCAGATTGGCATACCCTCAAAGAAAAACAGTGTGGAGGTTCCCAAAGGAATTAAAAATACAATTACTGTATAGCCCAGCAACCCCTCTTCTGGAAATATACCCAAAGCAAATCAAATCACCTTGTGAAGATGCCTGCAGTCCCATGTTCACCGCAGCAGTTTGCATAATAGCCAAGACATGGAAACATCCTAAGTGTCTGTCCACAGGTGAATGGATAAAGAAACTGTGGTGTGTATGTATGTATACAGTGGAATATTACTCAGCCTTTAAAAAGGAGGAGATCCAGCCATTTGCCACGACATGGATGAACCTAGATGACACTATGGTAAGTGAAATAAACCAGACAGGAAAGAAAAACATTGCATGATCTCACTGATAAGATGGAATAGAAATAGAGAGTAAGATAAAATGTGGTTACTGGAGCAGGGTGGGGGATAGAAATGGGGAGATGTAGGTCAAAGGATGCAAAGTAGCAGGTGTGTAGGTCCCCACACTGTACCTTAGCTCTCTGCACTTCAGATCTAAGGTATGGTGTGGGGACTGTGGCTAATAACAGTGTACTGTGTCAGGAGGTTCACTAAATGAGATTACACCTGCTCTTGCCATGAAGGGAAAATGGGTAACTATGTCACTACATATATGTAACTCATAACATGTACAGCTTTAAATATACTCGATAAAAAAAAAAATTTTTTTTTTTAAGTACTCAGAGGCCAGGCGCAGTGGCTCACGCCTGTAATCCTAGCACTTTGGGAGGCCAAGGCAGGCGGATCATCTGAGGTCGGGAGTTCAAGACCAACGTGGCCAATATGCTGAAACCCCGTCTCTACTAAAAATACAAAAATTAGCTGGGCGTGGTGGCTCACGCCTGTAATCCCAGCCACTCAGGAGGCTGAGGCAGCAGGATCACTTGAATCCAGGAGGCGGAGGTTGCAGTGAGCCGAGATGGTGCCACTACCCTTCAACCTGGGCAACAAAGTGAGATCTGTCCAGATAAAAAAAAGTACTCAGGAGCCAGACTCCCACTGGGTAGAAATGGAAAATTTGATCACCAATAAAGATAATAGCTGCAATGCATTGAAACGTCAAACATTTCAATTCACGAACAATAAAAAAAGGAAAACCCTCCAGTCATCTTTGGAGAATGCTAGAGCACCTCCTCATTTGGAAATTGCTAAATAAAGGATATAAATATTTATTCTGTCTTTCCTATATGCACTGTTCCTCAGAGTAATCTACTAATAAGGGGAAACACACATTCCAAATTTCATTCTAAAAATGAAAGAGGAACAGAAAGAAATATGGAGGGAGACTCCATAGATTGCAAGAAATTTAAAAGATATATCAACCAATTGTTACGTGTGACCCTTATTTGAATCTTAATTCCATGAAAATGTAAAGAAAACTGAAATTTATGACATTTATGAACATTGAGCTTTGAACACTTATTAATAGTATGCAATTACTATAAATTTTTATAGAGTATAATGGCACTGGAGTTATACATTTTAAAAAAGAACCTCTTAACCTTTAGAGATAAATACTCAAGTACTAAAATACCTGTGGATGAAATAGTGATTTCTGGGATGGATTTGTTTCAAAGTAACACAGAAAGGAGAAGTGTCTGGAGCACTTACAGACTAGCCATCAGTGTGTTTGTTGTTCCCCAAAAGGACCTGTGCTTTCAAGAACCCGTGTCTTTGCAGATATGGTCTTTTTTTCTCTCTGGAAAGCCTCTGAACCTGCCAGTTGCTGCTCCTTCAAGACACATACAAAGGTTATCTTCCTTGATCTCTGCAAGCTGAATCCAGCGCTGCATCACATATGCCCCCAGTCCTCTGGCACAGCACTCAAGGCCTTTGCTCCAGTTGACTGTGAATGTCCCAGACTTCCTGATGAGGTTGTGAACAGGGATTATACCTTACCCATTTAATCATCTGTCATGCAATAATGCTACTGGGTAGCAAGAAAAACATCTGAGTTAAGTAGGAAAAGGAATTGGAGGGGAGAGGGAAACAGGAAGAAAATGATTAAAGTACTATTACTCAGAACTATGAAATAATGAGATATTACCCTGAAGGGAGTCATTCTAAGACTATAGCCTTGTGTAAAGACACTGAGTCAATTCAAGCCTGATCCTAACATTTTAAGACACAGATGACTAGAAAGTAGGCTCTGTTTATGAATCACTTGTAACTTCAACTCAAAGACAGCTGATTTTATTCACTAATGTTAAGAAGGTGCCTCCACAGTATGAGCCTAACAGTGGTTAAAGCCTTGTAAGAATCCCTATAAAGAGTCTAAACTAAACTCTGACCAATGATGATAATGTGTCATGCATCATGATTAATCCAATTTAGAGTATCTGAGGTCCATTAAAAAACAAAATAATGTGAAAGTCATGCTTCTGCCTGTATAATAACACACAGATCTCCATAGCAGGGAGGACACAGGGGATGAGAGTGAGGAGGCTGATCTAAAACGAAATGACTGATTTAACTAAATGAATAATATCACTGTTTTACTTTAGAAAGCACATCACACATTTTAGAAGACTTATAAGTGGCTCTCCTTAGGATCACAAAGTAAGCAGGCACACAAATCCAATCTAAAACTTTTAACAATTTGGGAATCGGAATTCGATACATTATTTTAAAGCTGATACTCTACTTACAAGTTTCAGCGCTACCTAGAAATAAAAGAAAACTAACTGCACTGATTCCCAAAGTCTACTCAACAATTTCCTATAAAAGCTATGTTCCTTTTAGAAAGGGTGCTGACATGAAATGTTCAGATTTACTTAGGCAAAGTAGCTTTCCTAAGTTAGCTTTTCTGCTTGCAGAAAAATAAACCTCACAAAACCTAGTTTACTGAAAGGCATAAAGTAAGTTTAAGCACTTGTTAAAAAGCTATTTGGAGTTCAGGCCCACAAAATGCTTCAAAACCAGTCAGGTAAAATTTAAAACCTCCATGTGATTTTAAGAGTCAGAACGTGAATTAAAGGAGCCTGGACTAAAGTTAGGGGACAGAGGTGACTGAAGGGGGGATGTCATTAATGCTAGTACTTTGCTTAAAGCAAGCCTTTTTGATGCAGAAAAGATAAACTTGTCAAAGAACAACAGATGACAAATCAAAGACTAAAGCATTTCAGCCTCGTGCTCTTTGGCAGAGACTGCCCGCTGTTCGAAGACATGCAAACTCTGAGTGAACTTCCTAGAGGCTCAGGTGGCTTCAGAAAAGAATTAACAGAACCTTCAGAAACAGAAAAACCTACCAGCACTCTGATCCCTAATAAACATAAAGAGCGTATCATTTAAATCTTACCAAGGAAAAAAACTTCTTTTTAGAAAATTCCCATAACGTTTTAAGCTAGTTCAAGATTGTGTTTTAAACAGAAATTTCTGGTTGTTACAAAGTAGTTCCAATGGAATTATATAAGATTACAATTTAAAGACAGATAAGCATCAAGAGATATTCTAAACTACACTTACAGCTATTAAGGAAATCCTACTAACTTCAAGCTAAGTTTAAGCTGCTTCTTGCATTATTCTATGGAAGGATTGGCGTAGCAAGTTAACCCATCAGAATCTTATTTTAATACTTTACTTTAGAACCAGTCTACGAAAAGATAAGATTCTTAGACTCCATCCAATCATGCTTCGGTGATAAATTATCCAAATGACTTAATTATAAACAGTTTGAATTACAAAGAACTCCTAAGGCACAGGAAAATGTTTATTTAAATTACTATAAAAAACACTTTCAGGTAGCTTCAAGCAATAGGATAGCACTCACTTATACAAACATTTGTTGTACTAATTACAATTAGTTCTTATTATAGCAATCCCACTGGGACAGTTTGAACAATAAGCTGGGGTTGAAGCTGTTTTTTCCTCTAGAACAAAAGTTCTCAAACCCCAAACTCAAATAAGAAAGATCTTAAATACAAATGCTTTTCACAACACTGAACTAACTTGTGTGGAAAGACCGATTTTTAAGTACCCAGTATGTGGAGGTCTGTTGCTTGTGTATGTATACCAACATATACGTGTGTACAGGACCCCACTCCATGTAAGGAACAAACACTACATACTCTAATGGAACACAAATAGTGTACTGAGAATAGTTCTTTTCTCTTTAGCTAGACAAGTGTTTAGGTTTGTTACCCTGAAAATCAAATTAAAGATGGAAGGATTAGCTACCTGAAAAGATTCTGGACTGCGTATATCACTACCAGATTAAGGGAGTTTATGTGGCGAGCGCAGAGCTAGACCACGGTGAGTAAAAGGGAGGCAGTCACTTTCCTCACTGAGGACATCCAGGTTGTATGTGGATCCACTAGTGCCTTTGGTTTATAATCCTTCATTTTTCACATTTTCATCGATTCAAAATGCCTTGTTATCTTAAAAAATTATTCTTAATCATTTGTTCACTTCCTTGCCAATATATTTAAAGAGACGTTACATTTTAGGTGAATTTCTTGGGACTGACAAACCTGATAATTGAACATCAGAGTTAGGTCTATAAACGGCATCAATACCTTCCTGAAGCCAATACAAAAGTGAAGAGGCCTTCCTATTCTCTTGCATGGTTGGCTCTTTCTACAACACCAAGTAGCGTGGCTGTCTTGGTAAACAGGGGAATGGTGCCAGTAAAAGTGGGGAGTTGCACGGTTCAAACGTGACATTTCCTAAGCAAGGGGAGCCAAGACAGTGTGAGCAGAACTATAACCCTGAGAAAGAAAGAAAAAGTCCCAAGTCTCAGCGTGGCTGCAGCATAGGCAGGACCCCTCCAGCCTACTTTAGGAAAATTAAGCGTGAGCTACGCCCCAGAAGGGCTCACCCCACAGGGTTGGACCCTGTGACTGGTCAATGCAGGGGCACAAAGACTCTGCCCCCTCCAAAGATCTGGGGCAGTTGGGAAGAGCTCCCTGTGGAGTCAGCTGAAAACTTCAGTGTATACTGCAGGCCAAATCCTCTCCCTGTGTAATCTTGCTTCCTCCCTCTTGCTCCCCCAGAAAGCAGTCCTGAAAGCACTCCTAGGAACTTTCTGCAGGCCAACTCCCAGGAACCAACCTGCAAACTGCACTTGCACCCAGCGCCTCTCCCCAGACAGCCCTCAGCTAGTGGCAGATTGCACCCCACTGTGGACCCCTAATGGGGAGCATGTCTATTCGACTGTCTTTGAACATTTTTAAGACTCCCAAGTAGCCCCCCGATCTCAGTGAATTATCTCATGAGGGAACAATTACTGTGTGTGTGGAGGGGTAGGCAACAAGTATTCTGGTTGTAAAACGACATACATTTTAACAGTTTGACTCTTACCCAATTTTTCCCATGAGCTCTGTTATTTTTATATTTTTGTAAAATATTTTTCATGAATGCATAAATAGCAGAAATGTCTATATTTGATATATTATATATATAAATGTATTTACATATATATACACACATACACATATTTTATGCACACACACACACACGTTTGTTTGTTTTTTTTCCAAGAGACAGAGTCTTGCTTTATCACCAGGCTGGAGAGCAGTGGCGCAAACACAGCTCACTGTAGCCTCGAATTCCTGGGCTCAAGCAATCCTCCCACCACAGCCCCCCAAGGAGCTGGGACTATAAGTGCATGGACCACCACACTCAGCTAATTTTTAAATTTTTTGTAGAAATGGGATCTTGCTAGGTTGCCCGGGCTGGTCTCCAACTCCTGGGCTCAAGCAATCCCGCTTCAGCCTCCCAAAGTGCTGGGATTACAGGCGTGAGCTACCATGCTTGGCTGACATATCTTCTATTTGACATTAGTATTTTGAAAGAGTTTACAATATTATTATCTTTCAGATTACACTGTAAGCTATGTGATGGCAAGAACCATTTACCTTTTGGTAAAAAGCCACACAAGGGAAATTAAGGATAAATGTGGATTCAGCAGGGATGGTAATCTATGTGGTTAAAGTGAGTCAGTGTACGGTCTCTTTACGAAGTGAATACATTAAAGCCCACTGGGAAGGTGAAATCAACAAAATTCAGGACATGGGAAATTCTGTAAGACAAGGAATCCAAGGTGACTTCAACAATAAACTGCAAAGAAAAAAGAGAGAAGGAATGAGAACCTATTGGTTAAGAAAGTCTGAAAGACATTATCAATTAATCTATAATATACAGACCTTGTTAGATTCAAATACATATTCAAAGTAAAAAGTTATTAGACAACTGGGGAAACTTGAACATTGACTGGATTTGATGATACTGAGAAACTGTGGTTAATGTTTTTTGGTGTGATAACAGTACTGTGACTGTGTGTTATGGAGTCCTTATCTTTTAGATATATAATACATACAGATAGGATGATGTGATGTGTAGGAATTGCTTCAGTAATGGGAAAGAGGGGTGGGAGTACAGCTGGAATGAGGCTGGCCACGAATTGATCATTGTTAAGCTGGGTACTGGGCACAGACAGACTCCTTTATTATTCTCTCTACTTTTATACACATGTAAAGTTCTCCATAAGCAACAGTTTTAAAAAGTGAATGTAGGCTAGACACAGTGGCTCACATCTGTAATCCCAGCACTCTGGGAGGCCAAGGCAGGCAGATCACATGAGGCCAGGAGTTGGAGACCAGCAGTTGAAGACATGGTGAAACTTTGTCTCTATTAAAAATACAAAAAAATCAGCTGGGCATGGTGGCATGTGCCTGCAATCCCAGCTGCTCAGGAGGCTGAGGCAAGAGAATCGCTTGAAACCGGGAGGTGGAGGGTGCAGTGAGCCAAGATCGTGCCACTGCACTCTACCTTGGAAGACAGAGCAAGACACTGTCTCAAAAAAAAAACAGGAAAAAAAAGTGAATGTATATCTATTGGTATAATATCATTAGAGTTCTTCCTGGAGTACAGTAAGTAACCTAAGGCATCTGTGTCTAAGTGAAAGTGGTCACAGAAAGTGGCCTACCTGAAGCCTGGCAGTTCCATTATCCTAGGAGAAATCATCGTGGACTCTTGCAGAAAAACAAGGCTGAGAGGAAGCCAACCAAGGCAGAAAGGTGACCCCATCTGTGCGCTGACTCAGACAGCAAAGCGGTGGGTTTCCCTTATGAGATCATGGATTGGCCGCCAGAGACCGCTACTAATGTTAGAACAGGGTTTTTCCCTGAAAGAGTCACAATTCCTCTCCCTGGCAAAACAGGAACTGGTCCTAACAGGAATATTATGTAATACCAGAACTGAGGAGCTCAGGAAAAGCAGGATGAGGGTGGGGGTGGGGATTGAAGAGCAGAGCCCTTTGTGGGAGCGTGAAAGGGACAAGCCCAGTACCGGCTTCCTGCCAGCCTCCCCTTCCCTCCTGCTGCAGCGCCTTCCCTCACGGGATGAGCAGGCATCTCATAGGCAGACAGAACATGGAGCAGGAATAAAAGACTCCCACCTTCTCCAAGGCTGACGGTAACTGACCATGTAACTACAGTGTAACTGAGGGGACCCTGCATAGACAGAAGATGGGCCAGCGAGATGAGGAGCCATGCTGGACGAGCATCCTTTTTTTCCAGATGTAATAAGGTATAAGTGACAGAGGAAGACTCTATGTTTAAGGTGTGCCATGTGATGTTTTGACCTACATATACATAGCAAAATGATCCCCACAGTCAAGCTAATTAACACATGCATCACTTCTCACAGTTACCTTTGGGAGTGATGAGGACACCTAAGATCTAATCTATTAGCAAATTTCGAGTACACAGTGTGTTCTTATTAACTGTGGTCAACATACTGTATGCTAGGTCTCCAGAACTTACTCATCTTAGCCTCTGTCCAGAGGGGAGCTCCCTTGCAATGTAGACAGGGCAGTGGTCAGAGGAGTAGCATTTTAGGAATGTCCTCAAATAGCACAGGGACCATAAACAACACATGTCACAGGCCCAGTGGCAGAGCCAAAAACGCAAGCTGCTAAAGAGACAAAACGTGTTCAATTGTTTTTCAAGTTCAGTATTGTCCGTATCCGATGACCCTGCTTTTGAGACAGACAGGAAGGGTACACACCACTGAGACCACACACACACACCTCCACGTGCCCAGCTTTTCACTGTGGTTATCTCTGGCTGTTTGGATCATGGATTTTTCCCCCTTCTTCCTAATGTACTATGTACAGGTCATGGTTTCTCTAGAGTGGACAGGTACTGCTTTTATAATTTAAAAATATTTGAAATTAAAAACTCACACCGAAAAAACCCTACAAGCCTAGGGCAGAGTGCTCTCTCTGTGAGGACAACTGCATTCAGGAGGCCAGGATGCTGTCACAGCCAAGCGGCAGGTCCTGACCCTCATCTCGACAAGACACAGGTGGAGGCGCCGTCTGCACTCACTCTCAGGACTCAGGTTCCCTCCTCATCCCTTTCCCTTCCAGAAGGTCCCCATGCTTCTCTCAAGGTTCCTCCCCAACTACACCCCACCGGCTTGTGTCTGTAAGCGATCTAACGGGGCTGAATAAAAAAGTCTTCCAGCACAGCAAATGACAGAAAAAGTGTTCAAATGAGAACAAAAGAGGCTTTTCAGGAAGTCACAACTCGATGGCAGAGAAGGCTCTGACATGCACTGATGAGTACATGAAAGAAGTGAAGGACCTCACAGCATCAGGTCAGATGTGGAGGAAAAGTTAACAGCACGAGCGATGAGATGACAGGCAAGCCAGGGGGAGGAAGCAAGGGTGAGCCAGCAGAGGCTTCACATCCAGAGCTGCTCCCATCTGCACGTCTGCCCTGCCGTGCGCTCCTCTCCCAGGAGCCGTGTCACCATCCATCCAAGCTGTCGGAGCCTCAACTGGTCCATACTGTCAGCCCCCAATCCCAGGGCCTCGACCTCCCAACATGACTCCACCAAGCTGCCCCTTTCTCTTTGGGTCTTGCCACCACTGAGCAGCTCAGGCTGAGGCTCAGGCTCGGGCTCTGGCATCCTCTGGAACAGCGACCTCTACCTGCCTGCCTCAGTCTGGCCCCTCCTTGCCCTCTTCATTCTTAGTGCTTTATCTCTGCTGCTAAAGGGATCTTTCTAAAATGCAAAAGCAACCAGCCCCGTCCCATACTTCAAAGCCCCAGAAGCTCTCAAGTACACGCAAAACAAACAGTCTATACTCCCTGCAGATGTCTAATGGGGGCTCTCAGGGAAAAAAAAATCCCCCTCCCTCCCCCAGTTTTTATTGAGACAGAGTATCCCACCGTTGCCTCGGCTGGAGTACAAAGGCGCAATCTTGGCTCACTGCAGCCTCCGCTTCCCAAGTTCATGTGATTCTCCTGCCTCAGCCTCCCGAGTAACTGGGATTACAAGTGCGCACCACCACACCTGGCTAATTTTTTGTATTTTTAGTAGAGATGGGGTTTCACTATGTTGGCCAGTCTGGTCTTGAATTCCTGACCTCGTGATCTGCCTGCCTCAGCCTTCCAAAGTGCTGGGATGACAGGCATGAGCCATCATGCCCAGCCAAAATCCCCCCTTTTTAGATCCTCAGCTTATTTTTCAACACCCACCAGAAAAGTCAAAATTAATTCATAACAAGACTCTGTTTTTCAACATCCAGCTGCAGCTAAAGCATCTGAAGCCTCTAGTGACTCCCGTCCCTCCTCGGTGGAAGCACACATCGCAAATGCTCAGTACACAGCATCCTTGGGTCACTGCAGGCACAGTATGAAGTGACCAGCTTAGGGATGGCAGCTGCTCCAGGCTCCTGGCCGTGACGAGGGCTGAGGGGATCAACCCCTCGGACCACCAACAATCCACTTGTGGCATGCCAGCTGGTAAACTCCAACTGAGAATAAAGGGGACTGTTGAAACCTGCTTGTGAAGCTACAATTAGAATTTAGGCTTCAGTGCAAAGTTGGAAACATAGCTATATTCTTTTAAAAGGACTGGTGGGTTATTTTGGTTTGGGGAGCTCCAGCCCCCATCTTTGTGGCGGCTGCTGATGTGCTTGGGCGATCTGCTGGCCCCCTGGCTTTCTAGAGAGAGTCTGACTACAAACTATAAACCCTGGAAGAGACGCCAGGGTGGTGGCGGCAACCTCTCTCCAGCACTGCGCGAGGCAAAGGACTTGCATTTGGCCTGTGGTGCTGCCGCGGTTCCTGCCTGGGAGCGGGGAGACATCCTGCCCTCTTCCAGGTTGACAAGAAGCGTGCAGCTTTTGAAGGCCCTGAGACCCCCAGGACAACATGCCCCATCTCAGTCTCTCCACAGAGGTGCCAGTTACACCTGGCAGTGATGAGACTCTTAACTCTCCGTGCTGGCCAGGACCGCCCCCTCTCTCCCGCTCAGGACCAGCAAGGGTAGCGCTGGAGCTTGTCTGTATTACGATCAGCTATTGGAGTCTGAGTCTCTGGATAAAGGTCCAGCTATTTAGAGACCTAGAGAATTATCCTCTCATTGGATGACAGCAGGCCCCGCAGATGCGCTGGCCTCGCTCTCCCTGCACTCTCCGCGCTGGATGGGCCTGCAGCTGCAGGTTCCTCTCTGCCCTCTTTCCACTTCACGTCCGCACCCACTGCTACTTCTGCTTGAAAATCCTCCTGCATCTTCTCTTACTGACCCTTTTGTCCTTTATGGACTAGCAAGGACAACACCTCCTCCAGGAGGGCAGGAACCCACCTGAGAGGGAGATGCCCCGGGGGCCACGTGCACACCTTGCCTCCAGCTCAACAGTTAACCAAACCGCATCAAAATCATTGACCGTCCCTCCCCCGTGACGCTGTGCGCTCCCTGAAGGGACAGACTGTGCCTCTTCTTCACAGTCCATGGTTAAGAGCGCCTGGCACCCGCCATCACTCAGGAGTGGTTCTGGGAGAAACAGATGAAGTAAAGCAGTTTACAACAAACAGAAATACTCTCAGGAATGGAATTCATGAAAGGCTTGCAGATGGTACACCACATACACGCCGCCGGTACTCTGGCAAAGGTATTTTTAGCATCTTGAGATTAAATGGTTGTATCTATAGGTGACTGTAATAGGAAAAAAAGAACTACTTCAGGGACACGATTAATTGCTGTGATGTGATAAACAGCAGTCTACATTGTATTCCTCATGGCATAGCTGTCACCTGTGTGAATTACTTAGCTCATAATGTTTACTATGTTAGTTAGTGTGAGTATACACAATACACCATCTCATTATCTGAGATGCCCCCTTACCTCTCCCAGTCAAGCAGCTTTCATTTCCAGGTGGAAGCTGACCGCACACTGCACCTCAGCCCTTGTCCAGACTGTCTTGTTGCCACTTCCATGGATTTGCTAGATCCTGCTCCAAATGAACGTGTTTCCCGGCGTGCCATTCTGACCCTCGCTAACATCTACTGAGTGCCTACTATGCGCGAACACTCTGCTAGGGGTAGATACACATGATGACGAAAGCATGATCTTCCGCTTGAGGTGCTTCAAGAAGTGTAAGCTTGAAGAGCTCCTGCCCCCAAGTCTGTAACTCCTAGTGTCTGCATCCTCTAAACTATTTTAACAAGCATATTATCTACATAATGCTCAATTAACTGGTCTACAAACCAAATTATTATTGACAAGTTCTTCTGAGCCAAGAGTTATGCTCCTGAGCTTAGTTTGCCCAAATGTTTTCACCTAGACCAGGGGTGTCCAATCTTTTGGCTTCCCAGGGCCACGCTGGAAGAAGAAGAATTGTCTTGGGCCATCCATAAAATGCACTAACACTAATGACAGCTGATGTGCTATTTAAAAAAAATTGCAAAAATATCTCACAACATTTAAAAGACTTTACGAATTTGTGTTGGGCCACATTCAAAGCCGCCCTGGGCAGCATGCAGCCCACCCGCCATGGGCTGGACAAGCTTGACCTAGACCATTACCTTTCTACCAAAAAGCTTCTAAGGAATTAATGCTAAAGAAAGGACACAGACGTCCGCTGGAACGGGGGCATTTGTTTTAATTTTAATTATTAAAGGTCATTAATTTCAATAGCCAGAAAAAAAAAAAGACCTTACTTGAAAAACAAAAGTATAGTGAATTTACAAACCATTTTGCCTCAGGGATCTCTGTCAAAGCAGCAACATGAATACACTTAATGCTGTTGTAACAAATCATGACAACATGAGTCACTGAGGAGCCTCTTAGTATATTCCTTATGACCTGTACAGATTTAACTCAAGATAAACTTCAAACAAATATTGCAATGAGTATCTAGTAACAGATTCAAAGAGGCGACAAAATAATTCCACTGGGGTGTGTAAAAGCTACGCTGCTCAACATAGCATTTGTGTGAGAAGATAACTACATTCAAAGATCAGGAATGTTTTTAAATTTGAACAAATGTAAACTGTTTTAAAAAATGGACTTGCTAGTTGCTAAGCAGGTGTCGTCACCAGAATAACTCTCTTCATTAATTTTTCTCTTCAAAAGTGAGAACGTTATGAAGTGGCAGTGAAGGGGTATTTTTAGAAATGGGCTCAGATGAACCAAAATATTAATGCTCAATCACTGGTAATCTATCACGATTAAAATTTTAAATTACAATTTTTTAAAAATAAAATTTTAAATTACATTTAAAACATACAGATCTTAAAATTTCAAATATTTCCGTTAACCTACACAGAAAAGTAACTTTTGTTTATTCACAAAAAGTAGCTTCATCATATATTGACTTAAAATATCCGAACAGTATTACAAAGTAAAAAGGAGCAAACCCTTCGCCTGTTGCTACCTTTTTTTTTTTTGAGACGGAGTTTCGCTCTTCTTGCCCAGGCTGGAGTGCACTAGCGCAATCTCAGCTCACTGCAACACCTCCGCCTTCTGGTTTCAAGTGATTCTCCTGCCAAGTAGCTGGGATTACAGGCGCCTGCCACCACGTCTGGCTAATTTTTGTATTTTTAGTAGAGACGGGGTTTCACCATGTTGACCAGGCTGATCTCGAACTCCTGACCTTGTGATCCGTCCGATCACGAGGCTTCCCAAAGTGCTGGGATTACGGGCATGAGCCACTGCGCTCAGCTGCTGTTACTACTTTTAAATGAGTGGGAAGATGCGTTCAAATTAGACTTTTACGGGTTTAAAACTAAAATCCGAGTGCATGTATGTTTTTAAGATTCCATTTTGTTTTTAGTGACATCAATATAACAAGTGCTCTGAATTCCTCCCAGGAACAGAAAGACCATTTATCTACTGTATTTATTCAGGGCAAGCTTCCCATCTGTGTCAGACTGAGAGATTTAACATTGCTGAAGAATGCAGGTGGTGATAAAGGAGGGTGACGCTAGAAATGAACACCTCACGTTTCCAAATACTTTTAAAAAGGACAAATATTATACTCATCTAGAAAGTGGGTATGCATTCAGAGAATCAGAAGACAAAATCCAAAAGCTTCTTGACTTTATAAATGCAAAATTCTAAGATTAATTCATTCAAAAAACAAATCACTTGGTTGGGTGAAAATCCTAATATCGAAGTAAGAAAATTCACCAAATCTCCAGGGCTAAGGATTATCAAACCTCTGCCTCTGCCAAGTTCAGTTCATAGCAATGTCTTTGACCTGGCTACAAACAGAGGGCTTGGCTTGCTCCCAGGCTGTCTTTCTTAGCTGCTCTAATCAATGAAGCAGAAAGGGTCCTTTCTAAAGATGCCAGCAAAATTTTTAACAATCAACGTCACCTTAAGTAAAAATTAAAAGTCTCTCTCCCCCACACCAAGACGGAGTGTTGCTCTGTCGCCCAGGCTGGAGTGCGGTGGCGCGATCTCGGCTCAGTGCAATCTCCGCCTCCCGGATTCAAGTGATTCTCCTGCCTCAGCATCCCAAGTAGCTGGGACTACAGGCACACACTACCATGCCTGGCTAATTTTTGTATTCTTAGTAAAGATGGGGTTTCACCATGTTGGCCAGGCTGGTCTCGAACTCTTGACCTCGTGATCCACCTGCCTCAGCCCAATAAAAGTCTTTAACTTGTGACTTTATGACTTATTTTTATAGTCACTGCTTGTAAGAAAAAATCCCAAGACTCTCAAAGCATACTGTATTACCTAAATAGGTAAAGTCAAAAGTAAAGTGATCTCACTTTTTAAACCAAAATCTCTGTTACGGAATGCCAAGTATTATGACAGTTAGCAAAAAACAACAAAAAGGCCCTATTCACAAATCCCATTTGATTTTTTTTTTTCATGATGCCTAAGCTTCTGTCCCATTCAACTGAACAAAGCTTTGTATGGATGAATAAAACAGAGCCATTGCTTTAGTTGCCTAAAGGTGGTTTAAGACAAACTATTATCGTCACAGAAGAAAGGTACAGGTGTTTCAAAAAGCGAACTGGCTGATGACTTTGCAGGCCAAGTGGTGAAAGAGCTTAGAGATTTGGAGAACCAGTCAGTTCAAATGATAACGGGATGGGAGATTCTGAAAAGCGCAGATAATGACTTAGAAGAGCACAGAGAATATCTGCTGAGTGCATGGAAGGAGCTTGATTGGCTCAGATAAGAGAGGCTTCCAAGGGACTGTGAGCAAAACCCAAGAAACAGGGCAGCTTGGGGGAAAAGAACTTCCATCTGAAGTCAAAGACTCCAGGCATGCGAAAGGCACAGGATCCCCGGGGGGAAATGGACAATAAAAGAGGTGCGATTTGTTTAATTTCAACCAGAGTAGAGACACCCGCAAGAATCCGATGAGTTCCATTTCTACCTCTCGTATCCAGCCTTTACCATTAAGACTCACTCAGCCATCAGCTCCCCCTTCCAGAGAGCAGCTTGGGAAAGGGAATGAAGAACTCTCTATGAGAGGAGGACTGAGCTGGCCAGGCATGCCTTCCGGGCTGCTGTTCTCTTTGTTTAGTTCTATTCTGATAATAGATTTCCTTTAAAAGATACAATGTTTAAAATATGGGAAGTCCTAGAAAACAAACTTGCTCACTCCAGACAGGTGATAAGAATCCATTACTCTGCCCACATTTTTTATCTGCGATTTTTTCCCCTTAGTAACCTTGTGTAGCTTTCCTCAACTTATACTAAGAGCTGTTAAAAAAAAAAAGGGTTCCAGTCAAAAAAGTAACATTAAGTTTTAGAGATGAACCATGTTCATTACCATATAAAAGGCTCTAAGAAGGATGCAATGAAAAAAATTGTTAAATATCTACATGTTTAATCTGTGTTTCCCAAATGTATCTGAGCATGTGACAATGACAACTATCAGCACTCCCCTCCTCCCAACCCAAACATCTACCAGCAACACTGATGGTTCCAAGGAACACATTTTGGGAAACTCTGCCCTACAGCAATGCTGACAGTAAGAACCAAGCAGAAGAAACAGCCCCACAGCTTGAATGGAAGCTGATCCACTCTCTGTCTCCCCTACCCAGTAACACACGTGAACCTCCAGTACAGTAAAGCGGGTGACGGAGAGTGTTGCTGCCGTGGAGGGAGAAGGGCCTGGTTTTTCAGCAGGGGTCTTCACGCTCACTAGTCTGAGTCTTCAGCCAGGTTACTTTAACCTTTGTCAGCTTCCTCATGAGTAGTTCCTACCTCTCAGGGTTGGTGTTTCAGGGACCTAGAAGGAAACAGTGTTTCAACCGCACTCTAAAAACCAAAAGCTCCCTCAAATACAAGGCATTACTGTTGTTAGTAAGCCACTGACTGTGTGACAGAAAGGGTGTGCTGGAAGACACTTCTACTGCACTTAGCTCAAGCCTGCTAGCAGAGCCTCAAACAGTCAACAGTGGCCTCTCCTGATCTCAAAGTTTTGAACACATGGTTATAGGAGACAATATTGTTGTTTAAAACAAAAAAACAGAAACAACTTTCTAAAAACAAACAGGGCCTAAGTCATGTAGATTACTGCAGCTTCAGGAATATATGTAAGCCACTATTTTATTCAAAATAAAAAGAGGACCCCTGAATCAGATTCAGAAGAAACCTAAGCATTGAGGACCACCAGGGGTGCCTGAAATTCACTTTATTTCTAGCACTTCATCATCACAGCAAAAGATGCCTCAAACCACCTTTTCATACCTTCATATAATTTGAAGAGAAAGAAAACAGCTTATTTTCAGTCACAGAGATGTATTAACTCATAATTCAAAATAATTTATTCAAAAATTTGAATTAGGAAATGGTACAGCAGGAACTAGTGACCTCTCCACTGTCTGATGGAGAGAAGAAATCTACACTAACACAACCATGTCAGGAGAATCTCAGCCATCTACCAATGCATGCAGGTGGGACATTCTAAATGATGAGCTAAACAGTCCTTACTACTTCACTCTATCAGAAATAAAGCAAGTATTCTTAAAGAAAATAATGAAGTACTGAACTGACTTTTCAGGAGTAACAGCTACACTAGAAGTGAGGAATAGACGGGGAGACAGATTCCATCCTGGAACTGCCCCATCCACACACATGTTTCTGGGATGTTTGTAGGACACGGGTAGGCTGCCTTTGAATAAACTGCTCAGCCAACATTTTTGAAAACTTAACTGCATTTCTTTTAGAGTCCATGTGGCCTGGGTAATGCTTATTAAATGCCCACTGAAGTGTGCGTGTATGCATACTCACATGTGTGCTGCTGAAATAATGAGAGCAGCACAGGCTCCAGCCTTGAGAAATTATTACTTCAAGTTGACTTCCAGGCCCTCCCAAATCCATTTCCCTCAAACGTAATTGGAAACAAATCAGAATGAGACTGTGGCAACATATTATTTTTACCAGTTTTTAACTAGCACATGATTTCAGAAGTCAATATGAAGTTACACTTCCACTTGATATATATAAAAGAAAATATAACAGTGGAAATTACTAAAGAAGAGAAAAATAACTTCTTTTTATCAGTCAAACATGTAGCCAGGACTCCTGGGGAAAAAAAGCCAACCAGGCAATTCAAAAGCTGCACCGATGGCCGTTTAGGAAAGTCTCTTGGCAGTAAGCCAGGTAAAACTAAACTCTTTCCATCTCCTCCTCAATTACTTTTGCAACTCTCTCAAAAGGTAGAGACACCTTTTCTAAATTCAGAAAAGGTGAATTATTTTCAGTCTAATGGCCTGGTCACTGTTTCTGAAATTACATACCATATTACCTGGGAGCTTGTTAAGAATGCTGATTTCTAGTGTCGAGCCAGAGCCTACAATATGCATTTCTAATAAGTCCACCGGGTGATTCTGCCAGCTTAGAACTGGAGGCGGTGAATCAATTACTGCTTAGTAGCTCCTCCTGGTGTTAGTTTTTCAGAAAATAATCAGTTTTCCCAAATTGTGCACAAGCAGCAATGATTTGATATTAGAAAAATGAGTTTGTACTCACGTACACTTTCACAGCAAGGAAATTAGAGGTAAGAACCCTTCCTACTTTCTTGGGAAACTGATCATCTGTATTATAATATTTAAATTTTATTTCAATAAAACACAGTATTTAAAAAAAGGTTTTCTAGTTTGTCAATTTTTTTTTTCAGTGTATTTGGAATCTATATCTGGACAGAGTACCTGCAAAAAGTAACAGATTCACTTAAATAATTTTATTATAAACATAAACTTATGTTTTATGCTGTTAACTATATTTGAATACAATCATCAATTTAAGATGGTCTCAACAGAACTGTTGAGACTTTAAAGGGTGTGTTCATGCTTCACGTGTTTGCTGTTGCTTTTACAAGCGAACAGTTCTCCTTGAGGCCCCGAGGCCTGACAGTTGCTGGGGAAATGATGGGACAGACGTGTCTGCTCCTGTTTCCATCCTTCTTCTGCCTGGCTCTGCCATTTCTCTTACTCTGCATTCTAGACCTGCCACCAAAGATTCCAGTTCATTCCCCAACACACCTGCTTGGCTTATGGAGGTCCAACTTCAATACGCTTTGAAATGGACAGGTGAGCGGCCTGACTGGGAGAAAGCATTCGGGCAAAAGTGGAGCCACTCAGACCACATTGGTGACCACTCCACAGCAGTCTAATCCCACTTACTGTCCCTCTCTAAACTGGGGTGCAGTAGACAGAACCACAATCCCTGCATGTCTGAGTGACGGGACATGACACAGGGCCATTAGGTAAGAGGAGCCGCTGGCAGGGGATCAAGGGAGGACAATGTCCAAGGACTACAGACTAGAACATGGATGCTGGGAATTTTACTGGGCAAAGTAGGTTTTTTCCAAGTTAGGGCCACTTCCAACAAAGCTGAATAGGGAACATGTTCTCAACCACGGTCTGAGTTAGTCCTTACTGGGCTATTTGTCATTCCACTAGCTGACTGCTAAGGCTCAGAAAGGTTAAATTCCTGCCAAAGGTCATATGACTCACAAGGGCAGAGCCGAGACTGCGATCCAGGTCTGCGTGATGACACATCCCGGACTCTTTCTACTACACCACACCATTCTTGCATCTGTTACTGCTAGTCTTTAGGATTGTTTTCCTTCTCAGTTTTGATGGAAATAACATTTTTTCTATCTCCACTGTCACTTCCACAAAGTGAGACCTTGGGTGCAGGAATATTACCTAACAAGAGTCTGATGTACAGCATTTGGTATTATTCTTAAGGATTCATGAACAAGAACACTGCGTATGTATAAATGAACTTGTCCGACTTAAGAGTCAACCTGTTGCTAAACGACACTGATGCAATCAGATGTTACCGCAGAGTTTTAAATAATGTCAATGATAATTATTTTGCGATTCTTTTACTGAAAGAGCTGTTATAAGTAACTTGGGTTCTTCTTGGTCATGATCATTCTAAAACAATAGAATGGAGTTTATTTACATGATCTGACTGAGAATAAACTTTTTTTTTTTTTTTTTGAGAGCAAGTCTCACTCTGTTGCCCAGGCTGGAGTGCAGTGGCGTGATCTCAGCTCACTGCAGCCTCCGCCTTCTGGGTTCAAGCAATTCTCCTACCTCAGCCTCCTGAATAGCTGGGATTACAGGTGCACACCACCACACCCAGTTAATGTTTGCATTTTTAGTAGAGATGGGGTTTCACCACATTGGCCAGGCTGGTCTTGAACTCCTGACCTCAAGTGATCTGCCTGCCTCCGCCTCCCAAAGTGCTGGGATTACCGGCCTAAGTCACTACGCCCGGCCAAGAATAAAGTAAAATTTCTTAATGTTACACTAGCCCCAAATGAAAAAGGACAGCACTCTCTTCTCTTTGCTTTCCCACCTCAGACCATACCACTTGATCCAGGCGCTCAGCTTACAGGACCCAAATACTGAAGCATGCAGATGACAAATCTGTCCCAACTCTCCTTTCTGCAAGATGGACACTGAGTCAGTGTGAGATGGCGGCCCCTGGGGGAGTCCCTGGCATCAGTCTCTTCAGCTTTCTCTATTTTCTTAATAGATGGATAATGGAGTAGAAGCTCTATATTTTATCATGATCTCAGCAAGATAAAGAGGAATATATTTTAGGAAGACACTGCTGGTAGAAAACCGAATTCCAGAACACAAAAACCTCAGTGAACTCTTCTTCCCAGTACCACAGATTAATCACGCCTATCCTGCAGAAAGGGAAGGAAGGGGGAAGTGAATAGAGGAAAGGGATGGATTTCCAATGATGGCTTACGAAAGCGTGCTTCCAACTCCCCTCCCATATGCTAAAGGAGGAGAGGATGATGGTGCCCCAGCTATCTGCTTAGACTTACTTCCTCCAAGAAAATGATGACTGCACATTTGCTTTATGCCTTAAAGAGTCTCCAAGTACTTTCAATCCATACAATTTCATCAACTGCTAAAGTGAGCATAGGCTGTCATCCACATTTCCCAAGTGAGGAGGAAGAAGATCAGAGCAGGTATGGTGTGGTCCCCTCGCCTAGAAGCAAAAAGCTGGAATTCTCTCTGCCCAGCTCTGAAGTGGGCAAGCTTAACCTCTATAAACCTCAGTTTCCTTTTCTGGAAGTCCAGGGAAGACCTAGATGGTCTTTTCCAGCTATAAAATTTCCAGTGTGATCCAAAGTCACACTGAGGGCTCAGTGACAGAGCTGGGACTTGAGCCTAAGTTTCTGACTTTTAAAGCAATCAGACCTTACAGAACTACAGCAAACCACCTCTAATGAAAAAGAATTTGTGGTATCATTCTAACCTGGCTCCTGGATGCTTTAAACCTGTGAGCAATATCTCAAGAATCCAGACTGCCAGGAGAACAGATTTGCCTAAAAGATAAAGGAACCTCCATCGCTGACCACGGGTATCGTCCTGGCCCCATGAGAGAGCTTGTCACAGGAAGTGTCAAGGAAAACATGAAATGCACAAGCACCACTGGAATGCAGCAATCTCACAGTACTGCCCCATCCCCGCAATGGAGAAGCAGAAGATGCAATGCATGCCGTACAAGTGCCAGCTACATCCTACTGACAAACTGGAAGATGTACAAAGAAGAAAAAGCAAAGGGCCCAAATGATTCAAAGAAATGAACAAGTTAAAAAGGTAGTTTGGGGGACGGAAGAGCAAAGGGAAAAAAAAACTTTAGCATAATCAAGAACTTCCTTGGAATAAGTCGAAAAGCCTGCAGCATTCAATGCCAGGGAACTCCCTCCCCTGGAACAGAGAATTGCTTTAGGGGGAAGCTCACAAGGCTGACCGCACCTGGGGAACAATTGCCAAGGAGACAAACTTCTGTGACTTACACACAGCAGGTCACTCATACACTGATACACTCATGACATTCCCTTGGAGCACTTCACCCCACAGACAAGAACAAGGTTGACGTGTATGAAGACAACCTGCACTCTGGAGACATCAATCAAATTTGGATATCCCAGGCCTGGAATAGCTTTGTACTCCACTCCATCATCTTATGATTTAAAAATTACTTTTTGGGCTTGCTCCCATTCTGAAACTCCTATCTCTTTGCCAGAATCCAGTATCAACAAAAACCTATTGGTTACTCTGCATTCCTAAATCTTCCTAACTGCTTGCTACTCTCAACCTTGATTTCCCCACTAGCCAGGAGTACACAGAGGGCAGGGGCCCGGTGGAACCAGGCACTCTACTGCTTCTACACCTCACTTCGGTCCCATGGGATCTGGGCGAAGATCTCTATGAAGGGAATGTACCAGACCTCCAGGGTGGGGGATGGGGTGCTCTGCTCAGAGGACTGGGGAATTATATTCCAGTAAAGAACCAAGATATGGATTCTCCTGGGACAACTATCTTTCTTCTCTTTGTTTGCTTCCAGCCCTGACTTCTACTAATATTAGTATACACAGCAAGAAGACTTATTGAAAGGATTTAAGGAAGAAATAAACTAGGACATATGAGGGCAAAAATAAATTGGACACTAGCAACTTCACACTTGCAGGATGACCATGACATTGTGAACTTCAATGTCACACAAAATTAAACCATTCTGTGGTGGGACTAAATAAATATTAAAGAACATATTATTAGTAGATTAAAAAAACTTTTTTATTGTGCAAAAAATTTCAAATATACAAAAAAAATTAGTGAACCCTAATATTCCTATCAACAATTAACAAAGTTTGCCACATTGTTACATCATTGCTTTGTTCTTTGCTGAAATATTTTAAGGTGAATCCCAGACATCAAGTCATTTCATCCTGAATGCTGCAGTAAAAACCACTAAAAAGTACGGAAATTTCCTTACAC
Organism: Homo sapiens; assembly: GCF_000001405.40. Taxonomy (NCBI): domain Eukaryota; kingdom Metazoa; phylum Chordata; class Mammalia; order Primates; family Hominidae; genus Homo; species Homo sapiens. The sequence continues at coordinate 10,803,293 of NC_000008.11, forward strand.
AATCACAGTGCCATTAGCACATCTAATCAAACAGACAATAATTTCTTGGCATCTAATGCGATCTATCATCAGTTTCCTCACCAGCTCATGGACGTCTTTTTATGGTTCAAATCAGCTCTTAAATAAAGCCTACACTAGCGCATGATACTTGTATCTTTTAGGGTTTTTCTAGTTACCACACCCTATTCTTTCCCACAATCCCATATTTTTTTCATTCCACTGACTTATTGTAGAAATTGGGTCAATTGTTTCGAGCTCTGTCCCACATTCTGGATTTTTGTTTGTTTCCTTCTAAGATTGCATCTCTATAACTTATATTTTCTGTGAATGAAAAATACTTCTAGAGATTTGATTAGATTTAGGTTCAGCTTTTTGGCAGGAAGAGTTCAGATTTATACTGCATTATGTCAGGAGCACACAAGGTCTGCTTGTTCTACTTCCGTGGTACTAAGGCTGAACCATAAATAGTAGGTTCTTTATTAGACTGAAAAATACTCTTTTTCTGTTGAAAACAGATTTACTATGAAAGTGAATTTTGTATAACTCTTAGTATAGTGGATAATGTGTCTGGATTTTAGTAGGAAGGAGAAACTTAATTCTTTCATAGGGCTATCAATTAAGAAGCAAGGAAATCAACCTGCAATGTAAAACTACCCTTGATTCCCATGAGTATTAAAGAAGTTCAAATTAGCTATCATTTTAACTATACCAACGAACTCATATAGTTACCTAGTTACCTAGTGAGCAACTACTAACGACCCTGAGCCAGGGCCTATGAAAGTACAAAGCCATGGCCTCTGTCATATGGGCAGAAGAGGAAGACACACACTGTTGAAAGGACAGCATGCCAGGCAGCAGACAGTAATCAGCAAATTCAGACCAACGCAGAGCGCAGTGAGAGGCAGGATGGAGATGAGGAAACTTTCCATGAAGATGTCACTGCGGTGTTAGCCGCCGGGGGCAGTGACTCTCATCACCAGAGCCTAGAACAGTACCTAGCACAGAAGAATTTAATAAAAACCTGCCAAATAAAACAATGAGCCAGAACGTGCTCAGGGGCCTGAAAGAGGCAGCAGCAGAGTGGGTGACACAGAGCTGGGTGAGAAGAGCCCCGGGAGGTCCGTACCAGGAGCCAGCAAGCATCGGCATCAGGGAAGCAGATTAGCGTGAGCTGGGCAAGGGTCTGGTGTGTGTGTTAAGGGAGCTGCATCTGTCATACGCTGGGCACTGCTGACATGGGACAGCAGCATTGGAGAAGAGCCGATTTTGAGAATAAGCTCTCAAAACGCTCTGAAAGGATGCCCTGCAAGTAGGAAACACTGGGGCCGGGGAGGCTACTTAGGATTACAATTTAGGGGTCATAATGATTAGGAATGGTTTCATCGGAAGGAATGAAAAAGCAAGATGAATGCTGGAGGATTAAAAATACAAAATTAGCAGGCCCTGGTAATGTCAAAAGAAAAAAAAAGAAATCACAGATCACACTCAAGATCCAACAACTCTAGCTAAGTAAGATATCCAATTATTAAAAATGTGCTTAGTGCTTGTACTTTGTCCCCCACAACCCTGGGTATGGGTTTAATCTACTCAACATCATTCTCATATGAAGTGACCCTGCCTATACTTTAATCAAAAACTCAAGAAGGACCCCCGAGAAGACTTGGTTTGACGCTACAAAGGGAGTTCACACCTCGGAATGAAGTGAAGACTGGTGGCACTCAGCTCATTCCTCTTTTCTCTTCCACATCACAAATACAGTTTCCACTAATCTTTCCCAATAGGACAATTATTATTACTAAGAAAGGCAAATGCAATAGGTGAGGCCTGTCTCTCCTGGCAGAACACCTCACATTCTTTCTGTGGGAAAGGAAAATGGAGCCAGGGGCAAGTTACCTGACCTGCTGCGACCTCCTGCAGGGCGTGCTTGGAGGAACCATCCAGCACAGACAGCCTGCTGGCTACAGGAGGCACACGCAAAAGACATCCACGTCAGGGTAATAACAACCAGCATGTATTTATGGAGGTTCAGAGCACTTTCTGCAACCCACCCCATGTTTCAGTAAGATAAGTTAGGAATGGCATATTTCCATGATACACTTTAGACAACCAGAGTACTCGAAGATTGATGCTTAACTTGCAGGAAGAAGCCATACTAGTGCTGAGTGGGTGGCAGAGCACAGGAAGAAGCCACACTAGTGCTGAGTGGGTGACAGAGCACAGGAAGGGGCCACACTAGTGCTGAGGGAGGAGGCAGAGCACAGGAAGGGGCCACACTAGTGCTGAGGGGGTGACAGAGCACAGGAAGGGGCCACACTAGCGCTGAGTGGGTGACGGAGCACAGGAAGGGGCCACACTAGCGCTGAGTGGGTGACGGAGCACAGGAAGGGGCCACACTAGTGCTGAGTGGGTGACGGAGCACAGGAAGGGGCCACACTAGCGCTGAGTGGGTGACGGAGCACAGGAAGGGGCCACACTAGTGCTGAGTGGGTGGCAGAGCACAGGAAGAAGCCACACTAGTGCTGAGGGGGTGACAGAGCACAGGAAGGGGCCACACTAGCGCTGAGTGGGTGACGGAGCACAGGAAGGGGCCACACTAGTGCTGAGGGGGTGACAGAGCACAGGAAGGGGCCACACTAGTGCTGAGGGGGTGACGGAGCACAGGAAGGGGCCACACTAGTGCTGAGTGGGTGACGGAGCACAGGAAGGGGCCACACTAGTGCTGAGGGGGTGACGGAGCACAGGAAGGGGCCACACTAGTGCTGAGTGGGTGACGGAGCACAGGAAGGGGCCACACTAGTGCTGAGGGGGTGACGGAGCACAGGAAGGGGCCACACTAGTGCTGAGGGGGTGACGGAGCACAGGAAGGGGCCACACTAGTGCTGAGGGGGTGACGGAGCACAGGAAGGGGCCACACTAGTGCTGAGGGAGGAGGCAGAGCACCATCTCCTTCACTGCACAGTGGGGGCTTTCTCAACCTTCTTCAGGCTTGGATCCAACAAGCTGCAGTAGGAGCTCATGGACGCACGTGTGGGGGAGAGGTCTCCATGACACCACGGCCGTACTTAAATACAACTCATAAGGAAGTAAATCTGAGGAGCAAACAGAGTAAGTTTTTGTGTTTTCTGTTTGTGTTTTAAAATGGGAATGATGCCAGGTCTAAGATTTGAAAAATGCAACCATTCCCACCCCCCTCACATGTATTGAGAGGAAACAGTTTATAACATTGTGGAAATGATGGATGAGAAAAGGGTTTGTTACACTTTTGAATTGAAAGGGTTTTCTCTTAGTCTTTCTCCACTCCTTTCCTTCAATAACGATTTGCTGAATACCCTGAGCCTAATGGCCCAACCACTTTCCAGAGTGGGGAACAGCAGCCAGTGTTTCCTCTACAAGAGAAACATGTGAGGGAACAGAAGGTATAACCCCTGGAAAAACTGACCCCCAGAGGCTCTGCCGGCAGGCCCTAGGATGCAGCGGAGGGCAGGGGAGGCGCTCCTGACAGGAGGGAGGCCAGGGCATGTAGGAGGACCTCCCCACTAGTCCACCAGAGCCCACGTCCATGGCCCCAGCGAGAGGGCTTCTCTAGAGAAGCCAAGCCCCAGTGACAGAAAGACCCGCCAACTCTGACATCTGGGGGTTCCCTAAGGAAATGGCAAACTCCCCATCTGAGAAGGCTGCCTCTGCAAACAGCTTCCAAATGGCTCTTCATTAATTGACTGTTAAATTACAGCAGACGGCAAAGGATCATCGGACTATGTGGGGGAAATCCTCCCTCATGAAGGGAGCAAACCAAAACCAAAAGAAAAGAGGAACTCAGAGGACCAAGACAGGAAAACAATCTGCGAATGTGTGAAAAACACAATGCCTCCAGAGGCCAAGGAACATACGGTTGTATCCGTGAGACAAGAACAGGACATTATTAAAAAATAACAATGAGATAGTAAGACATAGCTCTTGAAAATTAAAAATATGACAGCAAAACTTACCTTATAATAAGAAGGTTGGAAAATAAAAATCAAGAAAATCCCCCCCCCACCCCCCCCCCCACCAAAGTAGAACAAAGATACAGTAAAATTGGAGACAAAAGAAAAATCTGAGGAGGAATTCAAGATGTCAGTGCTTCAACTACTGGCTTCCTGACAAAACAGAGGGGAAAAAATTATGAAACAGCTAATGTTCCAGAACTCATGAAAGGATATGAATCTTCATACTGAAAGTTCTACCAAGTGCCTGGTGAATAAAAACGCCCAACCAACTCATTCCCATAGGGTTTTAGAATCTGAGCATGTTAAGATTCTAAAACCTTCTGAAAATGAGATAAACAGGTCTGTGCTAAGGACTAAAATAAGAACTGCAACAATGGCTATCAGAAGACACTAGAGTAATACCTTCAAAATGCTGAAGGAAAATGATTTTCAACTCAGAATTCTATACCCAGACCATCTGCCACAGTATTAATAGAGATTTTCAGACCTGTGCCCTTTTCAGAAAGCTGTGGAAGATGAGTGAGGACACAGAGGAGCTAAAAGGAGCAAGGCTGGGGAAAAGTCCAGGAGGCCAGGGAAATGGCCGAGCCAGCACCTAGTCCTGAGGGAGCCGGGAGGTGGAAATCTTAAGAGAGAGGTCTCCTGGGAGACAGATCCAGCTGACAGATGATCTGATGCAGCTGACACACTGAAAGTTTTATATTAAGAGGCTACCAAAGAGTCTAGAGGGAAAAAACAAAATCACACAGATATACAGAATGCTTTTGTTTCCCATCAGAAAACAACCAAAAATTGTTACAGGAAATGTTATTATTGTACACTATTTGGCTTAGCAGGGTACGATATTTACATAGCAATAAAAATATAAACCCCAAATAACAAATTCACTAATCATTATACAATACAATCAGTAGTTTGAGTGGTGTAAAGGCCCAGATCTTAATCTACCAAAACAGAAGTCCACATTTTAAAAATTATGACATGGAAAAATGTCAATGCAAGTTATTATTGTAAAATATGAAGGTAAATACCAAATAACTGAGGAAGAATTGAAAGTGCTGTAGGGAGGAGGCTTGTGAGGTGGAGTGGCAAGGATGACTACAGAATGCTCTTTCTTTAAAAGCTGTTTGGCGGAGCTTAATTTTTTTACATCTAGGTGCGTATATTACTTTGATTAAAAAATAACAAGCATTTAACACATAATCGCTATCTATGAGTCATTGTTCAAATGCTTAATGTGATCTCATTTAATTCTGACAACAGTCCTAATAGATGATGTTACTATTATCCCTGTTTTAAGATACAAAAATTAAAGTACAGAGAGGTTACATAGCGTGTCCAGTAGCGCAGTGCTAGCAACTGATAGAGCCAAGATTTTAACTCACGCAATGTGGACCAGAAGCTGGAGATCTTAACTCGGAAGGAAGCCAGGAAAAGATAATTTCATCTTGGGAAAAACAATCTGATTTTCACCTATTGGTAAACCTAGATAGTCAAAACCAATCGGCCTATCTGACATGAATAAGTAGGAAGCATTTATTTTCTCATATCTAAACTCCTATATTTTTCTATCAACAACACAAAAACACAGCCTAAAAAGCAAGAGCAGCAGAAAAGGAAAAGTTGGAAAAAAAACTGCAGTCACACAAACTGTAGTTAAAAAATGACTAAGTTTCCTTGATATATGAATTTGTTGGAAAACCATTTATCAACAGCCTGTTTCTCTCTAGCAGAGTCCCTCAAGCCGAGAGCCATGTCATTCCCCTTTGACTGATTAATTAGCCAATCAGAGGACATTTTTCATTGTGAGGTATGATGGTTTATTTCAGCTAATGTTTGGTCTCTAATGGCGACACATTAAAGCCAACTCGGCTATTTTAGCCCTGTGGAGTGACCAAAAGGAAAGAACAGAAGATAAATCAAAAGAGCTCCCTTCAGTTCCCCTTCAGTCCTTAACAAAACCCCTAAGGAGCAAGTGGCTGGAGGGAAGATCCTCTACCAATAAAGAGAAAGAACAAATAAAAGAAAGGCACACATGTCTTCAAGCGAAAGAGTAGCCTTCCTGTTTCTGAAGAGCAATAATTTATCTGTTGATTTACAGACCACTGACAGAACAGGCCCCAAAAGTCAATATTTAGCTCTTCTTCCTTTTATCAAAAGCTGTGCTCAATAGAAAATATAGCTCTGTAATGCTTCTTACTCACAGGGCTCATTTTCCCTGCACTCTGAATTAGAAGAGGCTGTGAGTAACCCATCTCAAGCACTATTCACACCAAAGTCACTCCAGCCAGCCAATATCCCACTGCACTGTGGGTTCTCTAAGCTTCTTACCTGTTCCTATGCTGTGAGGGCACTGAAAACACAAAGAAGTGAAGTTCAAGAGGAGGACAGATAGGAACATTCACACATCCAGGACAAGAAGCACATCTTCAACATGTCCACTGACAGCACACTCATCAAAGCGGCTCTAAGGAGCTCGTCTTTGCTATGCAATCACACACTTTATCATCACCATCCTCGTTCATCATTCTAATTTTATGAATCTTCGAAGTTGTGTTAGTCTGTTTTTGTATTGCTATAAAGAAATACGTGAGGCTGGGTAATTTATAAAGTAAAGAGGTTTGATTTTGGCTCACAGTTCTGCAGGTTGCATAGGAGGTGTGCCGATGGCATCTGCTCCTGGTGAGGCCTTGGGAAGCTTCCAATCATGGTGGAAGGAGAAGGGAGAGCCAGCCCATCACATGGCCAGATGGCAGGAGGAGGTGCCAGGCTCTTAAACAACCAGGTCTCGTGTGAACTCAGAGTGAGAACTCATTCATTACCATGAGGATATCAAGTCATGCATAAGGGATCCGCCCCAACAACACAAACACCTCCCACCAGGTCACACCTCCGACACTGGGGATTACAATTCAACATGGGGTTTGGAGGGGACACACGTCCAAACCATATCAGAAGCCTTCAGACAAGACACTACTGTTTCCTTCCTTCCCAACTGATTTAACGATGACTTCCACATTGCTAGTTATATTCCTGGACCCCACTGGCATTTGTGTTGGAGGCCGGGACAAGTCGTGGCTCATGCTGCTTTTGCCTTTTGATGCCTTGTCCAGCCAGAGAACTCCTACCCTTCAGGCCTAGCTCAACTTCCAATTCTTCTGTGTGTCTGTGCCTCCTGACAGACTCAGTGAGCATGAGCAGCTCCCTTCCTGTGTCCCCAGATTGTTCAAGGCATATTTCAACAGATGAATTCAATTCAGCAAGAACCTTATTGAGAACCCACTCCATGCCAGGCATAATTCTAGATATGAGGAAATATAAAAATTCCTGCCCTCACGGGGATCCCAGTCTCCTAAGGGAAGGCAAGCAGTCAACAAGGGAACTACCGAGCATGTCAGCAGGTGCTCACTACTGTGAAGGAAAACAAGTAACCAAATGTCTGTACTTCCACCCAAAACTGCAGAGAACATGGTATTAGAAGGTCACTGCCTTAGTCATTACTTATCTTCAACATCAATTAAACAAAACTGACGCGTTAGGATGTCCTCTACCACTGCTGTAATGGCAAAATGGCAGACAGGAGTCACTTCACTAGAGGACTTTGAGAAGGACGTGCTTCTCAGCAATGACCCTGTTCACTCAGTAGGTTTATATTAAATATTGTGACTACGCACACACAGATACAATTTTCTCAGTTCCAAAGGATGTTTCCTATAAGTTATTATTGGCCATTTTAAACTGTGAGAGTGTTGGTGCTGACTGTGACGACAGTGGTCTCAACAGCAGCAGCAGCTAAGCTGCACTGGGCATTTACCATGTGCTGGGCACTTCGCTAAGAGTTCTTCATGGCTTATTATTTAATCCTCCCTGGATCTTTTATTATCCCCATTTACAAATGAAGAAGCTGGGGCTCAGAGAGGTTAAATAACTTGCCCCAAATCACACAGTCTTCAAACTACTCTTGGGCTCAAATGCAGGCATATGAAACGAGATCTCAAGTGCCTATTCACAACACTATATGGCCCTGAACCAGTTGCCCTTTAGAAGAAACCAGAGTAGAACATTCATTAGATGACCTGATTTCCTCATTCTACTGGCTCAGATGGTTCTACCAGGTATATATATTTGATACCAGGTATCAATGTCTAATCACAGAACCACAGGAAGACAAATCCTAAGACAGCCATTTCATTTATCTACACAATAAACCATCCTGACACTCAGTGGCTTCAAACATATCAGCCATTTCCCTGTTCACCCTATTTCTGTGGGTTAGCAATTCGAGGAAGGGCTGGGCTGGGCAGTCCTGGCTCAGGGTCTCTCACGCGGATATTGTCAAAAGGTGGGGAGAGCTAGCAAAGCGGGGAGCTGGCCAGGCACCTGCTCCCCAGGCAAGCTCGGGGTGCCTGCATAACTCACTGATCATGGTCTCTCCACGGGGGCTTGCCTGGGCACCGGGCCTCCTCATAGCTTGGGGCTCGGGGCAGCTGGACTATTTACATGAAAGCTTCAAGAGCAAGTGTTCCAGCCAACGAGGCCTCAGAAGTCACCTGGAACCCTACTGCTAGACTGTCTTGGCTACAAGCAAGTTCCAGGCCCACCTGGGTAGAGGGGAGGGGGCCAGACTCCACCTCCTGGTGTGGAGGTGGTAAGGGCCCACTTAGAAGAGCATGTGGAATGAGAGGTATCACTGAGGCCATCTTTGGAAAACAGAATCTGCTACACAAACAAGTAACTCAAGACTCATTTATAGATAACTGAGTTTACAGATAAAATTGGAACACCCTACCCAAGGTGAAGGTAACTTCACCTTGACACTCAACAGTTGCAGTTACTCTTTAAGTCTTGAATCTGCTAAGACAGATGACTTGCTATTTTACCTGAAGTCTATTTGATCTCTTGTTTGGACACATCAAGAGCCTTTCACATTCATCTACTGAATAAAGCGCATAAGTAGATAAAGCCAAAATTGCTCAAGTATGTAAGAATCAAGAAGAATCCAAGTAATGTCCTCTCCTTTGTGGTCGAGGAAAACGTAAAACTTCAAGTCAAGACTTAAACCTTCCAGCACCGTTTCAAATGTGATCATTTCACGTGTTCTCTTTACTCCAGAATGAGAGAAGGTCAGAGCTGGAAGGGCTTGAATGCATTTAGCTGGGACTCTTGCCTGGTACCAGAACCTGCACAGGGCACTCCCAAGGAGACGTGCACTGTGGCCAGCAGCTCTGCCAGCCCATGCAGGCTGCTTCCTTTTCCTGAGTTGTTACCTTTCGATGAATTTCATCAGTCAGTGCTAGTTCTTCCTTTGTCCAAACTGTCACCCTGATAACCACACCCATTTCTTCCATCTGTTTCTGTGCATAACATGCTTTCCAGACGCCACTGTCCCTGAAGGCAATTCCCTGAACGTACTCCTTGAAAACATGACACCCATGACACCCAGGCCCGCACAGAGCCGTTCAAGCACAGTCACCTGTGAGGAACACAAGCTACAAGTCTGTTGCTTTCAGCAAGTGGGCACAGCCTCCCTGACACCGCCCAGCCTCCCTGACACCGCCCAGCCTGCGCTCAGGACAGGTGCGACCAGACACAATTTGGCTTAGGTTAAACTTGTGGTCAGGATACATGTCCTACCTTCTAACTAATTTTCATCTAGCTGCTAGCAAATTAGATCTTTCTAGAAGTAAATGACTGTACATATCTTCCTAAGCTTTCACCTTAAAGCAGTGAAAATGTTTTGGCCAACTGTCCCAGCTCACAGTGATCATTTTGAATCAGGATTCTGTTATCAATGGTCAAAATGATGACAAGAATTACTGAAGTCATCACTGTTGGGAAAAAATGAATTTTGGAACTCAAGTGTATTAATTGGCTTGTTTGTGGGCTTATAGTTCTCCCTAACTACAAGGTTCTTAATTAGAAGATTACTTTGGTGTCCAGATGTGGAGTGGGGGGAGGGTAGAGCGATAGGTGCAGGAAGGGGGATCCACCTCCTATAAACCCCTCTTGAAAATCACCTAACCATAAATGTTGGGTATCAGTGTGAAAATTCAGAAAAGGAGAAACACCCTTGAATTAAAAGGCACTTGAAAAATGAAGGCAATAAAGAGACTCTTCTCAGTGATCTTCCCCATGAGGAACTTAAGGCATTGAATCCAACCAGAAAAATGAATGGTCCAAAATACCTCATGAATTCCACCAAGCAAAGCAGAAGCGTCTGCTCGGAATTCATTTTCAGACTGGATAATCAGCAAGCAATGGGGAAAAAAAGGAGATTGACAGAGACGAGAAAGGAACACAAACTGCAAAGAAGTCATGCTTTGCCTCAAAAAGCAAAAGCCAGCAGAAGAATTTCAAGGAAAATGATTATTGATTTGGTATCCTGGGAGAGTGAAACTCTCATGAGGGTTCTAATTCAATCAGGTTAGAGAGGTGAAGAAAAGGAGAATTATTTTGCCAGGAGCCCATGCCAGAAGCATGCTAGACAGAGAAACGAAGTGAGAATGCTGGTAACACATTCTCCATCCTCACTCTGGTTTCGGAGTATTTTCTCTAGTGATAAGGCTCAATCCGGAAACAAGCTGGAGAGAGGAAGGAAACTGGGAAGGTGGGGGAGGGAAAAAAATGAGAGAGGAAAAAAAAAAAGAGTAGCAGGAAGTTCAACCAGATAGGAACTGATGGAATTTGTTTTTCAGTGTCTCCAACTTCAAATTGCAAACCAAGTGAGAGAAGACACACGCTTATGTACACAGGCCCCGGCAGGCACCGGTCAGCACAAGTACCTGCTGCAGGTCTCAAGGGGCCCTGGGAATCTCAATTCATTATCTTCGATCATTTCTTTGTCTCCACAGAAAGTGCATACATCTCCAATTTAGGTGCACTCCAAACCAGTTATTATCTTCCAAATCAATATACAACAAAGATGGTGGGAAAAGGAAGAACTTGGAAATTAGAAATGTGCAACCAGCCGTCCCCACACAGAACAGTTTATGAGAAGTTTTCTGAGCAACTGGCAGTTCGTGATGATCTTTCACCATTGAAGCAAGTACTTCTGAATAGCCGGATTCAGCAGGGAAACAGCGCCTCCTGACAGCTGCTGTGTCTGGAGGAAATACGAAGCACCAATGAAGTCAGAGGAGAGTCCTTCAAGCAGTAGGAATGCTTTATCTTCTGAGCAATGAAAAACAGCCACAGCTGTGAAAAACTATTCTAGAGTGAAATGCAAGGTCTGAAAGCCAGTTTCTGGCAAATTGGATTGATTTTTAAAAACATAAAATGGTGTGAGCAAACATTTATTCAATAATCCTTTCTCAAGAATCCACAAGTAGATTGTGCATGGCGTAGAATGTAGATTATGAGTACTTCCTACTCTCAGAGAAGAAATACTTATTTATTAGAACGTTTCAAAAGGAAAAGACATTTCAAATATCAACCATGATGCTATACAAACCATGATTTTTATGGCAACAAAGTCCATTTTTTAAAAAGAGAAGAATGATGAGGCTTCAACTGACTGAATCCCTACCACGTGCCAAGCACTGGAGCCAGTCACATGCTGGGGACCCAGGAATGAGAACAAAAATCCTCTCTAAGGTGTTCGCTAGCCAGTGTATGCCACAAATGAAAAAGTCCACATGTAAAACACAGTGAAGCAATTTCTTCTTTTTCTTCGTTTTTTTGAGACAGGGTCTCACTCTGTGACCCAGGCTGGAGTGCGATGGCGTGATGATAGCTCACTGCAGCCTCAATCCCCTAGACTCAAGCAATCCTCCCATCTCCAGCCTCCTGAGTAGCTGAGACTACAGGTGGATGCCACTGAGCCTGGCTAATTTTTTAAATTTTTGGTAGAGACGATGTCTCACTATGTTGCCCAGGCTGGTTTCAAACTCCTGAGCTCAGGCAATCCTCCCGCCTCGGCCTCCCAAAATGTTGGGATTATAGGCACGAGCCACTGTGCCCAGCTAGCAATTTCTTTATTAGACGCAAAAAGGTCAGAGAGAGGACAGAAAGCATGATTTAAGTTTCATAAACATGTCCTAGAAATCTTGCATTTAGCTTGGATTGTTGTTTCGCTTTGATATAATTTTCTTTTAATTTCTATACATTATATTCAAAATAATTAAGAGAGCACATTCTTTACTTGGCATAGTTTGTTCCACTACACAACACAAAGTTCATTCCTACTATGCGCACAAAGAAAATTTACATTTTAAGTAATTTTTTTTTGAATGAAGACTTTTAAATGCATAGTCTTAGATTTTAAAGCTTCTTTTTGGACCAAGGACACCTTCGAAAATCCAATGAAAGCTCTGCACATGGGCCCACACATGTTTTGCATGCAATTTAAAGGAGGTCACAAACTCACTATAGTGAGTGTACCCTGAGATACTGCCAACACCATGAGCTCTCCAACACCAGCAGGCTACAGATGACAAAACTGGTCACGATACCACTTTGTACTTACATATCACTTCACAGTTTAACATACCCCTGAAGTTATTAAGTAAATGATTTAACCAATTGGAGTGAACTTTAAAGACATCAAATGATTTGATCTCTACAAGGAGTTCTCTAAAGACTCATAAAATAGAAAATAACACTGAGCATGGCTAAGTGCAGGAAGTAGATCATGGAAACGACAATCGGCCTTTAGCACTGGGTAGTGACCCCTGCAGATCTGAGCAGCCTCAGCATCAAACGGAGAGACCATGTGGTCTGTACACACGATATTCCACTCCTAATCAGACGATTCTGTCGGCAGCTGTGATTGTCAGGGTCACGGGCGGTGTTGGAGGGGTATGCAACTATGATTGGGGTTAGCACAAGGGAGGCCTTGGTGGTAATGAAATAGTTCAGGATCTTCACTGAGATAATAATGGTTACACAATCCACAAATGTGATAAAGGGGCACAGAGCTGTATGAGCAGATGGTACCAATGCCAATTTCCTGGTTTCATCATGCTGTACTGTAGTTACGTAAGATGTAACCACTGGGGAAAACCAGATGAAGGGTACACAGAACCCCTTTACTATCTTTGCAACATCCTGTTCATCTATAAAAAGTTAAAGAAAAAACCCTCATGACTATTAATCAAGGGCTGCAGATGTTTCTTAGATATAAATACATTCAGATCATCCAGTTCAATAGAGAGACGAAAAAATACACAAGCAACACAACATCTATGCTCCAGATGCTCAAGCTCTTTCTTAATTCAGCCTCCAGCCAATAAGGAAGTCAAGTCGTTCTTCAGGCTGGCCTGGACACCTGGTCACATGCTTGTCAACCCCTAACAGCTCACCTCTGACTACAGGTAAGGTAAAGAAGTTTTGAAATTTAAACCATTATTTTCCACAAAATAGCAACAGCCAATCATTTTCCCACAAAGTTACGATACAGCATCAACCACTGGTGTCTCTGGTGAAGCTCAACAGAAGCTGCTAAGGCCTAACTAACCCCCTTCAATGTAGATTTTTTGTTAAATGAGAAAGAGTTCATTAACTTCGGCAGGACTGCTGTATTATCGGAGAAAGGCTGATTTTGGAATTGGACGGACACAGATTTAAAAGCCCACGTGTGCCATTTTGGAGCATTCTAACAATTCTCTCTGTGCCTCAGTTTCCTCACTGCTACAGAGGAGATACTGATATTTACATGACGGGATTGCTGTGAGGATGAAATGAGAAAAATCCAGCACAGGGTTTGGCACACAGGTGCTTAATAAAATTGGAATTCTACGATGGCAGTCAGGAGCTGTAGAAATTAAAATCAGTAGGCTTCCCTTATTGCAAGGGTGATGCTGTTACCCAAGCCAAGAACATGGTTAACGCCAACGTTCTGGAACTCTGGATGCTGAAGACAGATCAGCATCGGCACCTAACTAGAGCACCCACAGAGCTACTGCTACCTTAGTGGCCCGCACTACCACGGTTTCCAGGACTCTGGAGGGAGGTGACCTCCAGCAACACCTTGGCCTCTGCAATGCCAAATATAAATCCAGACCGACGGAGCTATGAGAGTCAAGCGAAGCAACAACATACAACATTCCCGCCAACTGAGGATGGGAGCCGAAAGAGGTTGTATTTTCAAACAAATCTGATCAAAGTCCTCCTGCCTTTGACTATAAGGGCTGTTGTAACTAACAAGGTTAAGGTTTCTTAGCAATAGTCTACTCAAGGAAGGTACCGGTATACCTCAATAAAAGCAAACTTAACATATGAACATCCACAAGGATGTCAAAGATAAATGTAGAGGTCATTTTGCTTTATAGAAAGATACTCTGTTTGTCTTAAATGTGATTACATTTAAATAGATTCTGTTTTCTGCACACATGCAGGCATGTCAAAAGGAAAATACTGCCTAGACGCGACCTCCTCAGTGTGGCACACAGGTCAGCAGCAGTATCACCTGGGGGCTCCTCGGATGGGGATGTACAGGCTCTCAGCCCCCGCCCAGGCTTCCTGAGTTGGAATCTGCAGTTTGACAGGGAAGACCTGTACACACGGCAGGACTTGAGGAGCTCTGTCCTCAGGGTTACTCACGACCCGGAAGCCAGAAGCTCTCAGTACAGCTGCATGGCAGGCTATCCCCGTGTTCTCAACCCTCGCTCCTTACTGAACGTCAGAATAACTGCTGCAACAATTGGGGAGGAATTAAAAAAAAATTTTTTTTAAATTTTTCTCCTTTTGTAATATAGATACCTGGACCCTGACCGAAGATTTAATTTAATCGGTCTTGGGCAGAACCCTGGCATTAGCATTTGTTTAAAGCTCATTAGGCAATGCCAGGACGACCTTGTTGAGAACTATGGCTACAGACGGAGAGCAGGGCCTGGTAGAAGACCACCTCACCAACAGGTAGGACCTAAATTTATCACTGGAAGAAAACACTGAACTGGAAGAGAGAGAGAGATGTGACTAATGGAAATCTCACACAAAACACGATGTTGCATCAAGGTTGATCATCTCTACACACACTGGACCAAAAGAGATTTTCCTGGGGCTAGCATTAGGGAACTGCTTTTGAAGCTCCTCAAACACAGGTGGATGTCTCACTTTAACATGACTTAGCTACCAAAGAGTCAAGTAACACCACACAGTGTTGAAAACCTCAAGGCACCCAACACCCAATAAATTCTCAAACAGAAATCTGCCAGAGGATCAGAAACCTCTGATCTCTTACAACTAAGAGCTTTCTGCACCAAACACATAAATTCTCTTAAAGTTCTACAAAAGCCCACAAGTAACATTTCCCTCCCTGATCTGTTCAACTGTACATTTTCATAGAGGGTGTCCGGGAGGGCAAAGGCTGGGGGTGGTGGGTGAGCAGCAGGCAGAAGAGAGGATCAACGTGCAGGGATGTGGAAACGCCAGTACAGAAGGCACGTGAGCCCCACGGGGCTGGGGAGATGGGGGTTATCTCAAGGTATGGGAGGGACGTGGAGTTGATACAAAGGCTCAGGGTGTGATCGTGGGGTGGGGGCAGCTGTTGGGCAGAGCAAAGGAGATGGAGTTCAAGAGGCGCGGGACTGGAATTCTAGTTCTTCCTGAGGACACGGAGACGACTGAGAGAGTCAAGGAAGAGGGGTTGGAGAGGAGGCTGGGATAAGCCAGAGGCCATGTCCTTGGTGAACAAGGAAGAGTGGCGTAGTCCAGGTCTCACGGTGAGCACTGAGGGCAGAGGTACAACCAGAAGCCAGCCTGTCTGACCATGGCTCTTTCCAGCAGCCCCTTGTGAAGGAGCAGCCGGCACGGCCGGATGTCAGAGCGGCTCCTCCCTAGTGACCACTGCCTATCCCGTGACTCAGCATAGTCCGCGCAGGCACCAAAGCCAGGTATCCTTTCCCAGCCTGCTGCTTCCATCTGCTGAGGGTGCAGGGGCAGACAGGGGCTAAAAGACCCAGGAATTCAGTCCCAATCTGCACAGGGAATCATCTAATGAGACTTCTAACCACTGGTAATTCTGGACTCCCTAAAAATTATTACTATTAAGAAACAAACCACCACCCTAGAAATAAAGATTTCTGTCAGTCTGGAAAAATGCCAGGAATCAATAAACCAAGTCTTCTTTTTTGTTCTATGGTCACCAAGGGCCCTGGCTACAAACCAATAAAAGATCATCAGTACAACATACCAGATTAGCTGAGTAACAGTGGTCACAACCATATATTCCAGATTTTCTCAGACAATGCCAGTTCTAAATACTTTTAGCCTGTTATCTTTAGAAATCCATAATCCTAATATATCTCAAACTATATCCAGGGCTGTCTCTTACACTTCAAAACAGCACAAAAAATTCTTTGCAATATTATACAGCCCAATTTAATAATTAGAATAAATTATGGAGTTCATTCCATTGAGGGTGTAGTTTAGTCACCCCATTCTTTTCTTCTAGTTGTAAGGCAAATAATATTGTATAATAGAGGAAATACCCATCAAACCCCCTTATAGATGGTGCTGATCTAGCGCTGTCTCAAATGCTGTTAGAATGGGACAGGCTGGTTCTAGAGAATGAAGGTGACATGCTTCCTCCCACCTCCATTCCAAGTGGAGTAATGCAGTTTGAGCAGAACAGACAAAATCCCTCCCCTTCTCGGCCATGGAAGAGATATTTTCCCCTCTGATTGTATCGGCAATGGGTGTTCTTCCCCAAGTTTAATCTAGTCCTCACACCAAAACAAAAAGAACAAAAGCCAAACACCAGAAAACACTTATTCTTTTTTTTAAAGATTCCTTATAAAACATTATCTACCCACTAATATTATGAAAAGGATCATATCTAGGCTGTGCATGAAGCCTCCAAAGTGTTTTGGAAAGTTTGTCAGAAAAGTACTAGTCATAGATAGAAACAGTCCTATACACAGGTGAAAATCAGACAGTATTAAAGCGGAACACGGAAACTGTACGTGGCTTTATACCTCGGGAGTCTTCTTACTCTGTCTTTTCCCAAAAATGCAGTCAAGATCTGTTTTGCTCCGAGATGACAGATCCTTCCCTAGAAAAACAATGTGATGCTTTTCAGTAAGACTGTTCTTCCTAAAAGAAAGAGCGCAGACATGAACTATGCAGCACCTCAAAGGAAAATGGCTTTTGGGAAAGAAAGAAACAATTTTGAAACTACTGACTTTCTACCCACTTTTTCATTACAACTCTTTCATTAGTAAACAAAATTAATTAAATTTTAAAACCAAGTAAATGTTTTAGAACCAGAACTCTTGACATTCTCTTAATTGTAGAAACAACCTAGAGCATACTGACTGCAAGGAAAGCTAAATTCTACAGCTCACCCTACTCCCGCTATGCCCTCAAGATGCAATTCCTGGGTCTCTGGGTTCTTCATTTAAAAATAGATCTCATTTGCTTCAGAGACATGAGCTACTTACTTAGAAGATTACGAAATACACATGAAAAAATATCACTAGATACACAGCTCCAGACCCCACATATGCACATGAATGAGAACGTATCATATTTGACACACAGGATCTTAATAATTAACTCAACAAATAAAAATTTTAAAAGAATATATGTAAATCAAAAATACTGTAAAAGGGTGACAGGGTTTCAGATTTTTCTTCTTAAAATGTTCTTTACTGCTCTAGCTATATTGTCTCTAAATAAAAAGCTACATAGGGAGAGTAGGAAATTAAATGGCTCTATGGTTCTTATTTAAAACACTAAACTCTTTAATTTCAAACCCCCAAACCAACTAATTTAAAATTCACTTCTTTGGAATTTCCACTTCTACCCAATAATCCTCTGTGAGCAGTAGGCCAAATCTAGTCCCATTTGTCAACGGCATGGTAAATGCATTTTAAAATGTAACTACTCCATGTAAAGGCTTGAGGCTCTGGGCGAGGGAGGTTCTGGGTCAGACACAGGAATGTGAGTCTCACGCTGGAAGCCGAGTTCCACCGTCACAGACTCACTTGTCTTCTTGGTTTCCTGTAGCACACTGCCTTGGCAAAGTAATGTCATGACCCAGAAGGTTCTAGTTCACTATCACTGGGGCACTTAAATATGATATTGCTCAGTGACTCCGTGAAATTAAAAAAACAAAACACTCTTCAATTTAATGCAAAACCAGGTGCCAAAACCAGTTTCCTAGGCAGCAGTACCAGATGAAGTGGCCCAGGCGGTATGACCTGTTCCTGCCAGGAGGGCAGGCTCCTCTGGGCTCTGGCTGCTGCTCTCCTTCCTACCTGAGCTTGACACTAAGCCCTCCTGCTTTTCATTTATGATTAAATAGGACCTACACAAAAAGACCCAAAAGAAAACCTACTTAAGAATAGACGATGCACACCACAGATACGGCAGAAAATGAACCGGGAAAGTGGGGAAGAAAACTGGTTGTAGCGGGAAGAGGTGGACAAACTCATCGGAGGTGTAGAGATGTCCTCACAGCTTTGCTGCCAGCACAACCCATTTTCCAATGCAAAGCACAGTTTGTACTTCAGAAAAGGCAGCTGTACTTAATTCAAAATGTGTACTGGCCATCTATCCCTAACCTATCCTCTGGAATAGAGACACTCTAGAAAATGCAAATTAAGGTCTCTTCTATAGCAATTTGACTAAAAGGAATGCTGGAGGGATTAAGGAAGAGAGGGTACATGCGAGATCACAGTTCTAAAACATGATGTCAAAATGTGAACACACAGATTCAAAACAGATCTGAAAGTCAAAGGGAAAACTGTCAAGCTGGTAGAGACAGTAAGCTATATCAATGAAGGTGCAAATGTGTCTAAAGTTTTGATGATGGATTCTTGTATCAGAAATTTTTAGCCTTTAGCAAAGTTCACTTAAGTAAATGTAGAAACCAGGATTGTTACAGGCCTTGCTCTGGATTTGATCTGGAAAACAAGAACACAGAGAAGAAAGAAGAGTCAGAGACCAGTGGAAAGGAACATAAAAGGTGGACAAAAAGGTGAAGATGGAAGTGACCTTGAGATAGTTACTAATTAATGGTCCTGATGGAAAGCTTATAAACACCAGGAAATTATGGCCGCTTTTGAATAAATACGACAAATTTAAAAAGCATTTAAAAAGCTTATTTGTTTGAGTTCTGAATTATGGTCAAATCATACAAAATACTGTTGATAAACTTAGAGAAAACGACAATGAAGAAAACTGAATAGGAAACATCTATCTGGATTTGGTTCATCTATTAGTCTTCAATGCGTAACATTTCCAGAACCAGTAAGAAAGGCCTCCAAGAGTCAAACTGAAAGTTCCTGCAAGGATGAGCAGGTACTTTCAAGGAAGAACACTCTATTTAGGTTTGCTTTAGCTGTTTGTCTAATAATCATGATTATCAGTTTCCCAGTCTATCAGAGTAGCTACTGGGAAGGGAGGAACATTACTGCTATAGTCAGACACATTTACAATACCAAGAAATACACATGGGAGGCAACTAAAACTTTCATTGACACGAGAACTTAGGAATCAAGATGATTTGGAAACAGTTTAGCAATAACCCAACAAGCTGTATTAGAACTGAGGCTCAAAAAACCAACTCTATGGAAAAGCAGAGTTGAGCTGCCGAGAGTAAAGAAGTGAAGGGCAAGGAATATGTTTGCTAAAATAAAAAAACACTTAAGGTTTATGTAGGTAGCTTCAATAGTTTAGAAAATTCATTTGCATTATTCAATCAAGAAGGACAAATAAAATGACATACTTTTATTTTTATCTTTTTAAATGGCAAACACACAGAACTGGCAGTCAACCGAGGGCAGAAGATAAGGGTAACTCCACTAAAAGACACCATAAACCAGGAAAGTGGAAAGAGTCAGTGTGAGTGACACAGGTCAGACCTACCAGGTGCTACCTGATATTTATTTAAATGTCAAAAGAATCAGAAGAGGAGATTGAATGCTCCTCACTACCAGTGTGCAACTGAGGGGCGGGGCTGACTGCGCTGTGAATACCAATTCTGTATTTCCCGACCAGGAAGCCGAGCACCTGCACATGCGTTAGGCATGTAGTTTCCTTGTTTCAGTAGCATATAAAATAGCCCAAACTCTCAAAAGGATTAAGAAGTCTGCAAGATTCCCAGGATAAAGCTGCACAATTACAGTTTATGCAACTTTCATCCAACAACTGCATAACTGAGGGGAGGAAGCACTGCTCTCCTGCTCTCCTGCCAACGTCTCACCATCCAGTCAGAAAACCTCAGAAATGGCTTTGTATCGATTGACATTTTCCCCTCTGCAGATATAGCCTCTATCTGCAGAGACCTTTTGCATTAAAAAAAAATACAAAAAACTACAAACCAAGCTGGAGTTGAGCCTTTAAATAAGTATGATAAAACTGACATTTAAAATTATACAATAAATTAGCTCAAGTTAGAATTATAAACTCAGGACCAGGGAAAGGAATAATTATATATCAGAACTAAAACGATATAACCAACCAGGTGCAGTGGCTCACACCTGTAGTCCCAGCACGCTGGGAGGCTAAGGCAGGACGATCACTTGAGCCCAGAAGGTCAAGTCTGCAGTGAGCTGAGACTGTTCCTCTGTGCTCCAGCCTGGGCAACAGAGTGAGATCCTGTCTCAAAATAAAAATAAAAATAATGATACAGCTGATATTTAGGCAGTAGCAAATTTTACAACACTATTTGCTACTGTAATCTTAGTAGAGTAAAATTTTAATCTTCACTCTTCCCAAGCTATGTACAATTGCATCTTCCTGTTTGATTTCCTGGACGATACATGAGTTGCAATATGAATCATCCTCATCAACTAAGTGAATGAGTTACAGTCGTTATCAGCATACCCACTGGCGAAAATCTTTATTATCTACAATGCTGAAAAAGCAAAAGTTCCATGAAATGGGTCATTTCTAATAAATCATAAAACAGAACCTACCTTAGAACTTAATAGTCACTTACAAATGTATCCACATTTTACAAAAGAGGAAACTGAGTCTGAAGGGAAATGGGTAGGTGACTTGTCTGAGCGAGTAATGGCCAGAGTGAGATTTTCTGTGATCTAAGATAGTCCACCCTAGAGGAAACTTTAAAATAAGTGTGCACCGTGATTGGAAAGCTAGCTGATAAACCATTCTTTTCCTCACTCCCTGGACTTTTGCTTCCTTCTCCCTTTCCTACGTAGGCCCAGTCTGCATGTCCTTCCCGTCTCCACTCCAGCTCTTCTCTGCAATCTGACAATAGATCCGAGAATCCTTCTGTTCTGCATACTGACTCCCTCTTCTCCCCAGGCAAGGCTAATAGATACAGAACCCTCGCTGGAAGACAGAAAACGAAGGCACGAGGCACTCAGCGGTCTCACAGGGTCACCCAGCAAAGGAGTGGCTTAACTAGAAATAGAAAGCAGATGCTCCCGGCATCCATTAGATTAAAGCAGATTACAGAGGCTTATCCCAGCCTCAGCAAATGCTTCAGATGAAATCATGCATGCAGTCTGGCATCAAAGGAAAATTAGAAGATTCTACCTGTAAAAGTGAAAGCGTAAAAGGCTGCCACATCATCCGAAAGTTACAGGTCACTGAGTTTTATTAATTTGCTCTGCAACAGCACCTTCTGTGATCTCTAGTTTTTCTCTACAGTCTAATGAAAGAAGAAATGCTATTTCAGGGACTGGGTATGAAGTGAGCATGTACCCTCTCTTCAAAAGGACTGAGGGCCAAGGAAGCCTGTATTCTGTTCCATAGCACGCTGGGGTGGAGAAGAACCCCAGTCAGAAGGGATACGGGCGACAGCCAAGAAAGTTCCATGTGAGAGAAAGAACGGAGGAAGCGGAAGAGCCACGGCTGCTGGAGAGGGAAGGGAGGCCCAGCCTCTCCCTGCACACAATCCCCAATCCACTCAGCTCTGCCACGGCCTCTCACCTCAACCAAACCCAGCCCTCACTTTTGGGCTCCTGGCCCTAAATGAAAAGCATCATCAATACTTCAGAGTAGTGGGGATTCCAGCTCCCACTGCTATCCAGGCTGGCTGTACAAGTTAAGAGCTTCCCAGCAATGCCCTGATACGCATGACATTCCTAGAAGACCAAAGCAGAGATGTGCTGTTCCTGGCATATCAAGGTAGAAACACATCCAACCTCCCAGGAAAGAACCATCAACAGAGACTAGATATTACAGCATCAGCAGCATCATCACGCTTCTTATGTAAACTATGTAATAAGTAGGTTTCTAATTCATGATACTGTTCTACAGACAAACTGGGGAGTTGGTTCTATTAGGTTAAATTGCTTCTTTCCAATGCAAGATCGCCACCTAGTGGCTGAAGACAACAACCGCATGCACAAATGATTTCACATACTGGGAAGGGGCTAGGGAGGTGGTGATGAAGGAATAGGAATTCTCACCCAGGTCTCAAACGGCTTTTTACCCGACTTGGCAATGACTATGGAATGCCTACGCTGTGAAATGGAGAAATTACGTGGAATAAAGGGTCAACCAGGGAGTGTGCTTTATCACACTGGAGGTATCAATATAGAGCATAATTCTCTAACCTGGCGTATTAAAAGCTATTTAACACCAACTTTCAGCTGTGAAAAAACACCATGCAGCTAAAAATGTTGGGCAAGAAATTAAAATTATTTTCTGACCTAGCTACATAAAGTCCCGTTTTCCTCTAAATATAAGCTGATTCCATTTTTTAGCTCAGCCACAGGACTTGTTTACAGTCTAAAACCTAATCTGGGTCCCATCTCAGATCTCCTAGATCTGAATTCTAACAAGATCCTCAGGCACACCACAGTCAATGCGAAGACTCCAGCGCTGTTTCACAGCAATGCAGTCGGAGCTGTCCATAAAGCATGAAGTCGCTATTGGCCCAGAGCTAAAATGCTTCAAGCAACTCAGGACAAACACGTAGATTTCAATAACAAGTAAAGAAATGCTTAATCTTACCTTTTGTGAATTTCATATAGTGAACACGGTTTTTGGAGATTTTGGACTTTTCCTCAAGGCTAAAAGATTTCTTTTCCTTCTTGTCCGAGGAATCTTTAAAAAAGATGAAAAAAATACATTAAAGTCTTTCTAATCCAATCTCATTTATTCTCCTAACAGTGGATAGTCTTGAAAGAAAATTTTAGGAGCCCTATCATTAATGATTGAACTCTTTCATTCATTTGCTCTGCAACAGCACCCTTCTGCTGGATCTCTGTTTTCTTTCTAGGAGTCAAATGATTAGAAATATTTCCTTAATTTGCATACTATGGATCAGGCCAGGCTGCCCTCCAGAAATTTAGAAAATCCTTGAGGAAGAAATGGAAACTTGTGTTCACACAAAACCTAGACACAAATGTTCACATTAGCCTTATTCATCATAGCAAAATACCAAAAATCACCCCCAAGTCCTTCAACGTGTGAATGCATGAACAGCTGAGCAACCCCTGGGCCATCCTTACAGTGGAATACCACTCCACAGTAAAGAGCGGCGGCCGCTGCCACCGCAATGGCCAAAACAAACTCCAGGGCATTGTGCTTAGTCAGAGGTCCATCTACAAACATAACATATGACTCCATCTACAGAACATTCTCGACATGACAAAACTACAGAGAGAGAGGACAGATGAATGGTTTCGAGGGGACAAGGATGAAGGTACAGTGGGTACAAATACAAAGATGAGGCATGAGGTTGCTGTGCCGTGGTGGCCAATCCTGTATCTTCACCATTGTGGTTGCTGCATGAATCTGCACTTGTGATAAAATTGCACAGAACCATCCGCCCATGTACAAATGAATGGAGACCAAAAAAAGATGATGAAAACTGGCTAAGGTTTGTGGTGCAGTTGACAGTAACACCAAATGTCAACTTCCCGGTTGCGAAAAGCCACAGCAATGTAATGTCTCTCCACCCTGGGAGAACAGGGGGAAAGACGTTCAGGACTCTCTGAATTATTTTGCGAATTCCTACAAGCCTGTAATTATTTCAAAATAAAAAGTTCCTTTAAAAAGTAAATAAAGGTAAGACAGGTTAAATGATCACCTAAATACAGATCAGAGATGACGATTAGGTGACGCATGGAGGAGCAGCAATAGCTCCAAGCCACCTTTTCAGGGTTTCGGGAAGGACAACTGGAAGGGCAAAAGGAGCAGGAACACACC
The DNA here is from genome assembly GCF_000001405.40 of Homo sapiens. Classification (NCBI taxonomy): domain Eukaryota; kingdom Metazoa; phylum Chordata; class Mammalia; order Primates; family Hominidae; genus Homo; species Homo sapiens. The sequence continues at coordinate 10,827,352 of NC_000008.11, forward strand.
ATTGAGGAAGACATCCGAGTGGTAACGCCTTTGACGGAAGGGAAAATGTGAGCCAGAAAGTAGGTCCTTGCCTGAAAGGTTGATCAGAGCAGGTTGATCTGGGGTTAGAGTCAATTATAAATTAGCTAGCCACCTGCATTCTCTCACCTGTATCTGCTTGTCAAGTTCAGACAGAAGAGTGCCACAGAAACGATCATAGGCAGAAGAGAGACTAAATTTTCCTACAGTTTTAAGAACATTCAGATATGAGGTTAGAGAAACTGGAAAAAAAGCAGCCGGGCGCGGTGGCTCATGCCTGTAATCCCAGCACTTTGGTAGGCCGCAGCAGGCAGATCATGAGGTCAGGAGATCGACACCATCCTGGCTAACATGGTGAAACCCCGTCTCTACTAAAAATACAAAAAAAAAAATTAGCCGGGCGTGGTGGCGGGCACCTGTAGTCCCAGCTACTCAGGAGGCTGAGGCAGGAGAATGGCGTGAACCTGGGAGGCAGAGCTTGCAGCGAGCCGAAATCACGCCACTGCACTCCAGCCTGGGTGACAGAGCGAGACTCCATCTCAAAAAAAAAAAAAAAAAAAATCCAACAAACCAACCTTCTTCAGAGGATATAAGAGAAATTGGAAAAAAAGAAACTCTCACCCTGACAGTGGAGCGAAACAAGCACGTGTCCATTCAACAACATGTGACTGCACTGCAACCCCTCCCAGGAGTCACTTATTTCAAAGGTATAGTTCCCTATGGGAACTATACAGCAGGCTCGAAAGAACGTGAAGGCAGATGTTCCGCACTTGAGGCAAAGCCCAGCACGGGCTCATTATTTCCACAAGCTGAAACATTCTCTTCTGCAGCCACTTCCCAGGGACACCTTGGATTTTTTGCAAAGACATCCTACCAGTAAATTCTTCTCTTTTGCACTTCATATGGCACATAACATTTTCAATGCTGATGTTCCAATCACAAATCACAGAGGAAGTTATCAGCTTAAAGCGGCTCCTACCGACTGCAAGTGTATGAGGGACGAGGCGCTGGACTGGAGGCTTTCCATGAATTCTTGGATTTCCTTCCCACAGCCACTCCATAAGAGAGCTGCTGTGATGCCTGAACTCACTACAGAGGACGACACTGATAAGGCACACCCAGGAAGCCCCCGCGATGGGACCGAAGCCCAGGCAGACATGACGCAGAGGCCACATCCTGAAGCACCACGCCGTGCCCTCACAGAGCAGCTCTCTCAGCCTTGAGAGGGCAGAAGAATCACCTGGTGAGCGTCTCTACCTTCTCAGCATGCAGGTATCAAGAAGGATGCGTGAGCACCGCCAGGCCTTGAGGAATCACTTTCTATCTATTTGTTCACGTGCACTCATGCCTGAAACTGCTCGGAGTCTGACTTATGCACCAATCTGGCCGTCCTTTCCCGGGTATCCCCTCCCACTTTACAAAGGAAAGGCACAACTTTCCTCTTACCGGGATCAATGAGGGACAAGGGAAAATACTGTTGTCAAAGCAGCAATCAAAGCAGCTGGCCCGGCCCTCACACCCCTACGCTAACCCAGCTCATCAGGAGGTGCACTGCCAAAGAGATGTGTTTAATAAGCATTCATTAAAATGTATAACAGATCTGCTAATTTTATTCACTGTGATCTACTAATCATGAGGGTAGGTGCAGTGGCTAAAGCCTGTAACCCCAGCACCTTGAGAGGCTGAGGTGGGTGGATCACAAGGTCAGGAGTTGGAGACCAGCCTGACCAACATGGTGAAACCCCGTCTCTATTAAAAATACAAAAATTAGCCAGGCGTGGTGGTGTGCACCTGTAATCCCAGCTACTCAGGAGGCTGAGGCAGGAGAATCGCTTGAACCCGGGAGGCGGAGGTTGCGGTAAGCCAAGATTGTGCCACTGCACTCCAGCCTGGGCCACAGAGCAAGACTCCATCTCAAAAAAAAAAAAAAAAAAAAGAGAGAGAGAAAATAAAACCCTAGATTCTTTATGAAATCCTTCAGAGTAAAGTAAATTTTCTGGCCTTAATCGTGGTTTATGGCTCTAGATTTGCCAGCCACACTATCAGGAGGCTTACAGTGCTGAGTATCTCTGCTTGCTTTTCTTAGATGTTATAATGCATTTAGTCCTCACAACAACCTTCCAAAGATGATACTACTGCTTCCATTTAACCAAAGAGGAAATCGAGGTACAGCCATGTTCAGCAATTTACCGAATGTCATACAAATGAAAAGTCAGACCAGGATTAAAATCCAGGCAGTCTAACTCTGGTGTTTGTCTCTAAACCACTGCATTCTATTTAATCTCCAAGTCTTATATGTTCATGCTTACATTCTTACATTCTTTTTTTTTTTGGAGATGGAGTTTCACTCTTGTTGCCCAGGCTGGAGTGCAATGGCGTGATCTCGCCTCACCACAAACTCCGCCTCCCAGGTTCAAGCGATTCTCCTGCCTCAGCCTCCAAGTAGCTGGGATTACAGGCATACGCCACCACGCCCAGCTAATTTTGTATTTTTAGGAGAGACAGGGTTTCTCCATGTTGGTCAGGCTGGTCTCAAACTCCCGACCTCAGGTGATCCGCCCGCCTCAGCCTCCCAAAGTGCTGGTATTACACCGTGCCCAGCCAAGCTTACATTCTTATCTGTGTTTCTACTGAGTTCAACTGTGATCGTAAATATCAAGATGTTTTCTGTGTATAATTAGTAAGGAATAGTGTCCTTGAACTTTACTACTTCATAGATCCTGCATTTCCTAATATGAGTCATTCAGTATTTTCAGAAAACATTTTCCTTATCTTTTTCTTCTGCTAATAAATTATTGCCCTTCATATTAGGACCACACACAGAACTGTTAGGTTATTTCAAAATCATGATCCTATGGATAAGGAAAACTGTCCAAGTTATACATTCCAACAAAAAGTCCAATCTGGTTAGAAAAAATACCAACAAAGCACCTTTCCCTTCACACTGTTGGGCTCACTTCCACACACGTCACTGCAATAAACCTTCCTATGGTTAGATGTGTGCTGTGATTTTACCAGGTAATTACCAGCATATTCTGCTAGCTACCTCCAAGCAGGACTGTGTCTTATACCTCTGCAGATCCTCACACCTAAACTAGTACCCAGCACACAGCTCAATAAATGTTTGCTGAACTCAAGTCTAATTCATTATTTCACTCCACAAAATTCTTTCAATCTACCAAATATCTTTTGATTATTCACACATGACACACAAGGAATAGACTGTTCATAAACAAGAATGTTTATAAAAATGCTTGCAGATTACAACAAAATCCAATTAAAAAATGGGCAAAGTACTTAGACACTTCTTCAAAGAAGATATAAAAATGGCCAATAAGCGATGAAAAGATGCTTAACATCAGTCATTAGGGAAATGGAAATCCAAATCACAATGAGACATCATCTCACACCCATTAGGATGGCTATTATCAAAATTATAAAAGATAATTACTGGTTAGGATATGGAGAAATTGGAACTCTTATGCACTGTTGATGTAGCCACTACAGAAAACAGTACGGCAGCTCCTCAAAAAGTTAAAAATAGAACTACTATATGATCCAGCAATCCACTCCCAGGCATTACCCAAAGGAAAGGAAATCAGCATGTTGCAGAGGTACCTGCAAACCCACGTTCACTGCAGCACTATTCACAACAGCCAAGATATGGAATCAACCTAAGTGTCCACCAACACATGAACTGGGAAACATGTGGTGCATACACACCACGGAATACTATTTACCCTTACGAAAGAATGAGAGTTTTTCATTTGAGGCAACATGGTTGAGTTTGGAGGACATTAAGTGAAATAAGCCAGGCACAGATAAATATCACATATTCTCGTTCATATGGAAAAGCTAAAAGAGTTGAGCTCATAAAAGTAGACAGCAGAATAGTGGTTATTAGAGCTGCGTAAGGAAAACAGCTATGTAGGAACAGCTAAAGATTGGCTAATGGATATAAAAGTCCCACTACATAAGAGGAAAAAGCTCTAGTGTTCTATAGCACTGTAGGGTGACTATAATAAATAATATTTTATTTTATATTTTCAAATAGCTAGAAGAACAGATTTTAAATGCTCCCAACACAAATAATAAATGTCTGAAGTGATATATATGCTAATTACGTTGATGAACATAACACATGTGTACATTACAAATTGTGCACAGGTATTGACATATCACACTATACTCAATAAATATGTATAATTATGTGTCAACTAAAAATAATAAAAGCAAAAAACAAAAAGTAGATAAACATATTTGCATTGAGAACTTATGTCATCTGATTTCCCTACCTGTGGTTTCCTGCCCATGGCAAGTGTTCAGTTCGGCCAGAAGCTGGTTAAAATCATCCTGATGGGCAATCCAGTTGTCCTGAAAATATCAAAGAAATGAACGAGAGGTAAGCCTGTAGTTTACTTACACTGACTGAGATGATACATTTTGGAATCAAGGAAATCCAGTGGTTAATTAAGAAATTTTAAATGTTCCATCAAAATACTATTTGATAAATTTAAGTGGATTCAAGAAATAATATAAAGTTAAAATGCTCTTTATCCAGGTCAATATTAAAAAGGGGCTTCCTGGAAGCTTAAGGCCTGATTTCAAATGTGAATGACTTATCGATCAAGTCAATATATAGTAAATAATCAACAGGCAACCTGTGTGCTAAATGTTAAAGTAAAACATAATGAAATGACTATTTTTTTCTCACTAGGGGAAATTCCATAGTTGAAAGGACAAGAACCATGCGGGACAAAAAAATGCTCTTCTTTGCTTGGTAGAATTAAAATCTTCTAATGACTTGCATCAACTCCAATTTTACAAAACTCTGAGGAAGGGGAGGAGGAAGAACCTTAAGTCCCCTGAATCGATGAGTTCCCATTTGTAAGGTGGTTACCTAATAAGTTTATTATAAAAAAATGAACCTGGCTTTTATAAGAGAATGAAGATCTCCCAAACCAGTGGGAAGCAGGGTTTCAGTGTACGAATCTGCCTTACTCACATTCTTAGCAATTTTTAAGAATGCTTAAGGTAAAGGAATATGAAATAGGTTTACTGGGCAATGCTTCTTCTAAGAAAATAAGTATATCTGTGTTATCTATCCCTCAACAACTACATTTGAAATCAACTTTATATAAACTCTTTCTTTAGTGGCTAAAAATTTTAGCTCCGCCAATCCACTACTCAGAGATACGGAACTAACCAAAGTAATTCAATTTACCTAAAGTAATTTCCCAGATTCCCTACCAGATTATGTTGGCTGCAAAAACTTAGAAACAAAACTTTTCAGTTTAGATCCTTTCCAAAAGGGAACAATGATACTAAAAATAAAAAGCGCGGTAGGCCACTGACTCTGAGTTATAGTGCCATGCATTCAAAGCGTCAGTGTTCAAGAGGAAACGTGAATAAAAAGAAGTGCTGCACCAATGGTCAGAAGCAGATGAACCAATCAACTTTCAGATTTACAAGACTGAAGCCAATTATGCAAAGACACCCAGGAGGCACACACTGCTGCTCACTTCATTATTGATGGTAGCTCCGAGTCCCAGGTGGTTATTTTTCACTTGAACTTTAATATGATCTGTGGCTCCTTGCTCCTGAGCCCCTAAACCCTGTGGAGATTAAACACAGAGAGTTAGAACATTCCTCTCACTGATACTCAGAAGCAGAGCACTGCTACAAAACTCACAGATGCCTACGGCAGGTGTTCTGAGTTGATGATTCTCTCCATTAAATACTTTCACAAAGCAACATGGGGGAGGACTCTAAGTCCTCTGCATCAATTAGCACTCATCTGTAAGATTTTCCAGGTAAGGAAAGATCAAGTGCAAAGACCCGAAGGTGGGAAAAAACTCAGTGTACTGGGAAACCTCAGAGGCACCCAGGGTGGCTTCTGCAAATTAAGGAATGAAGGAAGTAGGATGACGGAGGGGCTAGATCTCACATAACCTACGGGAGGAATTTGGATTTTATTTTAAAGACAATGGAAAACCACTGGTCTTTTAAGGATGACATGATCTAATTTCCATATTTTAAAAGATCATTCTGGCTGCTGTACAGCAAATGGGCCAGAGGAGAAAAAGGAGGGAGGAAGGGAGGCAGCTGAGAGTCTGACCAGTCAGTGAGCTCAAGTGATGACAGTGGCTGAAGCAGGGCTCTGCCCTGCATGGAGAAGAGACGACTGGGGTGCGGGAGGCTGGAGAAGAGACGACTGGGGTGCGGGAGGCTGGAGAAGAATGACAACTGGGGTGCGGGAGGCTGGAGAAGAATGACGACTGGGGTGCGGGAGGCTGGAGAAGAATGACGACTGGGGTGCGGGAGGCTGGAGAAGAATGACGACTGGGGTGCGGGAGGCTGGAGAAGAATGACGACTGGGGCTGCGGGAGGCTGGAGAAAAACGACGACTGGGCTGCGGGAGGCAAGAGGGCGGAGGAATCAAGCATGACTGTCAGGTTTCTGGCTTGTGTAAGTGGCAGACGGTGCCATGTATGAAAAATGGGGAAAACCTGGGAAAAATATATTTGGGGGAATCAAGAGTTTTATAATAGAAATGATACCCTTGAAATGCTTACTCAAGTGGAAATATCAAGTAGGCTATTGAATTTACAAATCTAGAGCTCAGAGGACAGAACTGGACTCAATATAGAAAAATGACAGTTCCCAGACTTTAGCTAATTCAAAGTGTGGCAAGGGAATGAATGAGATCACTGCAGCAAAGTGCAAAAAAGGGGCCTGAGGTTGAGCCTCAAGGAGCCCTAATAATCAAAAGTCTATAGAAAGAAGAGACAGCAACAAATTTAGGAGTGGCAAGTGAGGTGAAAAGAAGAGCAGAAGAGACAATAGCACTGTGGAGGCCAAGACAGAAGTATTTCAAGGAGAGAGTAGTCAATTACATCCAGCACTGCTGAGGAGTTAAGTAATGTGAGAACAAAACAAGCGGCCCACTGATTTGGCACTTAGAGATCGCTAAAGACCTCAACAAGAACCATTTAAGTGTAGAGGTATCAGCAGAGGCTCTACTGGAGTCAAGAATAAATGGAAAGGGAAAAAGCGTGTAGCCTAGTTGCAATGTCTATGAAAGATGCTAAGCATGGCAGCTTAAATGATAGAAAGTTGACACTTATGTCCAATCCTAATTTATCATCATAAGGTCACAACAATTTTTGATTTGGGATCAAAATCACTTACTGATCCAAAGCATAAGTTTCTTCCAGTCTCCTAAGAAGGAAGTTTTCCCCTAATTTCTAATCTCTTTTCATAGCTCAGATTTTTTTCCGCTTTTCTCCAAAATACCTTTCCTTTAGACCACCCCATCTTCTCTAGCATCCGCTGGCCAAACTTGGAATCGTCATTACTCCAGGCAGTGTTCTGAGGATCCACAGCCCACTTCTGCTTCCGCCGACCTGTAAATGAAAAAGCATTATCATCAGCAATGGAGATGATACCCGGAAAATACCACACAAACATACACATGCACAACTTTGTGTATTTTATGTATGTATGTAAAATATGACATACATTACAATACAGAAATTAATTCAACACTCAACAGAATGTTAGACTGGATCATTTATCCTGATTTCCCTAATAAATGTATATTCTAGACATATAAGTTGACCTCTTAAGATTAAAACTGAAATGTTCCCTCATAATGTGGCAAAGCAAATGCTCAATATACTAGAGCTGGGCCTTCCATACTCCGCCATCAGCACAACTGAAAGCACCTGTGGACACCAGCATCCTCATCACCATCAGCAGTAGTAGCAGCAGCATTACAGCTTCCATTGCCATGCGTTACTACATACAAAAGAACATGCAATACCAAGGATGCGCTTAAAATAGTAAATGCCAATTATTCAACCTGAGACCTGCTCCAAACGCTGTACATAATATTCAGTTTTCACAGTACCCCAACGAGTGTGGATAGTACCATTGTCACTGGCAGATATGAAAATCTGAGGCTTAGAGAAAGAAATTTGCCGAACATCCCCAAGCAAAAACCAGATCCTTTAAACCAACCTTGGTCCTACTAACTTCAAAGCTTATATTCTTAATTCACAACATACAATAGTCATTATGCTCTTGGGGAGAGTCAACTGTACCCTCCACACATGTGACCTACAGATAATAACAATCCCATCCCTCTCATTGAGATGCCCTGAAGCCCTCTGACCCCTCTTTGAACTTCTAGAATAACTTATCTGTTTCTTAACATCCACTGTATTAGGGCTATTTATATCCGCCTTTCCGGTTTCCCATTAGACCATCATCTCCTTAGGGCTCATATTCATGTCTTTTTTCTGAGGCTTCATTGCAAGAAGTAAAAAAATCACTGTGCCCACAGCAGGCACTCAATAAATATGTGAATGGAATAAACGATAAAAATGAAGAATGGAAAGAGGAAGAAAGGAGGAAAGAAGAGGGAGAGGAAAAAAGGAAGGAAGGAGTATAACTGAATTAAGGGAACTGCTTTGAATCTCATCAAAGCAACTTTTTTTAATGCATATAAATTACTGATCATTATGAACTCCAGTTTATCACTGTCGTTTTAAGGAAAATTATGGCAAAAATAAAGAACTCCAAAGGTTCAAAGCACAAGAATGTCAAACTGAAAAGTAGACTGTGGCGAAATGAGAAATTTGGAGGTGTCATTATCATTTATCTGCCACATCAATATAAGCACATTGTCTCACCATCAACACAACCCCTCCTACCTTGCCCATCTCATCACATAATTAAAAAATAACATGACCCCCTGTCAAAGGGGCTCACTGTGGCACACATAAAATCAATAGAGGCCCATAACTATGCACACTCCAGCAAAAATAGGAAATCCTTTACAAATACACAGGCAGAAAAAAAGGCCCTTAACAAAGCAAAACAAGTTGGGCTCGAATTTGTAGTGTTTTGCAGAAAAAAAAAGGTGACCCAAAAATGTTCCATCTAAATTACCACTTTACTTATCTTGGCAAATACTCAGCATAACACTGCGTCTGCTAATGAACAACACACCAGAGAGAAGCCTGTTAGCCAGTATTCTATATGCAAGCTGGCATCAGTGTGTCAGAGTTCATGTGTCTATGCAGTGCTTGCCAGGGGTCTTTGACTAGGGCTTGTACGAAGGAGACAGTTTTGAGAATAAGCTCACGCTCTGCAGTTAAGAACTGCACACGCTTCACATTACCTACTTATATAAAACAAACTATAATGCCTACACAAGAGATTAGCTATTCAAGGTCAATTCCTCTCCCCTGGGAAAATGGCAGTTAGCTTCAATCAATGGGATCACACCAGTGTTTCCAAACAAGGATGTTGGGGGGGCGGGGGGTGGCAGTTTCCCATTGAAAATGAGTAACACTGGGTTAAACTAAATTTCATATGGAAGAATCTCCCGGAAACTTTACTATGCAAATGTGCAGATCCTCTTAGAGGAGGCCAGAGCAGGCCTGCCATGCTTCCCAGACTTCACTTGACCAGAACCCTGCTTCCCTGGAACATTTCCCAGCTCTAATGGCACCCAAGTTTCCAGGTGTGGAAAATCATGGTAAGGAAAAGACTGCCTCTGAGCTGTTCCAATTGGATCACCTTTTACATGTCCTTTGTAATTCTCATGCCACAGTCTGTTCTGTGCTCAGATCTCAGCTTTGTTCACTAACACAGAAGGCCTGACTGCTATCCTTTGAAAGGCCTGTTCATAACAGGGAACTCAAGGGTTCCCACCATTCGCAGAACTGGTAAGAGTGGCTCATTGTGCCTGTTTATGCAAATGATACAGTTTATGCTGAGCACCTGCTTTCCTTCTGCGAGCCAGGAATTTTGGTGCCTCCCAGGTAGAGGGTGTCTATGTGACCAGGCCCCAGGAAATCCCTAGCACCGAGTCTCTCACTAGCTTCCCTGGTGGGCAACATTCCATATTTGCTCTCAGAACTCACTACTGGAGGAATTAAGCGTGTTATGTGTGACTCCCTGGGGGAGGGCTCTGGAAGCTTGACGCCTGGCTTAGCCTGGACTTTGCCCCGTGCATCTTTTCCTTTTGCCGGCTTTGCTCTACATCCTTTTGCTGTAATAAATCTTAGCAGTGAGTGCGACTATATGCTGAGTCCTGTGCCTGAATCCCCCAGCACATCATTGAATCTGGGGATGATCTTGGGGACCCTTGACACGATCTGGAACAGCAGTGTTTACAGCATGGCGCTGGGCCTCAGGTAGAATGCCCTGAATCTGCAGAATCACTATTTGGGAAGTATTTAACCATCCTCTAGCAGGTACTCCTATGTGGAGATCTAACTGTAAATGGGTCTGTCGGGATACTTTTGGGGCAAATCCAATAAAAACCATCCACACAACAGCTCAATACCACATGACTTATGCTAGGATCCCATTTACTCTAAAGGGCGTGTTGAGTCCCAAGAGCCAGAGGCAGAAGTTTTAAACAATCTCTCAAAATTCAGAGGTTGATCAGAAGGAGAGTATTGTTACACTAAATTAAATTTGGCCTGAGGAGGCCTCCGTACTTGAGTCCTTACATAAGGAACTGCAACCTACGTTAGAACTTAAAGGAAGCGAAAGCCTACCGTAGGAGTATACTCTTATAACATATAAGTGAGCCTCAATCCATTACAGCAGCTAGGCTTCAATCACAGGCAGCCATCTGATTCAAATAAGGCAAATCAGAGCGGTAACCCTAACCAAGTTGTCGCTGTACCTCACTTCCGTTTACTGTCCATAAATACTGCCTGACCACATAGCAGGTTGGAGTTCTTAGAACCGGTTCTAGTTCTGAAGGCTGCCCAATTCTTGAATCATTCTTTGCTCAATCAAACTCTGTATAATTTGTCTAAGGTTTTTCTTCTTAACAACACCAATCCTAAGTATCTAATTACAGAAGATGCTATACCCATTTAGCAAATTACGAAAAAGAAAACACAAAAATATTACATATTATAATGACAAGGATTTGACAATTTGGAATAACGTTGGGAAGAGGAGAACTGAAAACACTCTCTTGAAATCATGTAATCTGAATTACTGATGCCTACAAATAGCATTTTACACCTCTATACTTCAGACTTTTCAAACTATGTTCATGTTCACCATCTCACTGATTTAAGGCCACCTAGGGATAAAAATATTAAGAGAAGATTTTGTGGCCTCACAAACACTGATCAAAGGAACAGACATAAATGAATAGCAGAACTAGGGCCAAAGTCGCCAAGTGCATGCTGAATTAAGCAAACATCAAAGAATACGAAAACCAGAAGAGATCTTAGCTATCTAGGCTCTAACCCTGACTCCTCATTTTTTACTGGTGAAAAAATAGAACCGACGGGTTCAGTCTAAAACATACTCATTTCTATGGGTCTCCGCTGGTCTTACTGGCAAGAACATAAAGATACAGAGATAACTGGATCAATTTTGCCATTTTCTACCTCAATGACTAGGGGCAAATTATTTTCCTTTGAACGTCAATTTCTGCCCCTGTAAAATCGGGATGGTGCCTGACCCATTTCGTTTTGTGCTCCTAAGTCCTCCACCCTCTTAGAAAAGAGAGTGCTAACAGCACTTATTTCACAAAATCCCTGTGCTGGTCTGCTTGATCTGTTAAATAAGCTGTTTCTGTTCTTTGCTCACTGTACAACTCGCCAAGCAGGACCCGCTTTTCAGGATCAAAGCATGACTGCCATCTGGCGGCAAGCGACCTTCGCTACAGGTACAATTCAGAAGTTCAGCAGCCTCTACAGAGACAGGGGTTTCACCGACTCCACCAAGTGAAGATAAATGTCAAAGGTAAACAGGCAGGACGGGGCGCTGTGGCCAACTAACAAGGTCAAAAACGCCAGTCTCACTTAGAATTACACATTAGCCCTGCACTCCCTCGCTAAGTGGCTGACGTCCCATATTTGAGACTTCTAACTCCTTTGCTTTTTCTTTTTCTGGGTCCAAGACATCTTGGACAATGTGATTACAGTTTCAAGTGATCCTTCTGCTCAACCTTCTCTTTTTAACCTCAGGAAGCTGAGGTCCGGGGTGGGTGAAGCAACCAGTCCGGGACCCCACAAAGGGCGGCGGCGGGGCCAGTCCCGGGACCCGGTGTTCTGACCCACTTCGCACGCGACCCAGGGTGATTCTGAGAACGGCGTCTCCGGGAGACACTTGCGGTCTCTCTCACTAGCAGACCTGCGGCCAACTTTCGGGGAGCTCTGCGGCGAGCAGGACAATCAGAGCCGGGCTCGGCTCCCCGGTCCCCCGATCCCATGCGCCAGGCGCGCCGGCAACCCGAGCTCCCAGCCACTCCGGGCTGCCGTGCGCGTCACCCGGCATCTTCACCAACGCGCCTGGGTCGGGCCTCCGCTTCCGACACTCACGTTCAGCCAGCATAGACATGTCGGAGAGCCTGTGATACCGCCGCCTCTGGACCTGGGTGACTGCGGCCACTGGGCGGGCTGGAGACTCCAGGAGAATCAGGACGTGCGTAACTCCCTCGCCGGCGGACTGCAGCGGACGGGGCGCGTGCTGGTGACGTCAGTAGCGCGCGACTCGCTCCTCGAGCACGCGGCGGCGAGGGGGCGGAGCAGGGCGGGGCAACCTGGGGAGGTGACGGGAGAAAGAGGGACTGAGGGGGCGGTGGCCGCCCTGCGGGAGGTGGAGAAAGGAGTACGTATTCGCTCATTGGCTAGAGGGAGTGTGCGTACTAAGCTATTGATGTGAGTAAAGCCCGCCTGGGCGTGTCTGCCGCGGAGCATAAGCTCACGTGGATTACCTGTAGGGTCTCCATCAGGAAGCCCTAGGTGCCGGCAAGAAGGGTAGTGGAAAGACGTGACCTGCCCTCAAGCAGCTCAGCCTCACGGGGAAAAGAAATGTGTAAAGAGCTGAACTTAGGGTCATGGATGTTGTATGGACAAGGAGTTTGAAAAACTTGGCTGGAGGGGAGGACTTTGCATTGTAATGTCCCATCTCTTCCTCGTACCCTACCTCTGCTTTCTGAGATAGATAAACAAATGGATGATAGATAAATAGATAGATAGATAGATGATAGATAGATAGTAGATAGATATCAGAAGATAGGTCTGCTATCTATCGGTTTTTTTGTGGGACCCCACACAAAATAGTTGTGGGGAAAATGTTACCTCTTTAAATAATGGGATGCCTTCAACAAGGCAAAGGTTTTATTTATTTTCTCCACCACAGTGCACACACTGGAAGGTTGCCTTTATTATATCCATTTCTGTATTCGTACCAGCACCTCGCAAAATAATGTGAGTATGGTAAGGCTCCATAGATGTTTGCAAAATTTAATTCAAGTATCCCTGTCTCCAGGGGAGTTCTAATAAGCTCTTAGCTATAACACTTTTAAGTATGGTAAAGACATGTTTTTGGGTGAGTGACTCTCCAGTAAACTTCAGGTGACAGTGCACACAGAAGCCTTTCCTACATAAAAGGAAGGTAAAAAGAGCACCACTCAGGTGCCAAGAAAAGCAATTGAAGGACTAGATTCTTGTTTACAATGAAATTCTCCCTTTAACTAGGAATCTGGATGAAAAAGGTAAACCCTAGTTTCATAAAAGTTAGAAGAAACACAAAAGGATGCTTATAGCTATCAGTGAATACTGAGGGGGTGAGGGGAGGCAAGTGAATGGAATTTTCCCAGCCAAGGCAGGAAAGCTGTGACATTGTGACATAGGGAACAAGGTTAAAAGTAGGGCACTGGACTCAGGAAGGCAGGATCACAAAAATCTTAGGATAATTAGCAGATCTATTGGATTATGCCAGAGAGAGTGGAAGGTAGTTATATAGAATGGAGAATACTGAATTAGTCGGAAATCAGAGTTTTTCAAGCACCTCCTGTGTTGGTATATGATTTCAGAAAGGTAATTTTGTCTCTAAGATGGTCAAGAAGATCGAAGCAGACATTTATGGCCTGTTGCCATGGTTCAGGTGGTAAATGGTTAGTTATCGTTGGATCTTCTGTTACAATGAGGTGTCTCCTGGAAACGCTCAGTTAGAGGCCACAGAGGAATATTGTAGAAGGGACTCTGCCTTTTGGTGAATGCAGGATGGTTTCCTATTTTGTTTCAACCCCAGCATTCTATATGGCTATGAAATATTAATGGAGATCATCTACTGAAAAAGAATATTATTAAGTTTGGGATTTAAAAAAAATTACAGAATCTTGTTTGTATTTTAACTGGCCAGCTGGAGTGGAAATTGCACTTGTTAAAAGAAGGTGATCCAATGTAACCCATTCCATCTTGTCCTTCAGTGTCTCAGCAGACTCCCTTGGGCAATACTTCACAGACATGACTGTGCACGCCAGTCACCCAGAGATCATGTTAAAATGCACATCTGGTTCAGCAGGCCTAGGGTGAGTCTGAGATTCTGCCTTTTTTTTTTTTTTTTGAGACAGGGCCTCACTATGTTGTCCGTGCTGGAGCATAATAGTGTGACCATGGCTTACTGCAGCCTCTGCCTCTCTGACTTAAGCAGTCCTCCCACCTGAGTGTCCTAGGTAGCTATGACTACGGGCATGTGCCACAACATCCAGCTAAATTTTTTTATTTTTATTTTTTGTAGAGACAGGATATCCCTATGTTTCCCAGGCTGGTCTCAAATTCCTGGGCTAAAGTGATCCTCCCACCTCAGCTCCCAAAGTTTCAGGATTACAGGCATGAGCCAGATTCTGCATTTATAACAGGGTCTAAAAATGTGGATACCAATGATCCACAGACCTTTCTTTGCATAACAGTCCATGACATGAGCAAAGGTATGAATGGACTCAAGGGTAAAGTAGTTTCTCTTTTTTTTTTTTTCTACACAGGTAGTTGGCTCTCCCAAGTACGTAGTTCTGCTAGTGTGGCCAGAAAGCAGCTAAACAATAGATAAACACTCATTAATGTATCTATTGTTTGGCTGCTTTCTGGCCACACCAGCAGAACTAAGCAGTTGGGAGAGACTGTGTGGCCCCCAAAACCTAATATATTTACTGTCTGATCCTTTAAGAAAAATTTCGCTGGCCCCTGAATTAATTTCAAAAACATGATGCTCAGTGGAAGAAGTACATGCTATATGATTCCATTTATATGAAATTCTAGACTAGGCAACACTAATCAGGCATGTAGGACGGATTTGAATGATCCAGGCCAGAAGCCATTCTGTACAACAAAAGAAGCCAAAAGATGTATGAAGAGAAGGAAGACTGAGATAATAAGGGCTAGATCTCCCTAAGGCAGAGCATCAGAGGGAACACTCATTCACTAACAGCTTCTCCTGAGGCTCTGGAGAGGCCCTGGGGCCCCAGCGAACTTGCTTGCAGAGCCTGGCTGCACTCTTGGTCCTTCACTCCCTGTGAGGTCCGATTATTTGTCTTTTTTCCTACCTTGGTTCATTTAGCTGAGAGTCTTATTTCCTTTTCATACTTCTAATATACCTCCCATTACATAAGGTAAGCCAAGTGAATGTTGATTCTTACAAGCAGAAAAGTGAAATACACATGAGAAAGTGCTCAAGATACGTAAAGGGGAAAAAATCTCTAGGACACCAAGTTGATCATTCATAGTTCATTTAATATCAGTAATTAAAAAATACATATTAAATTAAAGTCTAAAAGGTAATACTCTAATTCTTCACTGAAAACCATATCTAGTTGGTAAGGTTATGGGTTGTTGTTTGATCTTCCTAATGCTTTTTTTTTTTTTTTTTGGTACATTTTTCTTCTTGATGTGAGTCATATTTTCCTGCATCTTTCACACCTGGTAACCTTTTTATTTTACATCCGACATTGTGAGTGTTACTTTATTGGGGGCTGAAGGCTTTTGTATTCCTTCAAATATTTTGTTCTGGGATAGTTAAGTCCTTTGGGGAAAATGTGGCCTTTGCAAGCCTTTTGTGTAAGTTTTGCTAGATGGGCCCACAATAGTCTTTAAGTTTAGTTATAATCTGGTCCCATTGTTAAAGCAGCAGCCTGTCAAGGACTCTGCTTGATGCTCCATGTGTTTAGAAATTATTTCCACTGGGGAAACGCAAGTTGCTTTTGGCCCTGTGTGAGCTCTGGGGATTTTTCTGCCTTCTTGTCTCTGGTGGTTCTTTCCCAGTAGTTTCCTCCAGTGCAAGTGTTGCTCAATCTTCATTTGAAGACTTGAGGGGACGCTTCTGCAAATATCTGGAGTTTCCCTTGGTATAATTCTCTTCTCTCTGACACTCGGCCCCAAGAATCCTAGCTTCCTTGATTGTTGTCACCTTAGCTCAGTGAGACCTCCAGGTTCTGTCTGAGTTCCGTCTCCCTATGCTGCAACCTGGAAACTCTTCAGGCCAGAAATGAGGGCTATCAAAGGGCTCACCTCCTTTATTACCAAATTGTTAGGATTGCAGTCTTTCACTGCCTGTTGCTCAATGTCTCAAAACCATTGTTTTGTCTATTTTTCCCAGCTTTGTAGTGAAGGTGGAAGGGTAAATCCAGTTTCTTTACTCCATCATGGCCGGAAGCAGAAATTGCTAATACTCTGACTATTTCAAATAACCTACAATTTGTATACTAGCTGTGAGTACTTACAAAAGTCAAGTATTTAAAAAGTAGAATCATTCTGTCTGTAACTGGCAAATTAGAACTGTAAAGGTTTTAAGCCAAGAAACCAAATTTTGCCTTTGAATTGAAACCACCTTTGCTAAAATTATAACAGTGAGAAAATTATGACAATGAAAGAGACCTGACCTAACCAACTCCATCTTGCCTTTAACCTCCAAGCTGCCCTTGTTCATTCCTGGGTGTAGGCTGAACTAACTTTGGGAGGAATTTAGTTAATAGTTTAATTTTAAAACAAGGATGATAACAGCCCCTCCCTGAAACAGCCCCACCATGGCTCAGGTATAATACAGCCAGAGGCCACAAGACTGCTAACCTACCTATTTGCTCCTATAGATAACATTACTATTATAAAACCTAAGATTGGTGTTTTATAATAGACCATAACATTCTGCATTCTGATGGATCCGCTGGAGCCACCCAGGCCAGTAAAGTGGCTCGTCTGGTCTTGTGGCCCCTACCCAAGAAGTGGCTCATGCAAGAGGAGAGCTTCGACTACCTATGATTTCGTCTCCAACCCAACCAATCAGCAATCCCCATTCCCTAGCCTCCTGCCTGCCAAACTACTGTATAAAAATTTCAGTTTCTGAATTTTCGGGACAGCTTATTTGAGTAATAATAAAACTCCAGTCTCCCATTTAGCTAGCTCTATGTGTATTAAACCTTCTATTGCAATTCCCCTGTCTTGATAAACCAGGTCTATCTGGTTAGCCTGCGAGAGAAACCCATCAGGCAGTTACAGAATCAATGTTTTTTTTTTTTCTTTAGTGATGACAGATAAACCTGAAATGACATGATGCAGAAAAATAAAATATCATGTGCTCTGAACGACTGCTGTTTAAAAAAAAAACTAAACATTTGAAAGAGCATCTTAAATTTTAGTAGATTTGTGTATATTGTAGACATTGGGGGAGGCAGGGTAAAAGAAGAAGAGATTTTTTTTTTCCATGTATTTCAAGCTAATTCTGCCATTGATATTTGCCGTAGGTCTCTCCTGCACCCTTCCCTCACCAACATTTTGGGTTATTTCTCTAATTTTCCTAAAGACAACTGATGCAGCCTGTGGCATCTTTTTGTGTGTGAGCATCCCAAAAAACCGTCACCGTGACCTTGGCTTTTGACCAGTCCACTTTCTCTTTGACTGGACCATTTCCATTTATTGGTAGCCATTGCTTTGGTTGTGATTTGTCTTCAGGATTGTACTGGTGAAGCTGTGGTTTATTTCCTGTTTCACTTCTCCGAAGAAGTGCTTCAGGATCTTCATTCCACTTGTTTAGAATTTCCACTGAAAGCTCTGCTCTTGTCTGCAGCTGATCTGGGTGCAATAGTTTTGGCACCCATTGAATGGAAAGATTGCTCAACTCTAATTTTTCGGTCAGAGTTGTATACACTGAACCAATTGCGATATCTATGGTTTGGCTATTGTTTCTCCTGTAAATCATTAGCCCTCTTCAATTAGTGCATGAACAAACTTAGTTTTTTCCTTGCAAATTAATGTGGATGATCTACCACTATAGGTGTAATCTTTAACATCATCTTATTCCTTCTTAAAGTAAGTTATCCGCTTGTAAACTGCTTATTTCTTTGGGGCATTGTCCCCATAAACTTTTTATAAAGCATCAGTGATTTCACCATTCCACCCAAGCTTCACCATAAATTTGGTGTTTGTTCTTGCTTCAATTTTAGCAGAATTCATGTTGTTCTGAAAGGGGGCTCTTTCAAATTGATGTCTTAGTGCCTCAAACTAGATCATGTTCTAACATGTTATAACAAGTTATTACAAGTGTATTTTGGTGCAAAAAAATTGAAATCCATGCATAATATGACCTTTCCATGAAGTTTTGGAAGACCTCTCCTATGCTTATGCATACACTCCCCAAACGTATCAATCCAGTTGCTATTGCCCAAGGAACAGAAGGCTCATCACTCCATGGAGGGTTTTTCCTGCAGCCCCTACCTAAGACCTTCTCACTTTCTCTGACAGTCCTATCATCGTGTCGTAAAAGGCCTGCCCACTTAGTCCAACACACTGGAAATGGATGATTGACAACATGTTTATTTACCCATCCCCTGGGGGAAAGTCTCAGATTTTGTGAGGTTGTTGCCCCTGCAATGTGCTTTAAACTCAGCTTTCTGTTGCTTGTGTCTCTGGGTCAGAAGAATTTGTCAGTGATAATGTTTTTGTTAAAGTCCTATGCCCAGTTAATGCCAACTCAGCGCTCTCATCCCCTAGGGCTCCTGTAATCATTTTTCTTGCCTTCTCTTACAGTTTCTGTATGTTATAGAAGTTCAAAGAAGACAAACTCTAGCCAAGAGCAGTGTGAAGAAAAGAAGACGCTATATTAATCACAGTCCAGGGATGCCTTCTGGCTTCCTGGCAGCAATTCCGGCCTGAGATTCCTTCTCTGTGCATACTTCCTGTCAACATTGTGTGATGTCAAGCTGTGGCCGTCACAAAAGTACTGTGAACACCTGTAAATCCCAACTATCAAAAATCACACCCAGGAATCCAAATTAGCATTATTATGTCAAAAGAAAAACCTGATTTCTTCACTGTCTGATAACTGCTTTCTTTATTGTCCTAAACTAGCATTCCCTAACCTTTGAGTGAGATAGTGACACTTTAGTTTCTTATATTCTAAAATGTTTTCAGGGGCAGCTGGTGGCAGAGGAGAGGGCAGTGGGGATAGGGCAGGGAGACAGATACCTGCACAAGGAAGGTATGGGGATGAGGTGGGAGTCAAGATGATGAACGGAGAGAGGGATGGTAACCGATTTAGTCACCCATTTGAGAGGGTCTCCAGACTTGCACTGCTGGCTAAAGACTCCTGTCCTAAGTGAGAAAGCATCATGTCAGGCAGGGGCTCTATCCCGGTGGTTATGGGTGGACATTCTGGAGTGATCTAAGGAGGCTTCCCGAGTCTCACTGTTGGCTCTCCCTGACCCCTTCTAAAGCTTTCTTTCTAGCTTCTGCTGCCCTCCAGGTAAGCACTCCACAGCCTGTGGAGCTCTGTGGGTATAGTCTGTCCTTCCCATAATGATTTGCCTCGCTGCAGTAATTAACAGAATGACTTCCAAAATTAAGGGTTCAAATCTGGCTGTGACACCTACAATTATGTCCCCTCTCTGATTCCTCACCTGCTAATCCATGGGGTTGCTGTGAGCACATGGGATGCCTCATGATACTGCAAGTGGCCACTGCCAGTTGCCTTGAGAATTACAAGCAGCTCTTGGTGCCTAATCTGCTCCATCTCTTATTCTTCATATTCTATGTATGTCTTCCTCTGCCACTTACCAGCTGTTGACCTTGGGCAGGTTACTAAATTTCCTATGCTTTCTTTTCCCCATTTATGTAAGAATAGCAATGATACCTACCTCAAAGGTACTGTAGATGCTATAGATGGAACATTGGTTTCCTCCTTAAAATTTACATATTGAAATCTTAACCCCCAATGTGAGAGTATTTGCAGGTGGGACCTTGAGAGGTGATTAGTTCACTAGGGTGGAGCCCACATGAATGGGATTAATGCCCTTATAAAAGAGATCCTGGAGAGTCTTGTCCCTTCCACCCTGTGAGGACATGGTGAGAAGTGGCCCCTCACCAGACACCAATTCTGCCAGCACCTTGATCTTGGACTTCCCAGCCTCTAGAACTGTGAGAAATAAATTTCTGTTGTTTATAAGACTGTGTTACCCAGTCTCTGGTATCTTGTTATAGCATCCTGAACTGACTAAGACAATACATGCATTGCTATTCAATGAAGTGATATATACCACTCAGGACAGCAGCTGGCACGGAGAAGGAACTCAGTATATGATGTGCCTGTTTTCAGTGCACACAATTTTGTTTTGTTTTTAACTATACACCAAGGCCACTGTCTTGATCTGTCCACAACTGATGACCATGTAGGTAACAAATGAGAGACTCCTGGGTGGTGGGGGGGAGTTTCTTTGGACATAGAACCCTTCAGAATCGTGACCTGTTACATCACTAGCCGGGGGTTATTGCTGGTTGAGGGGGGTGATAAAGAGGAGGCCATGACCATAGAGTACAAATACTTGCATCAGGCATTACTTTAAGGAAATATCTCTAAGTCTTTTAGGACACTTTTATTTATACAGTGTTAATTTATACATAGTCCCTTTAAAAAAACTTTGTTGCAAGAGATATTAAGTCAAAACCATTTGCAAAACTGTAGCACCCCATTTTTTAAAATCCCACTTTTAAATACAAAAAAGGTATATATAATAGTCTATATATACATACATATATGGTTATTATATGCATGGAAAAATTGGGGGAGACTCTATTCCAAATTGTTAATACTGATATTTTCAGCAGAGGGGGGAAAGACATTACAGAAGACTTTTATTTTCTACAGTATGCATTTCTATATTATCAAAACTTATAAATAATAAAAATACATGTTACTTCTTTATGATATCAGAATAGTTTAAATACTTCTATTCATTAATTTGAGAAAAGGGGCATGCAACTGTGGAAAGTGTGGTCCGCACATGGAATGGACATAAGTGTCTTGCCTGGAAATTCAACTCCAACTCATCTACTCACTCCAAGGCATGCTGGAAACCCATTATAGGCACCCATGACAGAAATCTGTCAGCATTTTGGAAACCACTTGACCCCTATAGGATGACTATGTGAATGCGGAGCTGTTGAAAGTGTCACTCAGTTGGCCACCATTGGGTCCTCTGTAGACGCCCTGGCTTCTGGTGCACATAGTGTGTCTGCAGCAGCTCTGCTCTGCCATGACTCCACATTTTATGTCTGTTAGTAGCTTGGGAGAAGTTGGAGTGGGGTTAAGAAGACATATTCTGTGGGCTACCCTCCAGCTTACTCCTCCATTAGACAATTAACAATGTACTGAACTGATGGGGTCAGATTCCAAGACACCAATTGGACCACATTTTCTAGTGGTCAAAGTCACTGTCGGTGGCAAAAGTCACAAGCCACAAACTTAGATGTGGCTTTCTCTGTGATGGCAAAAGGAATGGGCTGAGCCAGAGTTGTCTCTCCGGGAAGCCTTGCCCATCTTGCTTTCCACCTCTCTCCCTCTCTGTGAGTACGAGCGTGGCAGGCTTATAGATCAGCCAGCTGGGGAAGGAGTTAGACTCAAGGCAGAGAAGCAGCCTCACTTAGGCCCGGAGTCTGGTCATGGACTCCAGTTTGGTTTACCAGAAACCGTACATCAGGGTAAACACCACATGTCCAGGTAACAGTGACGTACAGTGAAGGGAAGAGCTTCATTCACTGATGTCAACTCTTGCTTGGGGCCACTTCCTTTTTCACAGAGCAAATGATTCTTTGAAGTCCAACTCTACGTGGCGCACCCAAAGCCAGTGATGACGGGGATGCCTCCTGACTCCAAAATTTGACTTCTAGTGGAGGATGAGATTTACAAAACGCTGTTTTTTGCGACCGAGGGTGGGAAAGTCCTCACTTTTCCATAGTGTTCACAGAGTGAAGATGTCATGATATAGGCACCTTCCAAAGTGTGCTGGTCCCTTCCAATACCAAAGATCTCTCCCAGCCTCATGGCACTCATTCTCTGCCACTGCCTGACCTTCCTGAATCCTTTCATTGCCATATTCTGCTTGCCCTACATTTTCTTTTATTTTTTAAAAAATTTTTAAGACAGCATCTCACTCGGTTGCCCAGGCTGGACTGCAGTGGTGTGATCATAGCTTACTGCAGGCTTGAACTCCTGGGCTCAAGTGATCCTCTCACCTCAACCTCCTGAGCAGCTGAGACTACAGGCTAGCACCACCACGCCCGGCTAATTTTTAAAAATTTATTTTTTGTGGAGATGGTCTCACTATATTGCCCTGGCTGATCTTGAATTCCTAGGTTCAAGCAATCCTCCTGCCTCTGCCTTCTAAAGTGCTGGAATTACAGGTGTGAGCCACTGCACCCAGCCATTCCATGCATTTTTCTTTTCTTTCTTTCTTTTTTTTTTTTTTTTTTTTTTAAGACAGTCTCGCTCTGTCACCCAAGCTGGAGCGCCATGGTGCGATCTTGGCTCACTGTAACCTCCACCTCTTGGGTTCAAATGATTCTCCTGTCTCAGCCTCCAGAGTAGCTGGGATTACAGGCGCACACCACCATGCCCGGCTAATTGTTGTATTTTTAGTAGAGACGGGGTTTCACCATGTTGGCCAGGCTGGTCTCGAACTCCTGACTTCAGGTGATCTGCCCGCCTCGGCTTCCCAGAGTACTGGGATTACAGGCGTGAGCCACCATGCCCGGTAATTCCCTGCATTTTCTTTTCCCTCCCTTTGCTATTATTTCTCCTGCAGATGTGTAGCCTTAGCTATCACCTGAACTTGTTTGGTCTTCTCCTCTTTTCCTTATAGTCTCATTCCCTTCGAGGGCTCATGCTTTTTCATGATTTCAGCCACCCTGCCTTTCTGATGTCTCCCCGTAGGTCTTCTGAGCAGGGAACTTCCTTCCAGCTTTTGTGCAAGCTGCACTGCCTGCCTTGCCATTAGCACTCACTTCAGTGCCCTCTCTGTCTCAGGAGCTCTTCCTCCTGCTTTGCTGTTCCTAGGACTGGCACATCCATCCACCGTTAACTAGAGCTCCATATAGTTCTCCATGTAGGGCCGACTGCAGTCAGTGAGTACCTGTTTTGCTTTCCAGGAGGGGGCGTGTTGAGTTTGGGAGCGGGAGGCAGCAGGCTGGCCAGGGGCTGTGGCCGGAAGAGCCTGAGTCTGGGGCCCACAGCAGGCCAGGCACAACTCTGCCACTCCCCAGGGAAGGAGGTAACCCGGCCTCTGTGAGGCTTCGTTTCTGTATCTGCAACATGGAGAGAAAGAGAATATGGAGCGGAGGCGGTGGGCGGGGGCGGCGGGGAACAACGTACGAAAGTGGATTGTAAGTTAAGGAAGGAGCAGGCAGTTGTGATGATGAGTCTGTGTTTAACCGGGTCAGCCCCCAGAGCACCGTGGCCACATCCCAAATAGTTTCCATCCTAAGCTTTCCTTCTCCCTGGGCCTAGGACCCCTGTCCATATAACAAAGCCCGGATGAATGCTGAGCTTTGAAACAAGAAGCCGTGGGAGAGCTTTCTGTTTGGACAAGAACTGCCTTTGGCATAATTCTGAGCACTCTCCTCTGATGTTTTCAGAGTAAAGGCTGAGGCGGGAGTCAGTGGGTAGGGAGAGGTGCCAGGCAGATTAGGAAACCCAGGTGGGCTGGCCCCGGGGTTGGGGGGAGGGGTGGGTATTGCTAAGTTATCAGTTATTTAACCTTATGGAGTTTTATTTAACCGTTTTTGTTTGACATGTTTTATATATATGTAATTTTATTTATTCTTCACAAAATCCCTGTGAGGGGGGTGGTACTATTGTCCCCATTTAAAGATGAGAACACTGAGGCATGGAGATATTAACAAGTTTACAGATAGTGAGAGCCAATAATAATAATAATAATCAGGAATTGTTATAATAATAATCAGGCATTCTGATCCCAGAGCTGGAACTCTTTGAATAACTGATTATTTTGGTACAACAAAGTATATGGCTGCCCCTGTGGAGTTGTGGTCTCCCCTAAAAGGCGAGGCTATTTGTGGCATCAGTCACGAGGGGAAGAAGAATTAGGGTTCTGGGAGGCAACAGAAAGGGGCAGGGAAACGGCCTGGTGGGATTCGTCTCTCTTGGCCTAGTTGGAAAAGCCGGCAAGCTATTGAGGGAAGAGGCTGAGAAATGGAGGATTTGGGCACGGTGTCTGGCGGCTGTGCCAACCCACTGGGCCCAGGGCGGAAATAGCTCAGAACACGCGGGAGAAGGCAGGCAGGGGGAAGGCCGGGAGAAGGCAGGCAGGGGGAAGGTCCCTGGAGGCTCGGCTGTTTGTATTTCCTTGTCTAGTGGTTACTTGTCACCTGTGACTCTTGCCTGATGCTCAGTGAGGGCACTTGGGAAGATCCAGCTCACCTCACGCGTGCTTGTGGGGTTAAAAGACAGGAGCGCGAGGAAGGGAAGGGGAGCGCGGGGAAGGGGAAGGGAAAGGGAGCGCGGGGAAGGGAAGCGTTAGCTCGGGGAAGGGAAAGGAAGCACGGGGAAGGGAAGGGAGCGCGGGGAAGGGAAGGAGATCACGGGGAAGGGAAGGGGAGCATGAGGGAAGGGAAGGAGAGGGCGGGGAAAGGAAGGGTCAGTGCGAGGAAGGGAAGGGTC
The DNA here is from genome assembly GCF_000001405.40 of Homo sapiens. Lineage (NCBI taxonomy): Eukaryota > Metazoa > Chordata > Mammalia > Primates > Hominidae > Homo > Homo sapiens. Next base: position 10,852,141 of record NC_000008.11, read on the forward strand.
CGCGCAGGGAGGGGAAGGGGAGGGCAGGGAAGAGAAGGGTCAGCACGGGGAAGAGAAGGGGAGCGCGGGGAAGGGAAGGGTCAGCGCGGGGAAGGGAAGCAGATCGCGGGGAGGGGACGGACAGCGCGCGGAAGGGAAGACCACATTGGTGGTCTCGGAGGTTCCAGGGAAGGTGACCCTTGGAGGGGCAATGCTCGCCCCACATGGAAATTCACACTCCAGCCAAAACGCAGCTGACAGTGAGGATGTTTTCCGCTGAGAGGAGCCATAATTAGACCTAAACATTAACAGCAAATCCAGGACCATCCCTCACCAAGTAGGAGAATAAGGGAGTCTAGGCTGTAATCGGGCCTGATTTCCCAAAGGAACATATATGTTTTCTTAACCTTATCCAACAGTATTTTATGATTCTAGGCCCTTGATTGGGGCCTATACAGGACCAGCTACTCCCAGAAAACGAACAGAAAAGAGAACATTTTCCGAGTGTGCTCTTTCCTCCTCTTGGCTTCTGTGTCTGTGTTATTCCCAGGCAGAGGGTAGGATCCATCGGATTTTCCATATTCCTAGGCCAGTTTTGAAAGCTCCTCCCCAGATGCTGAGACCACATTTCCCGTGCAGGAGGAGGTGGATGGGGAGAGTTTGCATCTGGGAGTATAATTCAGGTAGAGTTGGGTTTTTTTCAAAGTACATAAAAATCCTTAAATATTGCTTTGTGCTGTATATTTTTCCTAAGTATGACGTCATGTCGAAGGAGCCCCTGAAGCCTGTTCCCTTCTTCATTTGTGAGACCAGCTCCCACTTTCTGTGTCCCGTGCACGCTGCAGCCTCTTCTGGAAACTTAACATTGGGCTAGATCAGTGCTCCCTCTCCAGCATTGGTGGAGGGGTGTGGAGGGGATCTGAGCAGCAGCTCTGAAGGACAAGGTGTCTCCTGTAGCCAGGTGATGGTGGCCCAAGGCTCCGGGGCTTCCCTTGCCCTCCCTGCCTCTCTCCTACAACCATTCCTGCCTCACAGTTTTGCAATCATGGTGCCTGTGTGTGGGAGGGCAGGGAAGGTGGGTCTTTCCCTGAAGCAATGTAGGCAAAGGCCTTGATGGATGTAAAGTGAGGGTCTGGGAAGCTAGGAGAAGAGTGTGAACTTACAGGAGTGCATGCGCCCCCAGCACCACTCTGAGAAAAAAAAAGAAATGCCAGCTCACTGCACCAGACGGAAGACATCTTTTGAGGATGAAGACAGCCACTAGACAATGAAGCAACAGGAGACTTAATCTTAAGAGTTCTAGCAGCCAAGGGGGTGTCAGGCAGGCCCCAGGCCACATGGAATGCTTTGCCCCTCTCCCTGAGTTTAGGGCGGGGATGATGAGGTGAAACACCCCTGACGCCCAGGGGCAATTGCAACCTGCCTGTGGCAATGAGGTTCTGAGAAGGGACCATCATTCAAATCAATGGGCTTCCACCTGGGTGCAGAGGAGATCAGGCCGCCTGGGAGAGAGTAAGCAGGAGAGGGAGCCAGCAGGAAGCAGGAAGCAGGATGAGGAAGAAGAGAGGGCACAAAGGAAGGGGTAGCTCAACTTCCATTTGCCTTGGCTTTAGAAGAGTGTCCAAACGGGCCTCCATAGTGCATGATGAGATGGCTGGGGCCAAAGTCCCAGGGGCAGATGGGTGGGCCACCTGTGAGTGGGGAGCCCTGTGGATGTGTGTGTGTGTTCGCGTGCGCGCGCCAGCAAGTGCTAACTGGACAGCAGTTCACTCAGTGACAGGGTTTGCTCACAATAGTCCCCCAGCAACCCCAACTACCAGGGATCAAGGAAGCCCAAGTGTCTCCATTTACCACAGAGAAAAGAGGGTCGGCTATAATCTGAAGGTTTATGTACCCTCAGAATTCAAGCATTGAAATCCCAGCCCCTAAGGTGATGGGATTAGGAGGTGTGGCCTTTGGGAGGTGATTATCCATGAGGGTGGATTCCTTATAATGGGATTAGTGCCCTTAGAAAAAGGCCCAAGAGAGCCTCTTCACAGCTGGAGGGCACCGTCTGTGACTCGAAAGCCCTCACAGGAGGCTGAATCCAGCAGCACTTTTATCTTGGACCTCCCCACATCCGGAACTGTCAGAAACACGTTTCTGTTGTTTATAAGCCCCCCAGTCTATGGTATTTTGTGACAGCAGCCCAGACGGGCTAAGACAGGGTCCAGATTCACGAGCACAATTATATGCTGGCACAGAGGCAGAATCTTAAATCCCAGACCTAAATTCCCCAAGAGCCAGAATTCAAAAGAGTCCTCTCTAATTGCCTTTGATGAGAATTCAATTTAGGAAGGATTCTATTAATAGTTTAAACTAACCAGTAGGAGCTTCCCATATCTTCTCCGCAGAACCAAAATTCTCTCTAAACAGCTGAACCTTCTGCAAGCTGAAGATTCCTCATCAGTTTAATAAGAGGTTTGGAAAAGAGATTTGGAAACGAGTGGATGGGAGGGGGCTTTCTGTTTCTTTCCTGGTAGACGTGTCCCCAAACTGGCCCCTTCTTAGGCCCAAAGAGGCATTTATTTGGTATAATTGGTGACTGATTCCTTTCTAACATCTTGGATTAGGACTTGAAATAATCTAGTCACAGTCCCCTGCCCAGGAGTCACGCGTGTTCTCAGGACAGACTGAAGGTGGGGTGCGGGTGACGGAGGAAGCGAAAGAGGCCCCTCTACTTGCCCCTCAGTGTTTCTATGCTCCATGGCATTCCTTTTCTGACAAAGACAAGCCTGAGCTCTGGGTGCCTGCCCTGAAGGGGATGTACCCAGGAGGCGGGTATAGAAGATTCGGAATTGAAAATATCGGGAAGGAGAAAAGGGAATGGAGAGAACAGGGACGTTGAGGGAGATGGATCAAAGGGCCATTTGTTGAGAACGTGCCTTCTCTCCCCTAGAGTCCTGGGTGCCCCATTTGATGAAAGCTGTCTCTCCTCCTCTCTCCTTTCTCTCGCCTCAGAGGAGGTACTTTGGGGCAACCTTCTGCTGAGGAGAAAGGGCTCATACTGACGTGTATTCCTTTCAAGTAGTTGTTCCTCCCTTTCCTTCCAAAATGACACATTTTGAAAGTGGAACAGGTCCAAGCATGCAGAGAAGAGTGGAGAATAACGTCGTGAGATACACTCACCACGCTGTTTGCCACATATGTTTTGAAAAATGTTTAAATCAAACCCTCTGGATACAGTCGCTTTTGACATGCCCTCCCTCCCTCCTGGCTCTCCCTGCTCTTCCCTGCACCAGCCACAGCCTCACCCCATCCCCACCTGCCACGCACGATCCGGGAGAGTCTGGAATGAGTATGCTTGTATTCGATGCTGTATTCCTCCTAATTGAGCAGTGAGAAATACTCCTAATGGGGCAAGAAGAAACCTCTGCTGGATGTCCATGGGGCTTGGTCTGAAGCCAGTTTGCCCCAAGGATTTATTTGCAGAATTTCTAGCAAAGGCATTAGGGGGAAAAATGTTACATTGAGAAAATACAACCCAGGACTTTTCTGCCTCTCCCCACCTCCAGACCCTCATTTTCAGCACTGAGTTTTCTCTCCACCTTCTTCTCGTCTTAGCTTCTTTGGGGTTTCCCCTACCTGGCCCTTCTCTGAACCTCCAATTGCCAGCCTGCATTTAGGCTCCGGGAGTGGGTAGCTCTGCTCTGTGCATGGCTTTTCCTACCTGGTGGAAGGTGTGTGTCCGTCGGAGAGGCAGCTGGTGCCTGGAGACGTCACCACCCACTTACCTTCTCAATTTCCCTTTAACACCTCTTCTCTCAGTGCCAGCTGATTCTAACTTCCAGGTGCAGAAAGCATTTGGTGCAGCCAGAGGCCACCCTCTGCTCACAATGGATGCCCCTCAGCTGCCAGAATTTTCCACTCCACGATGATTTGCCCCTCCCCCACCATGCATAAAGGAAAAGCCACACACACGTGTGTTATTAAAATGAACTGTTTATATTATCTCCGTTGAGTCAATACATTATAATGTATTAAAATGGAAAGGTACAAAATTGAAATAAATACTTTCTGATTCATGTATAAATCTTTTTTTTTTTTTTTTGTCAAGATGACTTTTATCATCAGTACATGTCACAAGAAAACATTTAAAATGACACTGAAACAATCATTGAAATCATGGTGCATGGAGGAAAAAGGTAAAGAAAACAACTTTTGGCTTGTTTTGGCATGAGACCTTGATACAATTTGGGTTCCCCAAAACCATGTGAAGGGTGGTAAAATAGAAATGCTCAAAACTGACTTAAAAAAATAAACAGGCTTTACAAAAACCCTCTTTTTTCTTAACCCAGCCACTTCTCGACATGGTCTGCACATACAGTAGATACATTCATTATTGTCCAAGGGAAGACAGTAACTGCCTTTCATTTTAAAGAGCTTGGTGGAGAGGCTGAAGAAATGTGCTGCAGCTGAAGGTGAGTAGAATGTTCCAGAGAACACAAAAGTCTAGATGGTCTTCAGAAACAGCACTGAGCATGATGTGGGGAGGGTCTCTGGGAAGAGAGGTGGAGGTGGAGGAGGGTGCGGAGTCCAGATCTGAAGCCACGGAGACTGAGGATGGAGTTGGGTTGTCAGTGGTGAACGTGGGGGCAGGGATCTCTCCGCCTGAGCAGTCCTGGGTTTGTCCTCAGCCTGGGAACGTTGCTCTTTCAGCAAGAGGCGAACCCTGGGCTTTGGAGACGGGGCTGGGGCTCTTTTCAGGCATAGCAGCAGTGGGGAGACTGGGGACAGGCTTGCAATGGATTCCACGGGAGGGGCTTCTCTCCTGGTTCTGACTGCTTATTAGGTGGTTATTAAGGCAATAAGGACTTAAGCAAACTAGAAGTTAAGGGCAGCTAAGTTCAGCCAGATCAAAGGTAAACAAAAGGTGAGAAGGTGTCCCTTTCTCCTCAGCTACCTTTCCCCCAAGCACAGGAGGCCTCAGCTCCTGAAGCTCTGAATTTACAGTACACAGTAGCAGACGGCTTGCCCTTTGGAAGGCTCCATGGAAAGAAGGCTCATCCCTGACTTGGGGCAACTTGACCGAAGTTTCTACTCTCCAGAATCTCTTTTCTGTGGTCACCCGACTGGCAAGTGGAAGATGGAAGCACCAAGGTTCCTGCAAAAGATAGATCAAGACCTTTGCTATCAACCTTTCAGCCCATCCCAATGGCCTTGAATGGCACGTGTCCTGGAAAACCAGGTCTGCTGCCTGTACGCCCGAGCGAAACCTATGCTCAGCTGGAGAAGAGGACAGCCTTTCAGGGTTCATGAATGTTCTCCCTAGAACAGATGGAATGGCAGCTACAATGCCCTTGGGAATGTGAGGTCCTGGTGGAGTCTCTGGGGAAGTGAAAGAAGCTCCTTTAACTTGACTCCACTCACAGGACAAAGTGCAGGAGACAGAACAGAATGGATAGAAGAGGCTTCTCCTTTCTTCTTGCTCTAGAGTGAAGGAGATGGACAGTTACCTTGAAATGCTACGGGAAGGATGAGCATGGAGAGCTGCCTGTTATTCTGAGCCAACTTCTGGCAAGATGCTGGGTGAATCGACTGCCTAGAATTGAAGAACTGGCTCTCAAGCAGTTGCTGCTAAAGAATGCCAGCAAACAAACCACACACAACTGTGGTAAGCCAGGCGGAAATCCCTCCACCCTCTGGCATGAGATGGCAGTCTAGAAAGGACTCTCCATGAGATGCCTGGGGCCTGAGGAAGCAGAGGCATGGACACACTGTTCTACGATGACTCAGGGCCACCCATGAGTGGGACATTCGTGGGGATGAGATGGGAGCAGGGAGAAGCAGCAGTTGTAATGGCCAGCCACGTGGGGACCAGTTCCGTGCCTGGCCTTTCTTTCTCTGGTGGAAGCCATCTTGTTTTGATCCTAAGAAAAATGGGTGTCATTTTATCCAGGAATCTAAGAATTATAATAATAAATTAATAAAGTGAATGTGATAATCAAACTGTGAGGATACGAACAACATAAGATTTAATGATCGTTGTCAAAACCAGTCCGTAGGGCTGTGGAACTTTATCGTACAATTCGACTTTGATATGTGTTTAAATATATTTTCTAAGTTATCCACAACCCAAAACAGGACCCCTTAGAGGTAATCTAGAGGAATCCCTCACGTTACAGACAGAGCCACTGGTTAAGGGTCTAGAGTCACACAGGGAGTTACTGCAGAATCACTACTGGAACCCTGTGCTCTTTCTGCAGGGATTCGGATATTTTGGTTGGATTTGCATTCTTACGTCAATGTATGTTCTCCAACTCTGCTCTTACATATTGAAAGGCAGGCAGCTATTTTTAAACACCCTGCCTATTAGCCTTCGGAACATAATAATAATGGCAAGCACCCTTTATTGCTTCACCGAGCTGCAGACACCCTTCTAGGGTGTGAACAGAGCTCAGTAAAGATAGCAGCCTCAGGTCTGTGTGTTGCTTTGAGCCACGAGCTGGTCTGCAGGCAGCAGCCATGGGCCGTGCCTGTGTTGGTATGTTTAAGAACATTGGCGAATACAGGAATTACATGGACTAGGTTTAGAAAACAAACAGTAACGTACAAAAAGGAAGGTTTGATATGGACTGCAAGGACATAAAGCAGGTGCACATGCGTGCACTACCAGAATAGCTACACGGTGGGAAGGAATTCCAGAACCACGTGAGAAAGAGTTGTTAGGACAATGCAGTCGTGAAATACCATGTTTCCAACCCTATCACTCTATTTTAAAATAGATAATAATTATAATTTTTATTAATATCAAACAAATTAGCTTTGGGACCTATGGCCCTAACTTAGGGGTCACGGCTGCAGTCCCCTTTCTTGCAGACCTGGCAGGCTGCGCAGATAACTGCCCCCAGCGTTGGCCAACTCTGGACGCTCTCTTCTCCCATAAAGACACCAGAGAGTGCTCTTCAGCCCCCGTGTTTCAAAGGGAGAACCCAAACCCACCCTAACTTCTGGCAAGACAAATCACTTATTATAGCTGCTCACCTCTTCACAGAGTACCCACCTCCAGGAAAGGTCACTAAAGGTCCTGCCTGGGCCCCTGGCGTGGCACAGGGTCATGGTCAGTCTTCTCTGGAGCCTGAGTCAGGGCCTGGTGGGGAAAGGCGGTGTCACTTATAAGGGAGTGGGGAGGTGAGAGCTGGAAAGGGCTGGAATGGCACCTTTTTAAAGGAATAAAGCCCTTTAAAGATCTTCAACTCAGGGACTTGGTCTCTTTGAGAAACAGCACCATAATCTAATTGGAATAAAAAAAGGATCTATTTAATTAGAAAGAGACTGTTAGGAACTGGAAGCTGGGGAAAGGAGTAGGGACTCACTGGGCCCTTCTCAGGGATAACAAAGAATCAAGGGCCTCAGTAGCAAATTACAGAGTTTATTTTGAAAATTCAAATAAAACCACAAAAATTCAAATAAAAACACATTCTAGACTATATCTTTGTAAGCTTTGGGGGACAAACCTCAAAGAGTCCTCCCAAAGGAAAACGCACCAGCTAAGCCAGGTGCCTCCAGGCTCGTATAAAGGGGAAGGTGAGGTCAGGAGGCCAACAGCCATTTTTTAGAAGAATGACACCGCAAGACGTTCCTGGTCTACTATTTCGCATGAGGAAAACACGCTTTGGCTTCTGGTGGCTCAATTGAGATAAAAGCAGAGAGAGGTACAATAAAAGGAATTCATAACAAACATTATGAACACCTGCTTGGATTAAAAAGTTGACGGTTTCCTGAAACGGGCTCTGCTAAAAGGGACTTCCTGGAGAAATCAGATGCCTCTGGAATGGAAGACGTCCAGGAAAGTTGGGATGGCTGAACAACAGGTAGGGTCACTGGGTGGATGGATGGACCACTGAGATTTTTTAGAAAAAAGCTGTTCTCACAGGAGATTTAGTAAGGGCAGTTTATAGGTTTAGATTCTGCTGTTCCTTATTTTCATTGTTCTTCCTTACCCCTCAAAAATATAGGTTAATGAGACATTAGCTCATTTCACATCCTAAATCCAAACCCTCTTCCCTTGGCTAACACGGGGCTGGGTTGGGATGTTCACATTGACCATAATCATTGGGAAAAGAAACTTAGGGACTTCTATCAAACATGAGAGTTTGGGAATGATATCTGAATTTCACAAATTAAAAGGATTCTGAGCTGCTGGTTATAAGTAAGGAGGGGGACAAAGGAGCATCAGGAAGCAGGGTCTGAGGGGGTCTCTGCTCCTTTTGAGCTGGGTTTCTTTGGGTAAATCACTTCATCTCTCTCTGGGCTTCAGTTTCCTCATCTGTACAGAGAGGAGATGGGACTCCACATGCTCTGAGACCTTCCTGACATTTGTAGTCTATGGTCCTGGAGAACTGATATCAGTCTGGAAAAGACATGAGGTAGGGGCTGAATTCTAGGATCATGAAGGGCTCTGCCAGCCTTTCATCCAAAGAGGGCCAACCTTGTTCCTGGGGAATGGTGAGTACATTTTCTAGCAAGTTCCTTGGGACTCCTGACCAATGTCAGCATGTCCGCAATGCCCCATCTAGATTCTGCCCTGAAAGAGCCAAACAGGAGAGCAGTAGTGTCTGCCACATCTTTGTGGAATCCTGCCCTTTTGCGGTCAACCTCAACTCAGGGAAAGTAAAAAGTGCATTAGAACCTAATGAAAATTTCAAAAGATCTTGAAAGATGCCCACCAGCAGCAGACAGTGACATGATCAGTGCCCATGGCCAGGCATATCACGGAGGTGTGCAGTGGCCACGAGAAACAAGATGTTTGTAAAGCACTCTGAGCTCTTAACTGTGAAGAGTCAGAGAGGCAGAGGCACCACAGTCCTGGTTTCCACCTGGCTGGCCATCAGGATTAACGTTTCACTGCACAGCCAATAAGCCCAAGACTTCAGAGGACTGGCTGTATCTCCAGATTTGCGGAGGGGGGAATGGCTCACTGTGGATAGGTACACTATTCTGCCAAAAGGCAAATGTCTGCCAAAACACAGACTCTGGAAAAATCTGTCTAGGTGCTTCTAATACCTTCTGTGTATGCTGGTTCCTAGCATTGGGAGTGGGGGAGATGTGTCTCTCTGAGTCTGGGTTGGAAAAATATAGAATGGCAAAGTCCTGTGTGCCCAGGGGAAAAAAAGAAGTCCATGATTCTGACTCCTTTAGGGAGAACAAACGAACCCTGTGCCAGAGATTCACCTCTATTTCCCAGAGATATTGCTTTCCAAATCTGCCTTCTTTCAAAAGCTGTGCAGAAGTACCTGGCTGAAGAGATGACTTGAGATCCCAGCAAGAAGAAAATCAGGGTAATCTTGAACCAGAATAGTTTGCGCCTTTTAAGACATGCATTTCCTCTGAGCAAGTCCAGATGTCCAAGGGGGGAGAGGGGATGCTGCGAGCACTGTCTCTAAACATACAGCGATCCAATCTCTTAAGCAGTTGAAGATCCACTTTTACTTTAAATGCACTGAAGGCCCAAGAAAATGTAGATGCCTCTCTCACCTAACACTGCCCTTCCTAATCTTACCTAGAGTGAAACTGAGGCACAAGGAAGGCCAGCCCATTTTTCTGCAGCTCTCCTATTGAAATGGTGCCACTCCTGGGAGGAAAACCCAAGATCTCTCTGAGTCCTTCAATATCTTTCATTGCCTTTTTGCTTAATTCACATTTAAAGTCGGCCTGTCTATCACTCTATAATATATTATATGCGCTATTTGTATAAAATATAAATACTTCTTATATTTCTGCTTAATTTCCTGTCTTTTATCCTCCTTTATATAACTAGGTTAAAAAAAAAAAAAGATGTTCCATGACAAGGGAAAAACCACAGTACTGCTCAAAGGAATAGGCCTCCGGAAGGAGAGATGACAGCCCTTGTCCATGGGCCCTGGGGGTGCTTCAGATCTGGACTGTACAGCAAATTAAATGGAACACATTTCAACAGAAATCGGCAATGGAGACATTTGAGCCAGACGAAGTGAACTTCCACAACCTGGTTTTAAGGAACAGTAAATACAATAGAGATAGATAGATACGCTATGCTGAATCTTGAGTACTAAAACAAGTTATAAATAGAAATATGCTAACTTAAAGAAGACATACATCATAGGGATTAGTCTAGTCAACAACCAATTACCATTAAGATCAAAAAGTAAACCGGCCTTTTCACTGAGTGCCTCCACGACATTTCTCAATGCACTAAGTACATTTTAACCATGCAAAAATACACAAACATCTTAACTAGGTTGTTTTTTTGTTTTGTAAAAAAAAAAATCAAACACCAACATTATGCATTTTGTTAATTATATTGGTTAAAGTAACAGCCAGTGGCTGCCAAATATCAGATACATCATATACATATTTTTGTACAGAATCTGGACAACACAACATTACACATCAGAGAGAGAAAGAGAGAAAGAGAAAGAGATTATTTGTTCCTTCGTGGGTTTGTTGTTGTTGTTCAGTAAAAAAAAATAAAGTAAAGTGTGAGAAGAAATGCTAAGAAGGAAAACACTTCAACAAGTTAGGAATACATAGGGAGAATTGCTAATCTGAAATACAGGAGGAAAAGAGTTCATATTTAGGTCTGTGTCTAGAATTTTCTTCACTAAGAAACAAAAGAGTACAACAGGTGTATTGGTTTGGAAAAGCAGAAAGAGCGATAACATCATGCTCTCTGCTTCCCAGCATGTTTCCAGCAAGAAGAAAAAAATCATAAGCACAAATTAATTTCACAAGTTTTGTTTTCAAAAATGTCCTCCCTTACCCAGGAAGCTGGGTAATGCAGGGGTGGGGGGCAGCTCAGTTGAGAGAGTCCTTGGCAAAGGTTTGGCCAAAAACTGTTGGCCTTAAATTAGTTGGAGATATGAACTGTCTGTGGGAATTCACGCAATGAAACGCAACAACAGCTTGCTCCATCTAGGCAAGATTTCCTGTTGCCAGCTCATGATCTGGCCAAAGACACAACCCCCATGACAGGTTCTGCTAGCCAGGCCCCAGTCCTGCCCCTTAAACATCTGGCATCAACACAATCTTAGGAATTCAATCTGGAAAGAAAACGAGACCTTGAACACAAGCTATGGAAGCGCTACCGTGGTCACGGTTAGATACAAAAATGTGAAAATTCAGATGTAATCAAAAATACAAAATCAGTTTCAATAAGATTTGCTTTTTTTTTTAAACCATTACAGTGCAAGGTTTTTCAAATTACAGTAAAAGTTATGTGTCTGCTTACAGTAACTAGAGTAAATAGCTGATTTTGTTCTGCTAGAATCAGAGGTCCCTGATAAGTGAGAATGCACCAGTCTGAAATCAACCCAGCACAACAAATGGATATCTGAACATAAACACGGTTCATTGTAGTCTTTACCCCTTTAAATTATAGTAACAAAAGAATGATGTCCTTTGCACAACTCATTAGCATGATGTTCTTCTTCCATTAAAAACAATCATAGCAAATAGATGGTATTAAAATTTCAGAAGAAAAGGACTGGAAAACCGGGGCTGACCAGTGGAGGATCTGAAGGGAGTTTCCCACATCACTGAGCTTTTCCCATTATACTTATTATTATTATTTTTTCCTACCATAATCCTCTTTGGCAATGTTGCTTTGTGCTTCAACACCAGTCACCCACACCATCCCAGGCTGTTGCGAGAGGAAGAGGCAGCACCCCATGGAATGAAAGGAAAACATAATGGGGTCACCCCGAGGAAAGAAAAATGGAATAAAATGAGAGCTGGGAGGCCAGGCTGGGGAGGAGCCTTCAGCTGATAAACGAGGGACCCTTGTCAAGGCCATTGTGCCTCAGAGTCTCACGGTCAGCAAGGGAAGAAAGGGAAAGTCAAGAACGCAAAAGGCCATCTGGGAACAAGAGTTGCTGTTCACCGAGAGCCTCACCTTTGGGCAAGTGTCTGGCAGACAGCGAGAGGCTAAAGGAAGTAATCAGGCAATGGTCTTCACATTCATGCTAAAGGACAGGAGGAGAGGCAAGGGAGACTGAGGGAGAATCCTCTTCTGAAATTTGTAGCAAGAACTAGTCTGGGACAGGTTGAGAAAGGCAGGATGCATCAGAATGCCTCCAGGAATCCTGCATGCCCAAGACGAGGGTGGATGATGGCCCTTTGGCACGGACCGCAAGCTAGAAGCCCACGGAAGCCACACATCATCCCTGTTGGTCTTTGGCCTTCCTCATGTGGCCCCTCTCTAGCCTTATCCTGGGGCCTAAACCCAAGATAGCAGCTCTTTGAGCCATTTGGATTGGCCCCTTCTACCCCAGTCTAAGTCCCTCCTAATTGCACAGGGCAACTCTTCCTAGGTTAAGTGAGTTGGAGAGGCAGTTTTAGACAGAAAGAGGCTGCTGTTGAGGCAGTAGGGGAGTGGGACTGGCCAGCCCTGTGTAGGGTGTGGGCAGCACTCTCTCTTGTCTCCCCTGGGATGTAGCCTGTGGTTTGATCCACCTACCTCCTACTAGTGACCTGCATTCAGGTAAGAGAACCCTTTACTCACACCCGTGGCCCAAGAAAGGGAAGAAATGCAAATTCCTCTGCCACATTAGGAAGTTTTTCTTACTTTGAAATAGAGTGTGAGATGTTAGTGTGAGCTCAGGAAGCACTCGATCATTTGGTTAAAATCTGGCCATAGCAGGAAATTTGGACTTCCTCTAAACATTTTGCCACACTCCTCAATAAGGAAAAAATGATCCCCCTGACCCTACAGGCTCAGTGTCCACCAGCGTCCACACCAGTCTGGTTCCTACTCTCATGGGTAGAAGTGGACAGCTGTGATCAGTCCAGCACATGGCCTCCTCCAGCACGCACATTGGGGTTTGTTTTAGGAGTGACAGAATCAGGCAGAACCAGTGCCCCTGTCCTTTGCTTTTTGCGTAAGGTGCTCACACTTATTCATTTCTTGGGCCAGAGGAGATCCCACCTTACTTGCCTTCTGAATCCCATCTCTTACTAAGCTTTCCCAGACTTCAGTTTCCACCCATGACCTATCATAGTAAAGCAATTGTCCTGGAAACCTTCTCTGTACTCCTCACCCAGCCCTGACTCAAAACACAGCCACCACTTGGTCCTCTGCGATTCAGAGGTGGTACCCTCTGCTCATTGCTCTGAGCCCCCCTAAGGGAGTGGTTCTGCAAAGCCAACTAAGGAGCCGCTGACCATGGGTCTTCCCTCAAAGGGAGGATTTTTAAGAGGTGCAGGCTGCTTTGGCTGAATGGCCTTAGCAAACACCATGATGTTCTTCTGACATCAATCCCCAGAACTCTGCTTTACTAGATCAGCTCTTTCCAAATGGTGTTTCTCTGGCCTGGCAGTTTGTAGATGAAACCATGTTTGAGGATTTGTGATCATAGATGTATTTACATAAGGAAGTGGACAGAATAAAATTAGGAAATGAGATGATGTGTAGTGTGGCTTTAAGGGTAAAGATATGCTTAAAGAATCCCGAAAATGCCCCAGGACAAGGCTATGATGTCCTACTCTTGGTACCTAGGACCATCTGGTTCTATTTACCATTTGTTGGGAGCCACCCTGGCTGAAAGAGATTCCTAGGCATGGTGGAGAACAGGCATTGTCAGTCCAGGGCCTTGGTGGGGAGGTAGGTGGTCTGCTGCTCCTCCAACTCTCAAAAGAAGGGGCTTTGGACATCACAGACAGCAGCATGGGATTCGAAATTGGACCCTAACCCCTTTATAGTAGTGTGACCTCAGGTGGGCTAACCTCTCTGAACTTTAGTGTTCTCTTTTGCATGTTGGGTGTGACTTTATTACTCACAGCGTTGTTGAGAAGATCAAATGAGATACTGCATGTGAAAGCGCCCCACAGGCGTTTAGGAACTGTGCTGGAAAACCTTATTCACCTCTGATAAAAGCATCACAGCCTTCCCCGGACAACCTCAAAGTTCGATACTTTTCCATACCCAAAGCATTTTCTTAGAGCGGCGGTCGTTTGCTAAGTGGCGTTCTAAGGACAGGAGAATTTGCAGTGTTTTGCTTGGCTTTATTTTGTTTGGTCAATAATCTCTGTATATCCCATATGGCTGATTCTCATCTCCTGACAAGCTAATGCTCCGGTCTGCACCCCAGTACATTTCAACTCCTTGACATCAATAACAAAAAGGGGATTAGAGGAAGCAATGTGGTTTTTGTTTTTGTTTTTAACCTTCAAGATATATATTGTGAGTATATTTATTAGGGTGAGCAGTTGGCTTCATCTTTTTATTTATTTTTTTTTTTTTGAAATGGAGTCTCGCTCTATCGCCCAGGCTGGAGTGCAGTGGCACAATCTCAGCTCACTCCAACCTCTGCCTCCTGGGTTCAAGTGATTCTCCTGCCTCAGCCCCCTGAGTAGCCGGGATTACAGGCGTGCACCACCACACCCAGCTAATTTTTGTATTGGCTTCATCTTTTAATGCAAGATAAAAGTAGAGTTGAATTGATTTAGATGCTTGCCTTCTATGTAAGGAGGATCTCCTTGGGTTCTTATGCTCATAAACATTAGCATGGATTTAAGGAGAAGCTAAATTTTCTTGCCATTTGTTGGATGAGTGGGTATTGATAACAGAACTTTCGGATGGGAAGAAACTTTAAGGAGTGTCACCATTTTGCAGAAGATGAAACTGTGCTTGGGCACGTGGGGTGTGTTAGTGGCAAATCCAGGACTCCAGCTGCTGCAATGGAATGTAGAAACGGGTGACCCTGCTTGGAGGGGAGGTAGGGCTGGATGACAGTTCTCTGTGGTCCTGGGATGCAACAGCATAGCTTCCTAACTCTCGAATTTCTGCTGACAGACGTCATTTTCAACTTGCTCTCACCCAGCCATGCTTAGAGAAATCACTAGATAAACGCCTAGTGGACTTTCAGTGGTCCAGTTTGCCAAACTGAACTAGGAAATTGAGGAAGAAACAATAGCTACGTCTTGAAGGTTAAAAAATAAACAACACTATTTCTCATCACCGCTAATTAGTAGGGACTTTTAAAAAAAGGCACTCACCATTGACCTAATCTGTAGTGTTAAAAATGGAGATAAATATGTAATATTTTGGAAATGGGTGCCTGGTAAGTGAAGGATGCAATGAATGTGATATATCATGATTCAGAAACCCTTGTGATAAATCACCTCAAGACATATCTCAGCATTTGCCATGAGGTTAGAGCAGTGACAAAGAAACAATGAACGATTCTTAAGTGGAATTGATCAGAATTCATTATTGGCCTAAAGGGGCAATGTGGTATTAACCTGGAGCTTCTTATTTCACAGGGAACCTTTCAAGGTTAGTCAACTGATCCAAGGCCTGTGTTGACCGCTGTGTCATGCTGTTGTGTCCCATTTCTCTCTTGGCTCTTCCTAAGAGAATATCCTTTTCTCTTGTTCTCTGTAACCCATGTGCCTATTCATAGTATATTGCTTAACCTAAACTCTATAAGTCCAAAAGGCTCAGGATGGAGGCATGGGGTCTGTGGACATGTAGAAACAATGGCTAGGAATGACAGCTAGAAAGGCATAGGGATGTTGAGTTTCAGGTCCTTCTTCTTTCCTTGGGGTGACGCAGTAAGGGGGCCCTTTCTTCAGTTTCCAGACCAAGGATAACATGATTACGTTTTGCTTTCTTTCTAAAGCAATCCGTCTCAAAAGTAGAGGAATCTTTTCCTTACTCTCCCCTCCCCTTGTCTCTTCTTGCTGTGGTTAAGCCATTTTTTCCTGTTTGAGAAGTACGCCTGGTGACTGATTAAGAAGGAAGATGATTGCAGGAAGCATCCTCTAATGATGGCTATCAAAGGAGCCAATATATTGGTGCACACTGGGAGTTACTTTTAGGCAAAGAAGGGGGCATATATCTTAATTGTTTCCTTATAACCTTCCCTAATGTCCTTAACGCAGGATGTGCCATTCATGAGGAAGGCTCAACAGTCCTTAATGCCCATGTCATCTCCTCTTTCTTTGAGCTTGGTGGTGCTAAGATGCCTTCCTTTCCTTTGAACTTGAGAGAGCTTTATCTGCATTCATTAATTTCATCTTACTTTTCAGCCCTGGATGTACAGAGGTTAGCTCCCTACCAGACTGTGAATCACTTATGGACAGGGTCTAGTCACACGTCTGGGATCTTTGCTAGATGAATAATGAGTGCGTAAGTTAGAAGACTAATGGACAGAATGAATTGACTGCGCGTGAGTCCAGGAATCTCACTGAGACCTTAGTTCTCAAGGGAAGAAATCTCTTCCGTTAACCTCAGGGAGGTGGCTGCCAGTTTTGACAGCTGACATGGGGCAACACCGAGGTCTTTGCAAGCTTCCTGAAGCCAAGCTAGAGCCCAGTACTTCAGGTCAGTGGTGTTGGAGGCAGCAATTTTAGCTAGAGGCAGAGATTTGCTGTTCAGTTCCTTTTGAGCAGTTTGGGCTTCAAAATATAATGATGCCACCCAATGCCCTGATTTCTTCTCTACAACATAGAGAGATTCTGCCAAAAGATCTTCCTGGGAAAGATCAGAAGAACACCAATTGGCTTTAAAAGTGGTTCTCACAGGATCTATTTTATGTATTATTTTCAGCAAAAATCTTTGGAAACAGAGGAAAAAAAGATGTCTTTTCCATATGTCAGTCTCAGGCTGATGCCTCAAGGGCCCCTGCTCTTGGGCCATCTCAAGATGGGTTGTTTAGACACAGGTCAAACCGGCCTTGGCTCCTGCAGGCTGAGATAAAATGTACCACACAGGGAGGTGGCCTCTCAAAGTTCAGTGAGGCAGCAGGAAGAAAAGAAAGGTAGAATGTCCCATCAGTCAAGCAAGGGAGTGTGTAGGCAGAGGTGTGGTGGAAAATCCAGAAGACTTTCAGCCAAGACACTTGATCCCACATCGTGGTTTTATTTCTTTTGAATCAAGTTGAGCAAATCATTCAAGTGCCTAGGTCACATTTTTCTCACATGGAAATTAAACTAATGTGTTATATTTCTCTAGTTGAAAAAGGTCATTACAAGGAATAAGTAAAATAAACTAAGAAAATATATAGAAAAGCACTTAGCAAATTGGCATGAAGCAAGTGCTCAGTAAATATGAGTTAAATCTGAGATGAATGATGGTTTGGGCAACACACCCTTGAGCAGACATCATGGGTGTGGGGAATATGGGGTCCAGTGAGAGTCTGGGGTCACCGTCAGCCTGTGGTGCATGGTGGTCAGGCTTGGTAGAGCCCCAGATCGTGGGTGGTAAAGGGAATGATTAAAATTTAATATCTTGAAGCTGGGAGTTAAAAATGATTTGTGTAAAATAGAAGTCCAACTTTTCTGAATGTATGCTTGGCTGACATGGTTTGTCTATCAGCTCCAGGGATGCAGGTGGTCACCATCCCACCCATTATGAAAAGATTCCAGGCCATGGATCAGCAACAGTAGAGTTATTTTATGGAAGTTAAAGAGAGAATAATTATAAGGAACAAGACTGAAGGAAGTTGGGGAGTTCCAGTTGGGATCCCAAGCCTGCTTGTCCTATTAATAAGTTCTAAGGTTCAGAACTGCCATCCCCTGCATTTCCACTTAGACATGCTGAAAATCTGAGGTCAAAGGCCAGGCCACACTTTAAATGCTTCAGGAGCAGATCTGTCTGTGGGGAGGCCCTCCCGCTTGTCTCAATTCTCTGTGCCTTTGCATCTCTCGTCTCAATGTCTGTATGGTTTTGCTTCTGTGGTTCTTAAAGTCTCAGAAGATGAAACAAGGTGCACAAACTGTTGAAGAATCTGTGTGTAGTGCTGAGAGAACTGGGGACCATTGAGGAAAGGATCAGGAAAAAAAAAACTGTCTTGGCTTCCTTTTCTCATGGTATCTGGAAACACCTGGACCCACTACACAAACTATAGGAGAAACTGGGACTTACCCCACATCCTGAAGACTCAATTCTTCATTAGGAAATGCTGTGACCACAGTAACCAGCTCCTTGGCTGCTACAGTGAGGGCCTGGGGCCAGCCAAGTTCTGCATGGCTCAACCAATTCTAGGAGATTGCACTGGCCTCAAATATCCAGAAGCTTGCCTGACCAGGGTTGAACTAAAACCCTATTAAGAATCAGAGACTGGAATCTTCTGTGTCTTGGGCAGCTTTGGGCTTTAAGAAATTCCATTTTTCATTCAAGTTCCTTCCCTTTGGCCTCAAAAACTCAGTGGTTCCAGAAATCACATGTAAAGTGGTCCACTGACAGCTTCCACTCTTCTGATGTGCCTTGCAGATGGAGACATGCAAATCACCACTTGAAGCCTCATTCCTCCTGTCTTCCACCACATGTGGAGGACTAGAGGAGTGGTTTTTAGATACACCAAAGCTGTAGGGGCTTAGCTTTGAGCCAAGGCATGCACATGGGTACATCTGAGCAACTGCAAGTCCAACTCTTGGGGTGTCCATGAAGTCTTTGAAGAAGGAGTGTGGTTATCCACAAGGAAGAGCCATTCCCCGAATCACATTTCGAAACCAAGGTTTAACCTAGCTTCAGCTGAAGGGCTATTCTTTCAATAAGGTTGGGTGAATGTTAACAGACAGTGGAAGACATCACATGGCTTGAATATGTGCTGCTGAAAATTCTGTTGCTTTCTCATCAGAAAGAAATCAATATGGTAAGCGAATGAAGGATTCATCATGACTATGGGCATGGCCAGCCAGATTCACTCATTTGCATGCAGGCTATGAATCCCTCAAAATTCAACTCAAATGCCATCGTTTCAAAGCCTTCCCTTCTACCTTCACTTGGAAGTATCTCTTCCTGTTCTGGATGTCCAAAGCATCTTGCACTTCTCCTTAGGTTCCATTTTCCATTGCAGTATGGTTTTTAATGTACATTTCTCATATCTTGTATTACATGCCTTGAGGTTTATTTCATCTTTATATCCCTAAGTTACTAGCCCTTTGCTTGGTAGAGTAAGTGTTCAATAAATATTTGATAATCAAATGATTAATTGAATTTGAAGTGAGAATACTGTTCTGGCAAGGAAACTCGACTGGGGTAAAATAGATTCATTATCTGTCACATTGTCCTTGCAGGGAAGGTCACTGGGAAGACCCAGTGGCCTGAGAACATACGAAATGTCAAAAATCCTCTACCAGAGCTGTACAACACCTTGAGTTTAGGGTAAAAGAAATTCTTGCATAATCTGCCACATCCCATTGTAATACATCTGCTTCCTCTGGTCCAGTGATTTCAAAGCTCCTAAAGCATAGAAGCTGTTCTTGCCCAGAAGCAGAAAACCAAGAACCCAAATAGGCAGTCAGAAATGGTTTCCAAACTGGAGATTTCCTTGGGAGTTCAATAGCAACTGGCAACCATAAACAGAACTGAAAGCATCTCTATCTAGAATGATTACATCCTGGGGACAGCATCTTCTCCCTTTCCAGGCAACAAAGAGGTGTAATGATGAGATTTAAAATAAGCAAACAAAACTACAGCTTCCTCCCAGCAGTGCAGAAAGCTCCCCACAATAACCCAACAATGGTCATGCCCCAAGGACCAGCCCACTCTGCAGAAATATGGTCTACAAACAGAAAAGGAAAGGGAAAGAAGAAAATGCTTTTTACAGTGAATTGAAGTTCAATTCTTTTTCCCTATTCCCATACTGGCTCTGACATATCAGGGATTCCCTATCAACTAAGGGAGTTTTGCTCATGAGTGAGCAGAAGGTCACTATGAGAACAAAACTGGCTGGTCTGGGTCAGAAGTCCTGTTATGCCATCTCCTTGGGTTACCCTTAGAGTTTGGTCCATTGTGAACCCTTCCTCTATAAGAAATAGATTAAACCTCATGCTTAGGGCTACCAACATGTATATCTAAAATGCCTCGATCACAGATGCAGCAAAAAATTCCTTCTACTAACTCTGAAATTCCCGTTATCTGTGCCCTGGGGAGCAATGGGGCTGGGATTCCAGGGAGGGCGGCACCAGGTGTGGAGAGGGCCCAGAACCAGCATGGAAAGAGAGTTCACTCCAGTATTCAAACTTCAGAAGGGTCTCCAGGAAACAAGGCCTCCCCTGTGGAAAAACTGGGGAACTGAGATGAACAGAAAGACAAGAGTCAAGATGAGCAGGTGTAGGTGGCTCTGCAGCTAATTTTCTCAAGGCATTGGGTGGGGTGAAAGGTGGTAATACAAGAAAGGATCCTCCCAAAGTCTCCCTAAAAACAGGCTCCTCTGAGTGCACAATGGATATGTCACAATGGATATGAAAGAATAGGGAATCATAAGAATTGTGTTTTCTAGTACCTACAGAAAACAAGCAAAACATTTCTTTCTTAAACATGTAATTATTTCAAAGGAAATTTTGGAATCTTGGGAAGCTCAGTGAGGTGGCAAATTCCTCAGAATCAGAAAACCAACTTTGGAAGCATACTGTCATTGTGCCCACGTGTGTGTTTGCCTGTGTGTGAATATATCATATATTCCCACTCACCTACTTATGTGTGTGTATATATATAAATATATATATTTATCATTATATTTTTCCCTTCAAATCAACATCAGTGTGTTCTACCTTCAGTACATGTTTTATCTGCATTTCAATTCGTAGACAGACCTTTATATCATAAAAAGAGAGAAATAGTCAAGAACAGGCAAAGTCTAACCTAGCCAGGTTGTTTTAAATGCTTACTCAGCATCATTAAAAAAGAAAGCAAACCTCCCCAAATACAAGTTAAAATGTCCATTACTAATACATACCAGCAATTATTTATGATAATCAAAAAAGAAAAACAAACATATTATGAAATATTCATTTTTCTATAGCATTGCATGTATTTTATGGGCAATGTCACCATTTGTGGAAATAATTCCCCCTTTCAATGATCACTTTTCCGTAGCGCCCTAGAACTGGGGAATAATAAAATACTTAAAGGGTTTTGTTGAAGTATCATTTTTAAGGATCTTTTATTCTAACTTATAGACTTTTCTTTATACCATTTAAAATATATTGAAGGAATTTAAGAAAAGCCTTAGATTTTGGCCAAAGACACAGAAAAACAAGGGTGGTTGGACCATACAAATTATTTAGGGTTCGCAACCTACATGTGCTTAGCTAAAGGATAGCAATTCTGTTCAAGCACATAAATAAAGGGAATCCATTGCAAACAATCCACCTTCTATTCACAATCCCTTGAATCTGTACTGTAACTGGTCAAGATTCTTGTGAAAACCTTGAGTCTTTATGGCATCGCTGGCTTGTAGACTACAAAAGTTTCCAAATCACCGTTCCTCTTAACATGTGGTATGAAACAGAGTTCCAGAACGTTTAGAGAAGAGGTGGGGGCTGGGCACAGGATAGTTCACCACCAAATAGCACAACACATAAAATCAACCTAGGGAAAATGGCGGAGTCAAAAAGTCAAAAGCAGCCACATCACACAAGAATGCCAGGGAGTCAATGAATACCGAATTTCATGCCAAGAAATTGAAATTTTAAAAAGAAATAAGGTTGGACATCAATAAATACCAAAAGCGTCAAGAAGTCAAAGCCAAACCAATGTTTCCTTTTTCCCCCTACGCACGAACCTTTTGTTCTAAACCCAAAGCCCAATGGCATTGAGATCCATAATTTTTTCTGAAAGATTCAAGTCTGCAGAGATACTTCCCTTCCATTTGATCACTTGAGTCCACAGAAATGAAGCACCTTTGAAACCAAGAGTTGTTCAAGAATCCTAGTGTCTTATTCAATGTGTCAAAAAAGTACAGTTAAAATAATTAGAATAATTCATCAAATGACAAACACAACAATATTGACTCTCGTGAATAGGCAAAAAGTTTCCCGAGACAATTCACAACTAAGGAGATAGAGCACAATAAAAGGCTATGATATTTCAGGAATAGTCTGTGTTATAGCTTTGAACTTTATTGCAAAGCAAAAAATATATATTTATATATATATATATTTTTATCTACATTTCACCTCTGACATTGTACACAACACGAAAGCACAGGAAACCAAAAAAATCATAATGAGGTAGATACATAACACTTACAGATGGAGGAGACTAAGATTTTAAATTTGGCTTAATACTGCGGTCACCAATGTATGCATTTGCAATACAGCAGCAAGCATTGATTCACAAGGCAAGAAGCCCAGTGATCTCAAATCCAAAAATAAGCCCCATTAAAAAAATACCTGCTCAAAAATGAAAAATATACATATATATTTCTTTAAGTCAGGGAATCAGATGTGTTCAATTGCAAACCCTGGTGAAATTAAGAAAGTCTTTGTTTTTGCTTTTTGTGCCCAGGAAAAAAAGAAGTAATTTTAATTTATCTAAATAGGAGTAACCCATCCCATAGGGTTGTTCTATGTATTCTTGCCAGGTGGGGTTGGAGCACCTTGTGAGCTCAGCAGCCCAACATCGATAGTAAGGGAGTCAGGGTTTCTTCATCTTCCCTAGAGTTAGAACTCAATTCTACAGCCACTGTGTCAGGGACCACTTTGAGCGCCCTTGGCACCTGCTGGCTGGAAATCAATTTAGCTGTAATGGATCTGGCCCAGCTTTTCCTCTCTTGGGTCATCTGCACTCATAGTGGTTGAAGCAAGATCTACCAGATGGGGACATTGAGATGGTCCCTTTCTCCTTCTCATTTCCAAGAACAACTCTTCCAATGGAGAGCTCAACAGGCCACCAAGAAGGCTTCCATCAGCCTTGATCTTAACTGTGAATGCAATTTTACTATAAAATGCTCTGTCAGGCAGTGATAGCTACTGCAGAGACCTCTTTGTCCTCATATTTCTGTCCTGGATGGAAGGAAGATGGGGTAAGAAGAAAGCAGACATGGACATTGGTTTGCTGAGGCAGTGACTTGGAGAACAGAGCCATGAAACCACCAACCAAAGAAGGGTCAGCTCAGATCAGTACAGGCGGCCAAAAGAGACCTAAGGGACTTGGGCAAGAAAACCAAGCAGTAACTTTTGGGTTTGTTGGACGTGGCTAGAAGGCTCTAGAGACTCTAGAGAAAATGTGGAAGATACAGGGCTCAGAGGCATCTGTTGGGCTAAATGCTGAACTGAATCAAGCTCATTGGATTGTTTAGTGGTTATTTTTACTCTGGACATGATCCTACTTTTGGCAGGATTTGCTCTGTTGAGAAATAGCTGGGAACAGTTGCAGCCCAGGTTAGGGGGAAGACTGAGGGGGTCCTAGTGTAATGCCTGGTTCATTTGGGGATGATGGTAGGTTGGGAGAGGGAACTGATGAGAGAGGCCCTTGATGAGAAGCCGTGTGAACTTTGGGAGGCATTAAGTCAGCTCTGCCGGGCAGAACCACCCTGTCCTCCCAGAAGCCGGATTGTAGTGCCCATAGGTTTGTGCTTTGTCTCCCTGCTGGACTGTGAGTGCCTTAAGAGACGGTCTTTCCTCTTTGTCTTCCCAATGTCGAGCAGAGCTCCTGCTGCATGGAGGCCATGATCCAGGTTGAATTGGGTTTTTGGGAAATGCAAAAAGAGGATTGGTTTGGGGAAGAGGGGATGGTATCAGCAGTGCTCTGAGGGCTTTGAAGACCCTATAAATACATATTCCCCTTGGAGGCAATACCCAGGGGCCTCCTCCTGCCTTCCTCGATCCATTTCAAGTGAAGACTTACATTTGAATTTTGAACATAAAACATTGGACCTGATGAATGGAAAGGAATGAGAAACAGTTCATCTGAGTCTGTATAATAACAGGACACAATAAAGATGAGCAGCTGCTTCCAGCGTGGATGGGCTGTGAGGTTGGTGGGAGGATTGCTGTCTGTCTTAAGCATTGAACTTCAGGATGCAAAGACAAGGTGAGGTACAATTTCTACTCTTGCCTTCGGAAGTTTCTGGGCAAGACAAGGCCAAGGGCACTTCCAAGTGTCCCAGAGATCATTCATCCAGAGGCAGGGGCTTTGTCCCCTTGGAAGCCCAAAGCAAAAGAAACCAGTCTGGATCACAACAGGGAGCAGTAGGCCACTTCTAAGGGAAGACTATCCAATTACGTGGTACTCAATCATGAATGGAGGCAAGGAGCTTCTGTCCTTGGAGGCCTGTGACAATAAGTATGATAGCCTTTTGTCAGTGACTGCGTGGATGAGCAAAAATTAGGTGGTGTCTGAGTCTCCTTCAAACTCTGAGATTCCACTGTTCCTTGTGCTCTGAAGAAGCCCCAGCTATGCTCAAGGACTGAGGGATTTTCCCCATGGGTAACCACTGGACATTGGCAGGATTAGAATAACTTGTGTGTGTGTGTGTGTGTGTGTGTGTGTGTGTGTGTGTGTGTGCATGTCCTCACTCAGAGGGTGCTCGGTAGCCATTAAGCTGATGTAATTGTTGTAAACAAACATAAAACACGAGACTGCTGGTGGAGGAAGAACATGGCAGTCTTATCATTCCCCTCGCACCAATCTCTCTAATCTCTTTCTTCCTGTCCATTTCTGCTCTTCTCCCCATCACCCTCTCCCTTATGCTCTTCTCTCATTTCTCTCTTTTGTTTTTGTTTTTGAGATGGAGTCTTGCTCTGTCACCCAGGCTGGAGTGCAGTGGTGCGATCTCTGCTCACTGCAACCTCCACCTCCCAGGTTCAAGCGATTCTCCTGCCTCAGCTTCCCGAGTAGCTGGGATTACAGGTGGGTGTAACCACACCTGGATAATTTTTGTATTTTTAGTAGAGACAGGGTTTCACCATGTTGACCAGGCTGGTCTCAAACTTCTGACCTCAGGTGATCCTCCCGCCTTGGCATCCCAAAGTGCTGGGATTACAGGCGTGAGCCACTGCACCCGGCCTCTTCTCTCATTTCTATTGTTTTTAACCGGTTCACATGGAAGTGAAAATCACCGTCTTCAGCCTGCTAGTTTGATGTTGGTATTTGCATTTGTTGACTTAGGGTCCTAGAGTGGTTTCTGTTCCCAAATCTGAAGGTATCTATTCATCATTCAAGACACTTTATCAAATGTATTTGCCTGGCTCACTTTTTTCATACCTTTCTGGCTTGGATCAATCACAGAGGTTACCAAGTTTATGCCTGCATTTTAGAGATTGGGACATTGGGGCTCATGGAAGGCGACGGCCAGCCCAAGAGCAGTGAGGACAGGAGCAGATGCCAGTTCCCAGGCCCTGGCATGGTCACCCCCAACCTCAGCCTGCCTTCTCCCTAGCCCAGCACAGGGTCCTTCCGGGACTGCTCCTTCTCGCTGCTGAGTCACAGTCACTGTCTGCAAAAACTGCCTCAGAACTGACCCCGTGAAGCTTAAATTTCTTAATTTGTTCTAACTCCGACTTCTCATCCCCCCTATATCCTTAGGAAAATAATCCATTTATCTGAAAGTCATCTCTCAAGGTCATGGAGAACAAAAACAAAACAAGACAGATAGGAGACACTAAAGTTCTCAGGACAACCCAAACAGACAACTCAAAGTGCACCTGGGAGGGCTCCAGTTCCACGGATCTCCTCCAGAACATAACTGAAGGGGTAGGGCTCAGGGTGACCTCTGGAAAGCAGGCATCATTTTCCATGTGACGCTGTATTTCATTAATCGTCCCTGAATTTTCCCCACTCTTATCCTAGTTTCTTGGGCCAACTGAATGCAAACAACAATGCTCAGGCTTCCTGGATTTAGTCCCAAACATTCCACACCAGGCACTGTGAGCTCCCTGGTGTTTGTGAGCCATGAGGAGGGGGATGAGGTGGAGTCCACCTGGAAGAGGAGCAGGATCACTAGGGATGAAGCCGAACCGAGATACTGAGGTCTGCCCCCAGCTGAACCCCTGACTGACCATGGGACCCTGTGCAAATGTGAGGACTCCCTGAGCCTCAGTTTCCCCATTTGTAAAAGGGGGGATTTCTCACCTCACCAGGTGATCCTCAGGATTTAGAGGAGATGATTTGTATGGAGGCATTGGGCACAGAGCCTGACACATCTGTGGCCCTTGGTTACTGTGAGCAGTATCTGGGTCCTCTCATCCTCCCCAGAAGGGCTCTGCTCTGCATCACTGATGTCACCCGCTCAGACCACACTGGACTGGTTCTGACACGTGACATTCCTGAGACCCCAGTAATTCTAAATGCTTCTTTCCTCTAAGGAACTGTCTCCTACTCCCATCAGGGGAAGCACAACATCTCTGACCAGATTCCTTCTTCAGAAGCAGCCAGCCCTGCAGGGCTCTTGGCCGCCCCTGACCTCTCTGGCCTGGCATTCAGGACTGTACATCCATGGGCCACTCAGGATCTCAGGGTCCAGTGGATGGCAAGAGCCCACATAGCACAGGGTCGGACTCATCCACTCTGATAGGGAAGATTTTTCCAGCAAAGGCTCTGTTTACACTGGGAATGAATTGTCAGGCTTCCGAACAGGCAGGTTTCCTGGGTCTAGATTTGGGCAGAAACTCAACAATGCCACAGACTGCAGAGGTGGGCATGACCCTTCCCAGAACGGCAGGTTGTCACAGCCCCCAAATGGGTATTGGACACTCTGATTTGGCCCTGGGCAAGCAAGGAGTGAGGGATCTCCACCACTTTCAACCTTTGGCCACTCTTCATTCTGCCCAAGGTGAGTGAAGACCCAGAGGCCTGAGTGCCAATGGGGCAGGCTAGAGGGGACTGGGGTCACAGGTCCAGACCTTGGCAACCTGCAAGAGACTCCTCCAAATGTACAGCTGATTTTTAGAGAGGGCCAGGAGTTGGGAAATTTCATGGTGTCCTGGAACAGATCCCCTGTAGACTTTCTGAGCCTTAAAGACAAGTCAGCTTTGGGGAAGCTTCTTGGGGTCTGGTTATGCAGGGCCAGGTCCCAGGACAGCTCTGAAAGTCTCCAAACTACTCACTTCAAGGAGAAGAGGAACCCTTTATTCCTATTATATATAAGAAAGAAGACCAAAGAATGGGTGAGAAATTCCCAGGATGGTTCTCAGCAGATGTGATCTATGGAACAAGACAAAAGTAAATGAATACCTCTTTGTTCAGATCCCCTGAGTAGCTAAGAGAATGTGCAGGATTGGGGAAGGCAAGGAATGAGGCCACTAGAGACAATGCACTTCATCAAAGGACCGACTTCCTTCTTCACTCCAAAGGAATTTCATCTAAGCTCCCACCTGCCGCCGAGTGGAAGCATGTTGTGCTGGAGCAGTTAGGCAGTGTCTGGATTTCTCTTTTAAAAATTGTCTTGGATGGCTCGGCCACCTTGTGCAAGACTTGTAAACCATGTGCAAAACTCAGACTTGTGCAGACAACCAGAGAAGTTGCAAAGCTGCCTTCTGCGTACAGGGCTTCCCCTGCCAAGTTTGTGCTTTGTGTAACCATGTGACCTATCATCTTTCTCTCAACTATTTTTTAAAAACCTCTCAAAGTCTTGCTCAGCCGAACTGGCTTGATGGTAGTTTGTAAATGTGCTAGAACCCGCTGCCCTCACTGCAGCTATGAGTATGTTTCAAAATGTTTCCAAATGGCACACAGTCTAGGGCCAATTTCCTGAGCACTTTTGACACTGGGCTCTCAAAGATTCCCTTTATATCTAACTTTCGAAATGAAAGCAGATGCATTAACCCCACTTGGGCAAGTTGCCATCAGTGGCTGGCAGGGGAGGAGAGGTATTAGGAGTCCGTGGTGCAACAGAAGGGACATGGGATTTGGCACTGGGTGGAGTAGCTAGGAAGGGCACAGTTGGCCTAAAGCTAAGGCAGAAAATACTAGTCCATCCTCTGGGTATAGGTTACTCCATAGAGATGACCACAAATAAGGAAAGAAAAACACCCAGGTCAGGTCCTCCCCAGAGTCCACCAGATTCCCTGCCATGGTCTTGACTCAGGACCATGATGTAAGTACTAATTCAGCTGCAGGTACACATGATCTCCCCACCCCCGGCCCCAGAGGTCACATGCTCATTTTTCCACTTAAGCCAAATTTTTCTTCTTGCCTTAAGTTAACACATCCCCAAAACATATATAAAAAGTAGAATCTGTAAAGAAAATAAATATTTTGAACCAAGAAGAGGATGAAAACAAGTTGTAAACATGTAACTGAAACAGAAAATACACATCAGTTCACTTACAGAACCAAACGAGGTTACACTGAATCATTTCCAATTAAAGAAAAGGAAAATTCTTTTTTCTTTAGCTCTTAAATTTAGGAAAAGAATCACTGTAGCATGCTCACCTTGAACCAGGGATTGGATATTGTGTTTCTTGTACAAAGGAAAAAATCTGTGAGGATTATGGAAAACAGTTTGGAAATCTAAGGTGAACGGGTGGGGAGAAAAACTGGAAGATTGCATAGTTGTGAAACAGTGGCTTCTCATCAAGGTGAACAAGTGCATCATCTGATAAAATAGCATTTGATATATATCTTTTCCTGTTCATGTCTGCTTGCGGTATTTTGTTCTCTGTCCACCAGACATTTCACACACTGGAACATATATACAGTACACACACACACACACACACACACACACACACACACATGCTAGCATGAAACATCTGAAGTACACAGCCATCCTTTGAAAGGACCCCACACCGCTAGTTCTGGCAAAGTTTATATTCACCAATAATACACTTTAATCACATCCTAACCCACTTCTGGTCAAAACTAATCTCTTGGATTCTTTCATTAGTAACTAAAGGGGGTGGGGTGCGGTAGAAAAGGATGGGGACATGAAGGAAAGCCTCAGAAATGGTTCTCTTCTCTTGCTGAACTTCTGCGGAAATGCCTCACCTTTTGGTTAGAGGGACACTATTTTTTAAGAGATGGGAAAAAAACTGCCTCTTTTTTTTTTAAGCTTTCTTGAGGTAAACGTTATTGGTTAGCGCCCTAGGCAGGGGACATTTTTACAGCACTGTAGAGAAACCTTGGAATAAAGAAGAAACAACACAAAAGCATAACATCAATGCTCAGAACATTTAAAAAGCACATCTATGTCTTGATTTATTCCCCTTTCCTCTCATTCAGCCTACTCCTTCTACTAACATGTGGAACAGAACAGAAAGATGAATGATTTCCCATATCACACTGGGCATCCCTTATCCCATCCCCACTCTAAACCTCTCTTGCACACATACTAAAAGTTGTGAATTAACTGACAAAATAAAGATGACCACACTGTACGTTTTTCCATTCTATCTGCCTCAAACATATATATATATATGTATATAAATATATATATATGATAGTTTACCTTAATATAAGAAATAGCAAAGGTCTTTTTGTTACACTTTATACAGAATCTCTGCATCTTATCTTCATTTTCTATTCTCTCTGTCTCACTTTTTGGATAAACAATTGGCTATAGCAATCTATAGTAAGGCTTCACAGAAATAATTCTGCATGTTTTGTTTTTCTCTAAGAACCAAAGTATATAAAATGAGGTTTGATTCTAGCACCTTATACAGTATTAGTGATGTTGTTCCCTTGGGAGAAATTAGCACTACCCAACGCCCTAGGTGAATCTCCATCAGTTACAGAATATTTAAGGTATTGCCAAAGGCAGGACAGAAAACATAGCAGAGATGGAGAAACAAGAGGCGAACAAAACAAAACCCCAAGATTTAAGTCTTAGCAACATATAAACAAAATCTTAACATGTCAAGTTGCTGTCTCCAAATTAATAATGATCTAGTGATTCAGTATCATCAGTTAATCCTTTTAAGTTACTCTTCCCCATGAGGTAAATATTATGATACTCATTGTAGATGGAGAACCCATGTGTGGGACGTATGCAGGTCACAGGGGAAACTGAGTCAGGACACGAAGTGAGGGATGCCCAACTTCCAGCCTCTTATTCCCAAACTGTCCCCTGCCACCTTTGATAGGTGAGTCAAGATTTTGGGGAAAGCAGCTTATTGGCCACTAATGGGGAAGCAAAACAAACAAAGAATTAAAAGAAATATATATCAGCACCAAAGGAAGTTCAAAAGAAGCTGCACTTTGCTCCCTTATCAAATATTCTGTGTTACGGAGACAGCAACTTTCACAAGAAGGAAGAAGAAAACTTGTCACAGGAGAGTAACCCATCTCATCTGTTGTGCCTTTCCCAAATGTCAGTACCCTCAAGAGAGCCATTAGTTCCAGTTGAGTAGTATATATTTTTGTAGAGGAATGATCAACTCCCACCAAAGCTGCATCAGAACCTCAATTATATAGTTATATAACTATGGTGATATATCTATATCTAAGTATATATTTATACATTAAAGTCTGTTACTGCACTGGCACAGAATACCATTTGCTGGCGTTGCTGTTTGCTGCAAGTGGTCGCCTTGAGTGGAGTTACACAACAGAGAAGCACCACGAGAAAAGGCACCACAAGGTTCGAGAAGTTAAATTGTTTGTTGTCACTGCCCTGACCTCGCCACGGTGGGGGAACAGAAAAGTCTTTTGAGCAATTGATTCAAAAGCTCCCAGCCCATGTGCATCTGTCCCTTCCAACTCAGCAGGGAGAGAGGGAAGAAAGAGCATGACATTGTTCTTTTTAATGCGATTTTCTTTTTGGCTAATAGAAAAGAAAAAACAGTTTCTTTTTTTTTTCTTTTAAAAATAAGGGGTCTCAGACACTGAAAACCCAGCTCTCCTAAAACAGTAAAAAAAAAAAAAAAAAAAAAAAAAAAAAAAAGAAGGACAAAAGTCGTGTGCTAAGGAAAGTCCTACATGGAAATCTGTCTTTCTAGCATAATTACTCAGTTGCAATGCATTACGAAAAAAAAAAAAAAGAAAGAAAGAAAATGAAGGAAATTACATCCATAGGCACAGTTTGCCACAAATAGCACCAGGTCTAGATTAATGAGGACAGACAGATGTCCACATCTGTCCACATAGCTGAGAACCATGGATGTTGACTTTGAGTCAACATTACTCCATCCTCATAGTCTGGCCAAGAAAATGGAAGTCATTGGCCATCTGGAGCACCAAGAGTTAAATGTGCCACTGACGAACCAGAAAAGGAGAGGAGGCAGTGAAGGACTGCAGAGTGGATATTAAATGGCATTTTAATTTTTATTAGCATACTTGCCGGCCTTGAAATACTCCTGCCTAGGTTTCTCCTTCCAGGCAGGGAGCCACGTCCCACGTGGGAATGGGGAATCTGTATCTGTGGCAGGAAGATCTGAACATGGTGTGGGGGATACAGGGGCACAGCGTTCTCTCCAGCCATTGTCCTTCCTGACTTTAGGTCTGGGCTGTACAAGGGAGGTCAACTGGCCATGCTGGTGTGAACTTCAGGCTCCCAAGACTTACTTTCCACTGTCCAAGCTGATGGTGACAAGATAGGGAGACCTGGGGCCAGGATCAAAATGGCTCCCTGTGCTGGGACCTTTCTTCCCAAACCTGGACCAATGCTTCTCTCAATGACAAGAGGCTGCTTATTGGGTGGGGTGGGGTCCCACCCAATAGCCTCTGTGATATACTTACTTCCTTGAGCTGGAGGTTTTAGCTAAAATAGGTTTTCAAATTCTGATGCTTGTCTATACCAAAAGTGATGCTCCCAAGTTCAGTATAAGGAAAATAAATGATTCCTATCACCTTCCAACAATCTGAATTATTTACCCAAGTCTACTTTTGCTGTGTGGAAAACAGGGCCAAACAAAAGACTTCTGCCAGAAGAGTTCTCCATTTGCAAGGAGGCTTCCCTAGCCCCTTCATGGGAACAGAAAAGCCACCTCACCACCATCTCCCTTTCCCTGGATCTCCTCTTAGACTATTTTCCACCACACACCTACAATAACAGACGGGAGTGTCTGGGAGTCTTTTCCTGTGGTTCTAGGACAGTGGTCTCTGCCCATTTTGCTGGCTTCCATGCCTCTGCCTTTCCATTGATCTAAGGTTCTTAGTGCTCCAAGAACCAGTCCAGCAACTGTACTAGGTGAAGTCGAAATGGCAATGTGCATTCTGAGCTGCTAGGAGTGGGAAGTGAAGATTTTGCTCTTAGCCTTTACACCTTGGGAATTTTCATTCAGTACTTTCCTCCCCTCTCAGCTTTATCTATGGGCAAAGACGATGTTTTGCACATATGAGGTGCTCAGTTCAATTAATTAAGAATAAGGACTTCTTCCCCCATCCAAAGGGTGCATTAATTACATAGCGTGTCATCAATCACACGCATAAGGGCTCTCCCTGACCTGTCACACAGGGTGTCAATAAGCAATACCTGTGTAGTTTGAGGGTGATCAAGGGCAAGGTACTTTCTAGCCCTCCCCCAAAACTTTGGCTAAGTCACTTCCACAGAGATCTTCCCCAGAGAGATGGGGGCTAGAAATCAAGTCATTTCTATTCTTTTAGGTCGAGACTTTGGTTAACAGGAGGTGGTCATGAACCTGCATCTAGGAAGGTCCAGCTCACAGGCTTTCTCCTTAGCCTATAGTTCACTACAGATGATTTTTAACACCAGCAAACTCCAGAGTAAAGGAAAACATGGTATGAGCTTTGGAAGCTGTATTCTACTCACTCGGCTCTTCTCAGGATGTAAGAACTAACCGTGAGGATTAGATACATGGAGGCAAAGGGAAGAAGGAAGGAATCCCAGCTGGAAAAGGTGAGTTTCATATGGTGACTAAAACTTCACACAGTGAGCAAACTTCCTGTCCTAGTGAAAGTGGAAGAGGAACAGGGGCACCCGCCATTAGCTTGGAGATGCCACGTTCTCAACCTTTCCTTGTATAGATGGATGCTTGCTCAAGCACAGTTTCGGCATGGTGGTGGGGGGAAATATTTGGAATCTCAAAAGTAATGATGTTTATGACTCTGCTTCCTGAAAACCCGCAAATACATACACAGACATGTTTGTCAGACAGCCAATGCTCAGGGTGGACAGGAGCAGTGAGACTATTTTGCTAGCCCTTTAGGGAAAATTACAAATTGTATGTACTCAAGGCTTTGAATTACCTGAGAAGTTCAACTAGTTTTGCTTTAGAGAGCATCAGTTAGCAGCATCTTCAGCCTTACGGAGTGAACATGGAAAAGCTTCTCGGGAGAAAAGTATCCAAGAAAAGCTAAGCAAATCCCAAAAATAATGCCCATGAAAATCACCGTCGTTATGAGAAGAGAGATTGGATTCCAGTCTCCCAGCCTCTGCTGACTGCCTCCCTGCGGCAGGTGGAGGGGTTGAGAGAGCCCGTGACCAGGCGCAAGAGAAGCCCAAAATGACCCTGCGGGGTGAAGTCAGTGAGGCCAGAGCCAGGACCTCATGGCCCGTTCTCAGGCACACACAGAGCCGGAAAGTGCTGGAAAGCTCAGCCCAGCTGCAGGGAGAAAAATGGATTTCCTTTAAACAACAAACCACCGTGGCAGCCCCAGACATCAGGAAATGACAGTGACACCCAAGGGGGCTCCTTTCTTTCTTCCCCTTCTCTCTCTCTTTCCTCGCTTCCTTCTTGCCTTCTTTCCCTACTCCCCAAGCCCCCAACTTTTTTTCTACAACAGATGTGTATTTTTTTTTAAAGTAAAAGAAAACCACCACGCCAAAGGCAGGGTGGCATCATCAACCCTTCCAGCATGGCACTGTCCTCTTCCCATGTCTTTTTCCTAATTCTTTCTTCCTACCCCAAAAAGCCAATTTTCTGTTACACCAGAAAAACAAGACAAAAATTTTTCTTAAAAACATGTCTTGTCACAAATGAGTCCATGTAAGGAAAAAGATAATGAAAACTGTGTACAACGGGGATCAGGGCTGGAGATAAGGGGTTGTGGAAGCTGGAATATACTTGGCCATCGTAGGGAAAGCAGAGTCAATTTGCTGCCCTCACTACTGGGGCTACCATGCCTGGGGAAGGGAGAAGAGATGGAGGGGAGGAGATGGGACGGATGGTGCTGGCATGACCGTCTGGAGCCACTGGCCGCACGCCACACCCTGAGTGTCAGGAAACACAGGCTGTGCATGTGTGACAGTTTAGAGGAGGGGATCCAAAGCTACCTCTGGGGATCTGGGCTTGAAAGGGTTTCTTCAGGCTTGGACAGACCCTGTGATTGCCTCACACCTGATACCAGGTCTTCCAGGTGGACTCTTACGAAGCCCCTGCCTGGATCGGAAACATCCAGAGACCATGGATCCCAACACTGCAGGTGGCCTCCCTTGCTCTTCCAGCCAGAAGAAGAGGCTTAGAACCACACTCTGCTCCAGAAAGAAACTTAGGGTTCAGCGTGCCCCGCTGCATGAGCACCTGCTTCCTCCAGCTCACCTGAAACGCTCTTTTCCCACATAACCAAGTATCGTGTCGCTCCAGGTCATGCCAATTCTGTCCGAGGGCAGAAGGGGCTCTGGGTGGCTTTGCACGCTGTGGGCACCTGGGTTTCTGCTGAAGTCTGTCTGGAGGACTCCAGAGTTGTCAACGCTGCCGCTCCTGTGGGGAGGTACCCAGAGCTGCCGAAAAATGCGTTCTGCCTCCCGCAAAGCAGGACTCCCTGCAGTGTCCCCTGTCTACTAGAGATGCCAGAAGGACTTCATATTTAGGCAGAGGAGACTCTTTCCCCAAGTCCTCATGGCTTCAAGGGGCCAGCCTCCAACTCGCCTGCAGAGATTGGTGGTGCAGGGGAGCTGGACAGAGCAGGTTTGGTTGTCACTGGCCAGAGATCCTGGCAGCCAAAGATCATCTACCACTGGCCGGTCTCAGAGCGGTAACGTCCAGGCTTACTTGTCCACAGCACATTCCCCTCTCTTTCCCTACGGGGGGACTGCTGCGCTAATGGATCAGATGTACTCAGTGTGATTCAAATTCCAGAACTTCTGGGGAGTTGTTTAGAAAGCTGCTTCCTGGGGATCCCAGGTTGTTCTGTGAATCTGCTGAGAATACTGGTAGCAACTAGAGAATCTCTCAAGACCCCGTAGAACCCTGCTATTGGCTTTCTGTCACTTACGGAGGAAATGAAGGCATAAACCAGCTCAGGGGTTTCTTTATGACCCTGTGCCTGGGAGAAAGGAAAAAGCCATCTAGACTAGGTCGATTTCAAGCCCGGCAAGAGCCCTAAACATCAGAATACTCTGTTGCATCAAACTGTTTCAGCCCTTTAAGAAAAAGATACATATGCATATATACAAATAATATGCCCAAGACCGGCACATTTATGTATCTCGATGGATCAATAAACTTTGGATGTAGTTATATGGTCATGCACTCCTCTGTTCTGCATAACTCACAGCAATTTCATAATCTCAGATCATCTCAGAGTTCGTGTGGCTTTCAGCTCTCTCTCTCTCTCTCTGGCATTTAAAAAATCAATGTAATTTCAAACACAAACGAAGCCATCAATAATGAGCAGGTGCCATGAGGTTAGCGGTTAGCAGGGGGGAGATGTGAGCAACCACATCACAGGGATTGTTGTTATTTTGAAGAGCGGATGCCCTAGACAGCCCAGCCGCTGGGAAAACAGCATTCTGAGTTACTGGCCCACATTGGCTTCACAGGTTATCAGTGAGTGTCCCAACTGCCTAAGTAACATCACCTGTTCTCTCCAGCCCTCCACTTCTGTAAAGGCTCAACTAGGACCCAGGGCCACGCCTTTTAAAGGCACATGGATATAAAAAAAGGAAGAAGCAGAGCCTGTCCTGGGTTTTAGGCAGGCTAGGCCCAGGGCAATTCTGGAGGCCCTCTCAGTGGGAGTGAAATGACAGCTCCTGCAGGGGTGGGGGCATATTTGGTGGAAGCATGCAGCAACAGTGGTGTCAAGGCAAGTGAAAAGGCTGCAGTGGTTGCATTTGGACAGACAGCTCTGACCTGAAGCAATGTGCATGGAAGCATAGGCCTCGAAGAAGGCAGGCCTTTTGGAATCAACGTTGGGGGCCACTCGTGAACACAGGCTGGAGAGGGGCAGAGACGTGGCTGAGACGCTGAGGATGATCTGGGCAAGTTGGCAGCACCAAACTGAGGCCCCCCTTTCCTTGAGCCCAGGGTTCGTTGAAAAGAAAGGAGCGTAGCACCTCAGCACTACCTCAGCTGCCTAAGGAAACTCACCACGGGCCTCCGCAGTCCCATGTCCAAGGTACAGGCCACCATGGACCTCTGAGTCTCACGTCTCTTCTAGCAACCAAACAGCAAATCAAATCACCTTCCCTTTCTCTCAGTCCTTTCTTCCCTCTGAAAGGAAAAGAAAATAACTCTCTTCTTTCCTTAAAGGCTGGCATCATACAATGATTTTCAAAATAACAAGTGGCTTCTCTCTGGTTCTAATACACAGAGGAAGCCCCCACTGGCTTCTGAGGATGTTCTTCTGTGGCAGAAAGATTTCTGAGGATTCAGGGGGACTGCCCTAGGAATACTGAAAGGGCATTCCTAAAGCTAAAAGGCTCTGGGAGCATTTCCAGAAAGCTTCGATTTGGGGCTGGAATTCCAACCTGCTTAGTGCAGTAGGTAGTTTGGCTCTTTGTAGAAATTTGTGAACCTCCAGCACGGCACTGTACACATCATCTGAATCCTTTGACGTGTGCTACAGTTTAGAATCCAGACTTGGTTCACTCAGTATGTTTGGGAAGGGAAGAACTTTTTGCACATGGAAAAATGAATGAGACATTTTAAAAGGCTTTGCTTTATGTGAGGCAGCTAAGAAATTGAAAACTCCTCCCACCAAAAAAATAAAAAAAAAAATGGCAGTCGCATGTTTTGATTTGTTTTCGAGTAAAGACCCTTGTCTTTGGAAGCCAAGACTTTCCAGCAAACAACAGTATACCAGACTCTCCAAGGAAACCAATCAACCCCAAATCCCCAGCTATTCCAGGACAGCATAAGTGAATTGTTCTCTGGGTCTGAAGACAGAGGAAAAAGGCTATGGCAAAACTGAAGCTGAGCCTAGAAGGAATAACTGAAATAATAGAACCATATGTGCTGGTCACAAGGAACTTTCACTGCTATTTGCCTTCATTTTCCCACAAAGGAAGCAGAACAACCAGTATTTGTTTGCTTCCCACAGGAGCATTCTCTGATGGAAGCCAAAGAATTTAAAGCCCTTCCTTCTTGTCTAAATATTTGAGAAGGAAAGGAGAGTAGCTTTTCTGGGGCAGAAAGAGAACTCCTTTCTTGACCCACATTGAGACAACTCTGTTATTCTGTCCTCTTGGAATCTTTTAAAATATATCCATTAATCAAAAGAGAGTGGAGGAACTGGATCATATTCCCTTCCTCCACTGCACCTTGCACACAGTAGATGCTCAATTGGTGTTTAGATTTTTAAACAGGAAGCAAGCCTGATCACCATAATACTTTTATCTTCAAAGCGCTTTACCAGCCATGATTACTTAATCCTCACAACACCCCTGTGAGGTAGGTCAACCATATTCTTCCCATTTTACAGAAAGAGAAATTGGCCCTAAGAGTGACTTGACTTAGGTCTGTAGAAGGATAGTCCTGGATTTTTTACTTCCAATAACATGATCTGTTCTTGAGAATGTGCCTCTCCTTTCTTTAGATATTTTCTCTGAGCCTTTTGTTTAAAAAAAATGCTTAAGCACGTCACTCCGTAAAATCAATTTCCTCTGTTTGAAAAGAATACGTTTTTCTATTTCTGCCCCAGAGAGTATAGGAAGGAATGCCTAGATGGCCGCTAATGTTCTCCTCCCGCATACTTCTGGAAGCCTTCCTCTTCGTCACCATTCTTCCTACCCATCTACTGAGTCCTGTTGTTCCCCGTGGCTCCATGTGTCCATCTTCAAAGTTCTTGTTCTCAAATTTGGGACAGTTCATTCACCATCCATCCCAGTCAAAAGCGGGTGCTGATGAGAACGGAGAATCAGGTATGAGGTCTCATGTATTCTCTCCTTTTGTTACTATCAGAAATACCTTGTGGAAATAAACCATCCCAGCAGGACTTGACCTATCCACAGAACAGTCAGATGCACGGTCAAGCACAAGTCATTCGTGAATTCCAGACTATGATCTCGTCCCTTGTGCTGTCAAAACAATAATATTAACCTCAGAGAGCAGGGTCAGAGCAGGAGGGAAAGGAGTTCTGGTCAGGGCTCCGCTAGGAATGAGCAGGAGGCGTTGGCAGCAGCCACCGAGACCTGCTCATGCGAGCTCCATCTCATTTAGGGACAGTTCCAGGAGGGGCATTTTTTTCTTGGTGAGAATTTCTATATCAAAATACACCTGAACTCCAAGGAAAAGGCCAGAGCCAGGTTGACTGATGCAGAACAGTTGAAGCTTCTGGAATTTTTCTTTCCAAGAAGGTTCTCGGAGCTGATAGAAAATCAGCCTCACGGCTGGCCCCCCTGGAACCCCAGTGCCTCCTGGGCTCCCACCTGCCCTCACTCCAGGTTAGGTCCTAAGAAAAGCAGAGGCTCTCAGGACAGGTCTGTGTTCTTGCTCAGAGTGTATCTTGGTATTTGAATTGATAACAGTCAAACCATAGTCAAAAGAAAAAAAAAAGGAAAGAAAAAGAAATTCAATGTGACATTTCCAATTCGAATTATAAGAAAAAAAATACCTTGTTTTAGAAAAAAAAATTAGTGCTATTCTCCAGCCCTGTTTGTCTCTGAATCCTTGCCTGCAGGTTCCGCTCAAAGCACACAAGGGAGGGAAGAAAACCCACCATTGGGACCCACATTTTGGCAGATGGAACAATTGTTTAAAAAGAAAAAGATTCGGTGTTTTTCTTTTTCTGTACTCTGCAGAGAGGGAAAGAGGTGAGTCCATTTGATGAGGTGAGCATCAAGATTGAAAAAGATTGTAAGGAAGAACAAAGGTGAGAGAGATTTCCTGAAGAGCTTGCAACCACCTTAAAAACAGTCTCTAAATACTCTCCATTCACTCCTCTTGTCTGCCCAAAGCGCAATGAATATCAGTGTTCAAATGCATCCTTCCATATATTCTCTGATACCTTAGGAAGAATTAACATCAGGAGATTTGGTGTTAGAATTACAAGTGGCCAGCTCAAGATAGGTGACCAAGGGTCACCTGACCAGGGTACCACTGACCTGGGTTCACAGTGCTATGAAGTCTCTAAGAACTACAGGTATGTGAGACTCCTCCCTGTCCCGCTGTGCTCCCTGTTCATCCTGTGGCTTCCAGGTGCCACTGCCCCTGGAAAACACTCTCTCCTCCTGTGGTTCCATTTCCCAAGAAATGAGGTCACCACTTTTTCTCATATGACAGCTTTGCTATAGGCAACAATGACGAATCCTCCAAGCATCCCTGAGCAGGAGAGAAGAAAGAGGTTGGCCTTCTTTCTCTCCACTTTACAGATGGAGAAACCAAGGCACCGAGAGGTGAAGTGAGTTATCCACGATCACAGTGGGGACCGTGAATCAGCCTGTGACATTTCCTGATCTTTCTGGGTCTAAAGGAAAGCCCCTAGGAAGTCTGTAGCTAAAACAAATCTCCCGGGCCCACTCTAGCCCAAGGATCCCAGAGCTATGTTGAAGATGGACAAACAGACCAGGGGAGCTCATCTAACAGATGATGGGTTGTCTGTATCCGCCGTGACAGATGGCCAAATGTGCTTATAGAGGGATGTGCACTGGGTTACCAATTGGCACTATACTAAAGGGAAATTATTTCTTTGTCCTCATTGGTTTGAGAATGATTTTTAGCAGTAGTTGGGGTCCTAGGATTTGTGTTAGGGATTCACAAGGGCAGCATCTCCTCCTGGGACCTGCGCACTGTGCTGCATGTGATGGGCCAGCCTGGGGCAGGTGTCCCTAGGTCCTGCCTGCTCATTTCCGATGTGGTCTATTCTTAGCCCTTGACACAAGGTGTTGGCCAAGAGCAGGGGGAACTCCCACAGTGGTCCGTCTGCTGCCCTCGGGAGTTGTCATTAATAGCACTCACGACCTTTGTCTCCAGGATATATCAGCCATGGCCTGCCAGCCAGTGCAAGGAAAGCCACAGGAGTAAGGAGCAGATGGTGCCAGGGAGAGCTGAACAAGGCAGACAGGACCAGGCGAGCCAAGGAAGGAGTCTGCAGCAGGATCAAGGCAGCACCTTTGTCTTCTGATATTTGGCCATCAGCACAAGATGCAGTGTTTCAGCAAGAAGTGAAATGTTTAGAATAGCTAAGAATGGGTGAGAAAGGGGCTTGTGTTGCCACTGCAAGAATTCAGATCAAGCATCATCCTTTTTTTCCCCAGTGAAGAGGGATAGAAAAAAATCTCTGGGAGGGTAGAGTTGCCTTTTTGCCTTTTTACATGTTTTGAAATTGGAACAGACGCACATTGATTGAGGATGCCGGGGGAAGTCCTCTTGCAAGCTCATGGGTTTGTAACCTGTGATTGGCTGGCCCCTGCCATTTCCATGTTCTGGAGGTTGAACTGTGGGTGAGAATGGAATGTTGCTTCTACGACAATGGGCAGTTTGGGCTGAGGAGAAAGGGACAGAAGTTTAAAGAGTTTCCCATTGTGCTCATCTCGTTCTCAGCCGGATCTTGATAAGAGGAACCAACATCGATTTATGTTCACTTCCTAAGGGGTAACTGTGTTGTGCTTGATGAGCGGGTCTGCCCAACAGGGTCTAGTGACGAATAAATATTTGAGAGAGAAATGAATAGAACTGCTCCCTGTAAGGCTGGTCCAGCCCCTGGGGTGAGCCCACCCCTCTGGGTCCTTCCATTTCACTCCTGCAGGGTCTTCCCCAGGTCTCCTTTAAGCTCCTCCAGATTTCCCCGATGGTTTCCTAGTCAACAAAGATAGTATCACATGGATTTTGGTGAAATTAATTGCAATAAGCTCTCTTCTTTTTACAGTATCCAAATTTAAATCTCAACCTCCCCAACCAAATCTGATTGTGTTAATATTTTTCAGTTTGGCAAAGAAAAAATAGATTTTATCTTCTTGGTAAGAAAATCAAATTAAAGGTACACAAGGAGATTCCCCTCCTTCAATCATGAAGCCACCATCCAGAGCAGCTGTCATCACACATACAAGGCCTGGAAGGGCTCGTTTTGAGTAAGGAGCCACTTTTCTTGGCAAAGAAAATGCTACCATCTGTGCCAAACGAATGCTAGGTGACATCCCCAACCCAGCTCATCCGAGCGAGCCAGGAGCATGAGAATATGGCCTGCCTCATTCTCTTCTGGGAGCTGATATCCTTTGCTCCAAGCCAAAGGCTCTGAGCCTGCACACTGTCTTGCTCTTCTTGCTCTGTCCCTGGATCATGGAGAGAGGACCCTGTGCTAAGGTCTGGGGGCATCAAAGCTTGGGGTTGGTTCTAGCCCTCCCATGAGCAAGGAGCAGACCAGATGGGAGAAGGAAGGTGGTGTTTCCTCTATCTAGCTTGCGGAGACTGCGAAGGGGTTTAGATGTGCAAGAACAAGCAAGGCTGTGGCCCACCCAGTGCAGCTTCAAACCAGATCCACATCAGAGACCTTCTTTTCTGCCCCTATGACTGTGCAGTGGGAGGGAATAAAACTGGAAGAAGAATGGAGAAAATGATGTAATTTGGTGCTTTTCTAAAACCTGTAAATTCTTTCTGAGAATCAGGCTCATATCTGGACAGGGTCAGACATCTGTGGCATGAGATGCCCCCGAGCCAGGGGAATCACCTTCATGACCACGGGCCAGACAGGATCATGGGACTCAGAGGGGCCACGGCTGGGGAGGGACTGGGTTAGAGCCATGAGAACCATCGGGTCTTGAATGATTCTGTGCCTGGGGAGGTGTGGTGTGGGGGATCCCCAGGCCATGGGGAAATGTCGTCTTCCCTGCCCAAGGCTGTGTTGTGACGGCGGCATGTCTGGGCAAGGGAGATGGCGCCTCTTTCGTTCTGGCCGCAGATCTGCTTGGGTGAGTGTCCTACCA
This sequence comes from Homo sapiens, assembly GCF_000001405.40. Taxonomy (NCBI): domain Eukaryota; kingdom Metazoa; phylum Chordata; class Mammalia; order Primates; family Hominidae; genus Homo; species Homo sapiens. The sequence continues at coordinate 10,893,789 of NC_000008.11, forward strand.
GTATCCTGGTACCCATGTTGCTGGGACAAGCCCGACCCTGCAGAACCAGGTGACACCTTCCAGAGGCAGAGTGCAGGAGAGTGTTAGAGACACGGGAAGCTTTAGGGTGAGTGAGGCCAGAGGGGGTTGATCTGATGGACTGAAGCCTCCCTAGCACCCCTCATCATGGCCTTAAGAGACAGGGAGCTCCCATTCCGGATGTCACAGGCTTCAGGCAGTGAACTCAGGGCACATTATCCTAATGTCATCTGAGGGGACTGAAGTTTCCTTTTACACAGAGGCTGGGAGAAGAGGCAGACCTGCTGAGCAAGGGAGAAGCAGAGTTTGCAGAAACGACTCTAACACCATTAGTTATAGTTTAGCGATACTACCAAATTTCTGGGAAGAAAAAGTAAAAGCCAAATGTTCTACGTGGTTAGAGGAATAAAATACGGGTCTTAGTGGGCATACTTGATGGGGGGGTCATTAGGGAATGAAAAGGAGATAGTTTTTGTATTCTCCATCTCTGGGCACCAACGTGCTTACCAGGCCTAAATACTGGAAATGGATTATTTTTCATCAGGGGGTCCTGGGAAAGAAATGGGCCCAGAGATTTAAAATTTTTAAAAAACCTAAAAACATCACAGGCATTCCTCTGGGAAGCAACTGAAGCAGCAGCCCTAGAGGGTTGTCAAGGACTGAGGCAAATGAAAAATATGGGACATTGGGCATTTAATGTCCAATGTGGGACAAAGAGTGACCCTGTCACGGGGCGGCCTTAAGGATCCGGGCTTTCAGGACCAAAGTCATCTGGGTCTGGAGACACATTCCCCAGGTGGTCTCAGCACTGAGTGTGTATGGAATCCTGCCTGGATGCCCAGGACCAGTCACTGGAAGGGGAAGGGCCTGGGGGGAAGAGAAGACCCCAGGGGAGATGAGGCCAGAGAGTTTTACGGTGGCTGGGAGTGTGGGGAGCTGCTAGAGGCTGATGACAAGAGGACACTGAGGACAGCTCTGGCCTGGTCCTTGCCATCAGGTCTCCCCTGCCCCTTCCCTGCCTTGCTCTCTACTTCTTTCCTTGCTTTTCTTCCTTTTCCTGCATCTCTGCAAAACCAGCTTTCCCTGCTGCTGCTCACAGATGCATATTTTCATTTTCTTTGTGAAGAAAGTACTGGCATGATGGAGGGGTTCCAGAGAGGGGCGAGGGTGCCTTTTCAAGTGAGAAGTGTGAAATTAAAGATTGCTGAAATGTCCCGTGATCTCCTCATTTGTTCCTAGTGGCTAAGACCCTGGAGGCCCTCCCTGATTTGGAAGTTGCCATCCCAACTCCTGGTGCTCCCGGTCAGCTCAGCATCCACCGTTCTCTTTGTAAGTTGCATGTAAACGTGGCAGGATGCACACACACGGACACACACACACTAAGTGTGCAAGAGTGAAATAGAGGTGGTGAATTAAAACCCGTGACTGCGCTGAAACAAAAAGAAAGAAGAAAGAAAGAAATCCAAGAACAGACACACAAGCAAAAGTGGCAGAAGTCCCGAGGGGATGCATGAGGGCATTTCAAGGAAGATGCGCAAAGGACAGACATGGGCCAGTTCCAGGTGCACAGAGCCCCAGACCTGAAGCAGACAAGAGGTGGGACCCCCCCAGCTAAAGCGGATGCCCCACCCTCCAATGGCCTCACCTTCCCAGCCTAGCAGAGTACACTGTGCAGCTCAGGCGTGAAGCCCTTGCAAGGCAGCACGCTGGTGCGGTTCAGAAAAGTGCCTCTGACTAGATTCCAACTCCCAGGTGACTCTCCAGGGGCCCACGGGCGGGTCCCTTTAATGGGCGCGCCGAGCCCTCCTGGCTGGTTTTCACTGCTGCCTGCGTGTGCTCTGTTCGTCCTGCTTCCTAGAGTTGGGGGCTCCTCCTCCACCTGCCCACCAGTGAGGCCCGAGGGGACCCCCGAGTCAGGGACGGGGAGAGGACAGCACCACGATGCTTAGTAAGGACGCATGAAGTCTAGGAAGTCCAGACAAAGAAGAGAGCATAGAGTTTCACAACTGATATTTGAAACTTGTTCTTAAAACAAAAAAGGTTTTAGATAAACAATGAAGGTGGTGGGAAGGAGAAGCCTCGCTGAATAATAATTGTTTTTTATTTAAAAAAAAACAAAACTCCACAAACATTTAAAAAACCCTCAGTTATTGAACTTCTGTTGAGAATAGTTCAACGTGAGGTCTTGCACCCTAAACAGGTATATATTTGGGAAAAAAAATCGCAGCTACACACAGCAAAGACTAACAGTATTTACTTAAAAATATTGTGTGTGTTTATATATATATATATATATATACTTATTATATATCTTTTTTGTGATTTTTTTTCTTTTCCTTTTTTTTTGTGCCCAAGTAGAGATACGATGCGATTGAAACGATGCCCTAGAACAGAAATATTCTTTAAAGGAACAATACTTTGAAAAATAAAAAAAAATTTAAATCGTTGAACATACTTGCAACACCTGCAGAAATTCAACTTGATACAATGAGAAAATAAACAGTGGAATCAAATCCTCACCCAAATGGCATGGCCTCTAAGGCCTGCAGTCCGCTGCTGGTGTGAGTCTTGCCACCCAAACCAGGGCTCGTGGGCAGGCAGCATCACTTCCCCACCACTCCAGAGCCCCCGCCCCCATGCTCTGCTGAACCAAGCCGTGATCCAAGTTCGTCTTACATCAGTTTTGTATATCTCTGGCAAGACTTTGCAGCAGGGACACACACATATATACGTGTGCTATGGGCACACACACACATACACACACAAACACACACATACTACACACACAAAATTTCCCATTCAACCCAGATGCACCAGGTGAGCTGAATGATTTTCAGCCAACCACAATGGTGAAAGACAGAAGCACCAAACAGTCTTTGAAATGGGTCAGTTATTACAATTTTGACTTTTTATATATATGTATATATATATATATATTCTAGTTTTCCTCTTTGTGTTATTTTTTTTTTTAAAAAAGCACAAATGAAAAATGAAGAATTCTTTCCAGATCAATTTAAGGCTTCCCACCAAATGGAAACAGAAGAGGCTTTACACAATATCACATGTGATAAATGTCTACCATTCACAGCCTTAAAATGATGGAACTAATCGTTGTTGCCAGTCACTGATTAAGTATTGTGCCTTTAAACTGATGTCGTTCTTTTTGCTACTATGCTGAGTTTTATTATTACTGACTATGTGTACAGAAATCTCCTTTAATTTGCTTTAGAATATCCTGTCCTTACCGAATTATTGCGGTGGCTTTTTGTTTTGTTCTGGTTTGCTTTTCACTGGGAAACGAATGTGATTCTTGCTAGGCAAATGCTAAAATGGCACATAATCAGCCTTCAAGTAGCTTCTCCAGCCATTTGAGTTTCAAACAGCCCTTGAGCTCCTAGAAGGCTCTGCAAAGTGGGGAGAAGGTCAGGAGAGGAGGGGGAGAAACTGAAAAGAGGGAGGGGTTTATGCTTTTGCTTTTGGTAAATTTGTTTTCTTCAATACAAATAATCAGATAGGAAGAATAATTGCTTTGTGTTGTATTTGTTGGTTGGTTTTTGTTTCACTTTTAGATTTGTTTCATTTAATTGTTTAATTTTCCCTCTTCTGGTGCAAAAATCACCAGAGAGTTTTGCATGAGAAAACGTGACAGTACTTAATGAAACTCAGCACCTAAGGGCATAAGGCAGTTGAAGGTTTTTTGTTTGTTTGTGTTTGTTTTGTTTTGTTTTGTTCTTTCAATCAGCACCAATCCCATAAATGATCTACACTTGGTGTAAGGTAAAAAACTTTTTTTTTTTCTTTTGGAGTGGAGATAACTCCTCCTTCTCCACCCTATGAACCATAGCGTGGGATTTTTCAATACTGTTTCTTATGTGTAAAAAACAAAAGAAAGGTTTTCTTTTTGTTTTTACTTACAAAACATAGAGAATATCTTTGTATACATACAGCGACTGGAAAGAAAGCTTATTTGAAGGGGTTGTGACTTATTAATTCTTTTTTTTTTGTAGTGGTGGTGTTGGTGTGGCGGTGTTGGTGGTGGTGGCGGTGGTTCTGTGTATTGGGGGAAGGGAGGGTTATATTTCTTGCAAGTGCTGTTTGCCGCAAACCAAACTTAAGGTCCCCTTCTCAACTTGGTCAAGATGCTCTTAGAGTGAAGACTCATACTGTAGCAACTCATAGAGGAGTGGTCCGTCTCGATATCGAATGCCTACTGCGGTGGGGGTGACATATTGTAGAATGTTAATAGTCCTTCTCAGCCTCCTGTCTACAAAATGAGCATCCCAAGCTGGGTATCGCTTTCTTGGCATGTCAATCTTAATGAGGGGCCCTTCTGGGAGGTAAGGACGCCCCAACGGGGTAGGGGGCCCCATGGGTCTCACTTGGAAAACAGGCAAGCAAGTGTCAGCCGTGAGATCCTCCTGTTGTTCCGTTACGGCTCTGGTGGGCGTAACCTGGGTCCCCCGGTACCCAGGGATCTCAGGCGCCATGGGCTCAACATCGGGGGGCAAAGGGATGCCCCAGAGCAGCTCGGCACAACAGGAGCTGGCAAGGATCTTAGCTCGTGGTCCTGTGGGATGCAGCACGCCATAGTATAAGAGCATCATTGCGATCCCAGCCACAAAGCTAATAAAGACACAACACAGTGCTGGCACCGCATAGGAGTCAGTGGTCTCCGGGTCTCTGTAAAAATACCAAAGGAACGTCAAGGCAGCATTCTCGGTCAAGACTATCGTATAATATGCAAACATTCGATATCGAGTCCGCCCTTCCTTGACGTTAAACCAGCAGAAAATGTACACGATCCCTACCACCATGTTGAAGAGGATCTCCTCCCACTTGGACATGCAGAAGTCTGTTCCGCCATGGATGATCCAGAAGGCCATGGCGCACCAGTGAACCACCACGAAGATCCCAAAATAGAGCTGGAAGATGGAAGCAAAGAGGGCAAAAGAGATCACTCGGGATGAGATGGTGAAGAGGCGCCAGAAGACCTGGATGATGGCCCCTCTGTAGCTCATGCTCTTCTTGTCGTCCCTGGAGTCCCGCAGCAGCTTGTGATAGGAGGCTAGCACCCAAGCCAGGGACATCAGGGAAGTCACAGAGGAGACACCTGCCGGAAAGACACAAACCCACACAGTCAAAACCTTGGACATCAACCGCAGGGCACAGTGAAGCTGCCGGCTGAGGAGACGCCCACATACACCACGATCTAAAGGAGGAGGGAGAAAGAAACACAGAATCAGGAACCGAACTTGGAGGTCACAGCTGCTCCCTACGCTGACAACTTGGGAGATGGAGCTTTTGTTTCAACAACCCCATTTGCCATTTTGGGAGCTCAGTAGCTCAAGGGTGATACTGAGCCAGTGTGTTTTGCTAGGGGGCTGAGAGGTGGGGCCACGTCTGCCATGGGCAGCCCTTTGTGGGTTCCGCCTTAAGGAATCATGCGATTCTTGTGGCACACAGATGTGCGGCTGGCATTGGCGTCGCTGTCACCAGCAGCCTGTGCTCTCAGAGAAGCCCACAGGAGGAATCGCCAATTGTGAAGACCAAGGGTTTACCCACCGCCCTGAATTCCACACTGTTCTCCTCTGAGGTGCTGGAATCATGCTTCTGCCTTTTCCTCACCTCACTCAAAGTCCCAAAAGGCCCTTTCCTGAACCTTCTTCCAGTTAGCTTCTCCCTGACCTGCCACCCAAGGCCAACAAGATCCAGGACACTGGGATATCCCGCCCATTTCACAGACTTCCTCTCTCACCCACTCTGGTCTTTTCGGCCTCTCCACAATCCCTGTTGCTTTTTCCAACCGACTGCTGCTCAATGTGCTCTTAAGCCTTGACTTTTGAAGCTCTGTCCTTCTCTGGTTGCCCTCTGGGTTCAACATGGTATCACTTGGGCTTTGGGGGTGCCTCTTCCCCTTACTGGTTTTCTGAGGCTTCCAAGGCCTCTGCACTTTACTCCCTGCATTTCCTCCCACAACGGGCAAATATTCACAGAGTTTGAGTGTGCCTAATCCCAAGTCATACTCATATTGCCATAGAACAATTTTATATCCAACTCTGACTACTTGATATTTGCAAGTAAACCAAATGAAACACAATCCATTGTTACTGAAGTCTCCCCAAATCCACCCATGAACAACCAGTCATTATTCGAGTGCTGTCATACAATCTCCGTTTAAGCAAGATTTCCCCCATCACCAACCCCCAACTCCCCGTGCATCAGTTCCACAGTCCATCTGGGGCCTCTTTTGCTGGTCTTTTCTCCCAAAATTTCACAACTAAATGTAAGTAAATGCAACAGGAGGCCGAATGCTGTCCCACTGGCAACGACCTCCTTAGGAAAGCTTTACCCTCCCACGGAGCACAATTCCCCCCACGACATTCTTCCAGGTTGAAATCAAGGTTACCCAGTGATTTTCTCCCTTAAGCTCAAAGATCAGATACAGAAGCCCCATTCATCAAGACACTGGTTAAACTTCCCCAGACCACCAGGCTTCTGCTCGTCTCTCCCCGGGACCTGCCCAACTCCCCACAACTCTCCGAAGCCCGATGAAGAATCCGAGTTCTCTGCCACGTGACACTCTCCCAGCACTGGCTCTGCGTCACCCGTCTCACAAAGGTCCCCTCCTTCCATCATGTCACATGAAGCTCAGAGTCCTAGCTTGCAGAACAGTATGGTGCAATAAAAAAACCTGTTAACTGTTACAATGGGCATGTGTGACTCTTTCATAGTAATAACAACCATGGAGATTTGAAACAAACAGGGGCAACACGATCCCAAGTTCTCCATGGAAATCTATCTGGAAAACATCCAAAGAGCATTCATGGCAATTTTCCTTTTCTTTTCTAGAAAGTTCTGAACATGACACATGTCCTGCCTCACTTGTGGTACACACAAGACATCTCATGTGTGTCTGCAGTGGCTGCACATGGTTGGTCAGGGAACCTTTTAGTGCTCACATTGTCTGTTAGGGTGCAGCAGGGAGAACTCCCCTTAGGAGTAATGTGATGTAGGTTGCAGATTTCTGGAGGGCAGAGGATGTGCAATTACCTTTTTTTTTTTTTTTGAGACAGGGTTTTACCCTGTCGCTCAGGCTGGAGTGCAGAGGCATAATCATTGCTCACTGAAGCCTCAACCTCCTGTGCTCAAGTGATCCTCCCGTCTCCCATACATGGGACCGCAGGCATGCTCCAGTGAGCCCAGCTAAGATTTTTATTTTTATTTTTTGTAGAGACAGAGTTTCTACTTCTTTTTTTTTTTTTTTTTTAAGATGGAGTCCCACTCTGTCACCCAGGCTGGAGTGCAGTGGCATGATCTCCACTCATTGTGACCTCCACTTGCCAGGTTCAAGTGATTCTCCTGCCTCAGCCTCCAGAGTAGCTGGGACTACAGGTGCACACCACCATGCCTGGGTAATTTTTGTATTTTTAGTAGAGACAGGATTTCACCATGTTGGCCAGGCTGGTCTTGAACTCCTGACCTCAAGTGATCTGCCCACCTTGGCCTCCCAATGTGCTGGAATTACAGGCATGAGCCACTGTACCCAGCCTAGAGACAGAGTTTCAACACATTGCCCAGGCTGATCTCGAACTCTTGGCTCAAACAATCCTCCCACTTTGACCTCCCAAAGTGCTGGGATTACAGGCATGAGTCACCACGCCTTGCTGAAATCACATCTTCATAGTCTGGACCAGGCTATTCCCAGCACTGAAGCACCCTCAAAAAATTCCATTAAACATCCTCATGACATCCTTGCTCTCCAGCTGAATTCACTGCTTGATGTTAATCATGAACATCTGGTAGGTCCTACCGACCCATAGTAATCAGATGGGAGTTCTATGGGAGCTGGGTGGGAAGAAGGCTTGATTGTTGTGTTCCTTCTAATAAAGCAAACTCTATTACCTTCTACTCAGAAAAGCGTGAGTGCTGAGCTCATAAAGCAAGAAGGAGCAGCTTAGCTTCTGCTGGGGCCTGGTCAGATCCAGTCCAGTTCTAAGCATGCTTTGAGCAGACTTGGGGTGCAGAGTTAGGATCACCCTCAGACTTCGCTGTTCTGATTTTGTTGTTCTCTGTGCTGTGACATTGGCCCCGTTCACACCAATAATGAATAAATGGGAATTCAAATGCTCATCAGCCACCAGTTGCAAAGCCAAATAGAATTCTTCTCCATTCTTCTGCCTTCAGAGTTACCTACCCCATTTCCAGGTGTGTCGCTGTGGTTTTGAAGGCGGGTGTTCTGTTCCTGCAACTCCCTTCATGGCAGTGGTGCTGAAACTACTCTTGTTTCAGCCGACCAGGCACTGCAGTTGCGGCTTCTAGAATTTCGCCCAAGGGTACTGCACAGACATTCCTCAGTGTTGCAAGACATCACTGCTAACTTACAAGGAGGGCTTGGGAAATGGTCCCATGGAAGACTGTGATTCCAGGCATCTGACTGGGGAGTCTGCTGGCGAGCTAATGGCCAGCCCAGTTTTAAGTCTCTGCTTCATCTGTTCCTGACTTGGTCAACTTATGAATGGCCAAACCTTCTATCTAGGGGAGCTTCCCAGACCATCCACTTCAACCCACCCATTCCACAGGAAGCAGAGGTGCAGGGGCTTGGGTGGCTTGCTCAAGACTGTCCTGAGAACCACCGGCCATCTCTATGAGGATGGCATGCTTCCTGCCATGTCGCGCTGCTCCCACTCTCCATCCTTTCTCCGTCTGGTCCCTCTGTCAGTTCAGCTTTCCAGATATCCAGCAGGCAACACCTTTCTCAAGATCCTTTGTACTAAAGGTCATCAGCCTTCTCCAATGGTGGGAGCCTGTTCTGGTGCCCAGCCATTGGCTCTTCAGGGTTCGAACGCCAGGCCATATCCTTGACACTGTGAAATGCTCCAAATAGTGAAAGGAGAAGGTGAACTTCCACCAACTGCCCAAGACCAAGAAGAACACCTCTGACCACACAGAGCAATGGGGAGTGGGTGTACAGGCCTCGTGCCCCTGATGTGCCTGCCCCTCTCTCTCTGCCAGCAACAGGGGCGAGAATGATCCTGCAAGGAGGGGACTTGCCTGGGGGAGGTCAAAACTCTTACCCCCATCACTTTCTAATCTACCTCATCACCAAAGTATTCCCCATTCTATCCAAGGCTCTGGGCACATTTTTTGGGACCGGAGTTGGTACAGCTAGTGGGCTGAGTCAATCCCTGAGAAGAGACCAGGAAAGCCAGGCTCACTTCAGGACCCCGTTTGGGAACAGGTTTCTACTGGATGCTCAACAGAGGGTAGCCCTTGCCCTGGTGGGACTCAAAAACCTGTGATGGAGTGCATCGATGAACATGTCTTCAGCCTGCCCCCCAGGAACTCATCTGGACCTGTCTGTGACATTGTCTACGTCGTTATGTTTGGCCAAGGGACCAAATGTTCATGGCTCAGCCACTTCTGCATCTTTTCCCTGAACAAGTCCTGCAGCCCCCACAGGACTGTCGCTGCAATTCTTCCTCAGAGGGCCATCAGCGAAGGGTGCCTTGAGGACAGCCTGTGAATTCTGGGGACTCAACAGGGGCAGGAGATGGGAAGCCAGGACAGAAGATGCACTTCTTGCTCTGAACCCTCCCCAACTGTGCACCTGGTTGTCCCGGAGAACTTGGCAGGATTCACTGAGCATCTACATGCATTTTCTTATTGAGAAGGGCCTGGGGAGGTAGGTGCTAAGTTGTGTCCCCCCCACAAAATCCATATGCTGAAGCTCTAACCCCTAGGACCTCAGAATGTGGCTGTGTTTAGAGATAGGGCCTTTAAAGAGGTGATTAAGGTAAAACGAGGCCGTTAGGGTGGGCCCTAACCCTGTGTGACTGGGTCCTTCTAAGGAGTGGAAATTAGGACACAGGTACACACACAGGGGGATGACCACATGAGGACACAGCAAGAAGACAGGCGTCTACAATCCAAGGAGGGAGGCCTCAGGAGAGACTTCTCAGACCAGTAGCACCTTGATCTGCAGTGCTCTGTGACCGCAGCCTGAGCAGACGTACACCGTGCGGACAGAACTGTGCACAGCCACCGCCGAGTGATTCATCTTCAAAGCTTGCTGTGTGTTCTGTTACAGAAGGAGTGAGTACAGGTTCTTCCTTCTCTGCAGTGGCTCACTTGGAGAATTTCCGTCTTGTCTGAAGTCAACTCAAAAGTCAATGCGTTCTCCTAGGTAACACCCAAGCACACAGGAACCGGCCGTGGAAGCCCCCAGTGAAATTCCTGGACAGGCCTGGCAGCCTCCACGGTTCCCTTCCGCTTCCAGCTCCATCACTGACTGCATTCCGAAGATCAGACTAGAAATTGTTACACGCTTCACGTTTGGCTGTGACGAGCTCTGAGCAGTGACCTTCACAGCTCCCTTTCCCTGGTGCAGACCAGGAGGCAGCGCTGGCAGCATGCCCACTGCGCTGACCTTAGTGCAGTGCCACTGGCTGGGAAGTCTCTGGGCCAGAGTTCCTGAGGCTGGGGGGCTGGGGAAGGGCAACTCCCCAGAGAAAGGCTTGGAGAAAGGGCCTTTGGGCTCTGATCACCAGCCCTGGGGTCTCAGGTTCCAGAAATGGAACGGCCACATCTTATGACCGATGACACAGAGCCAGAAAGGCAGTCATCAGGGAACGTCCTGTTTTGTGTTTTCAATTCCCAGGGGTCATAGCCAGTTGGGGAACAAAGCAACACGTGTGGATATGGGTGCCCTACTGAATGAGAAGCACAGTGACAGGGCGTCTTGCAAAGGATGAGATCCTAGAACCTGGAGGGAGCAGGTGAGGCAGGAGAGCAAGGAGGTGCCACGGAAGGGGTCAGGCCAGGAAGGGAGGCTGTGACCGGGATGGGCCAGGGTGGAGCTGCATCAGGGGGCCAGCATATGGGAGCCCCGACACATCTCCAATAAGGGAACCTGAAGGAGGAAACAATGTCCAGAGCTCCCTGTAGGCTGAACACAGCACCTGGGGGAAGGCATGCTCCAGAAAGCCACAGGAGTGCCTAGAGATGGTCACCAACTGCCCCTGAGCCAGAGCTGGGCTCAACTGCAGGAATGTGTTTTGCAGAATGGGAGGTGCAGGCCCAGCCCTGCCTCACCCTCTCTCTGACCGAGAGCGTCAGCTCAGCCCCACCGCTAAGTCATGTGTCGGAAACACACTTGATGATGAGGGACCTAAGCATGAGGCAGGACAGAAGTGGAAAGAGTCAGCTGTGTGCAGCTCCCCAGATCCCAGCTTCCTGACTCTTTCCTCCCCAGCTCCTTCTTCCTGGCTTGTTCCCATCAGCGGGTAGCCAGGGTCAAGGTTCTCCCATTTACACAGCATGGTCCCTGGACCCTGCATCCTCTCCTGAAGCTGTCCCTCCTCTCCTTGTCTCATCTTCTCCAAGCTTCCCGAAGGCAGGCCACTTGCCCTCCTCACTCTCCCACCACCTGCTTTCCTCCCAAATCTGCCCCAGTGGAGAGCTGTCACTCAGGTCGTGCGGCATTCGGAGGACTGCTTCCGTGCTTCTCCTCCTGGCTCTGTGTGACAGTCGGGATTGGGATCTGCTCTGTCCTTCTTCACACCCCACCCTTAGCTGTTCCCCAGTTCTCTTCCTGCCATTTCTTGAGCTCTTTATGGCAGCCTTTTCCTGCCAGGTTTCTTATCCCCATATTGTAGATGAGGAGACCGAAACAGCAGTGAAGAGACGTGGATGTGGCCACAGCCATATCCTGACATTTGCATGCTCACCTAACTTGTATGGCATTGTACCCCAGTAGGCTGGGCCTCTAGAGATGCCCCAGACAGGACACAGGCTTAGCTGGTTATCTGTCAGTCTGCATATCAAGGACAACATCTCCCTCTTTCAACCCTGGCCCCCTCCCTGCCTCCCTCCCTCCTGGGGAAGCTAACATTTGGGGGATCTCCACCATCTGCTTTTCAAATTCCTATTTTGTATTTTTCCCACAATGAGTCCTTTTAGACAGCAATTCTTCCCCTTCCATCTGTCAAACTTCCCTCTGTCTTCCCACATTTTAAAAAAGTCCAGTCTCTTCTTGGAAATGTTCCCAGGAAAGGATAAGGCAGCTGTGTCCACCGCCTCTCTAAGCATAACCCACTGTCTCCCGTCCTCGCCTTCCCACAGGAGACATGGCAAGGGAGTGATGTGACAAAGGTACTTTCCTATTTGGGCAATGAAGAGGGAAGAAAACAAGCATCCTGATGACTTCTATGAGCCAGGCTCAAAGCCGTTAAATAACCCACCCAAGGCCACACAGCTAGTAAGCAAGAGAGCTCATACTGAAACCCGAGACTATTTCACTCCCCAGAATCTGGATCTGCATGTGCTGGAGCTGGCCAATTCTTAAACTGTAGGCTGCCTGATGTCATGTTGCGGGCTTGAAATTGGCATGGTGGGAGTATTTACACCACAGCAATTGGCAAATGGTACAAACCAGAGCTCCACCAAATCCTGCTAAATGTTGGTTGTTAAACATTTACCAGCACACCACCGGTCAGGATCAGCCATCCTTCTTGAAAAGCTTGGTGGGTGTCTATGCAAATTAGAAGGGCCTGTCTCCAAATTCAGTGCCTACTCTACATTCAGTGCTGTACTCCTAGATGTGGTCTTCACATGCAGGGCACTACCTGGTTATCAGTCAGAATTAAATACCTTAGTGCTAATGAGAAAGCAACAAAAAAAGCAATCTTCTTTTAAAACTTTTGCTGAAAATATGTACACAGGAAATAATATGCTGGTGAAAAGTAATTGCGGTTTTGCCATTGTAATGGCAAATAATTTCAGGTCTAACAGGTTGCTTTGTGCACAGTCTTTCATAAGCACTGACATACTCATTTTCATTACATTTCTGTACTTGAAGAGGGTGTGATCCAGATGTGAGGTTTCCACAAGGAGTCACTTTAATGCATCTCTGACATCTCCAGATGGACCCTTAAGAAGGGTCAAAGAGGCTGGGCGTGGTGGCTCACGCTTGTAATCCCAGCACTTTGGGAGGCTGAGGCAGGTGGATCACAAGGTCAGGAGATTGAGACCATCCTATACTGGCCAACATGGTGAAACCATGTATTTAGTCTCCACTAAAATACAAAAACACAATTAGCTGAGTGTGGTGGCAAGTGCCCATAGTCCTAGCTACTCTGGAGGCTGAGACAGGGGAATCGTTTGAACCTGGGAGGTGGAGGTTGCAGTGAGCAGGGATCACACCACTGCACTCCAGCCTGGCAACAGAGCAAGACTCCATCTCAGAAAAAAAAAAGAAAAAGAAGAAGAAGAAGGGTCAAAGAGAAGAGACGGCAATCACATTTGTGGCCCTAGCCCTCAGGACTGACAAATATGTGGCCGAGGAGATCAGGAAAAACCCAAGACTGATCGAAGTGATCTGGTGTAAACATAAGAAAGGAGGATTTGGATATCTCAGGAAAGCCAAAATCTGAGCGATCACACCATCCTCTGGCTGGACAAAAAGCTCTTTAACGTAAGTGAGTGGGCCAAGGGAGAAAGAATATCAGGTCTTACCATGGTTTCTATGAAAGATCTCTTTTTTTTGCCTCTGACTTCATGCATATCATGTCATCTGCTAGTTTCTAGTAAGTTCAATAACAGTGATATCTTCCCTCTACTGAACAGCCACCTTGACCCAGACTCTATGCTAGGCACTGCACATAACTCAATTGTTATGTTAACTCAATTATTCTTCCTTACCATGCTATCAGCAGCAGCAGACTGATTTCAAGATGAAGACACTGAGGCTTACAGGCTAATTAAGTAACTTTTCCACATGAAGCAGTTAAAAAGTTGTAGAACTAGAATTTGAATATAGGCTTGTCTGAATCCAAAACTCAGATTATTTTCTGAACCACTGGGAAAGATCTCTCTCCATCCTCAACCACAAATTAAAGAATTATCATTGAGGCTTATACATCAGTTTCTTATTAATTTGGTTAACATATGTCAGCCCTCTGATCACCTCTGTGAGCATTGACAAAGTCAAATTTGTGGGTCTACACAGCCGAGGACCCACCCCGCGGAGGCCCTGCCTGAGTGTTCAAGCCACTGCAAAGCTGATGACACTTCTGTTCCATCTCTCTTGCCTGAATTGCCGGAATGGCCTCCTAACTGGTCTCTCTGCATCTGCCCTCCTCCCAACACTCTATCCACACTACAGCAGCCAACATGATTAAGCTACAATGTTTCCCTCCGCGTGGCTTCCAGTGCCTGGTGGACCATCAAGAGTCACTGATTTTCAACGCCTTTTGCGTGGGAGGATGTACACGCCCACGCTGCTGGATTGAGGTGTGGCTGAGACTTGCTCTGGCCAGGCACGTGAGCAGAAGGGATGTGTGGCCCTGCCGGGCAGAAGACTGTGCTCACCCATGCTCCAGGAAGAGGCTGCTCCACAGGGACCCTTGACTCACATGCAACGAGCATGAAGGAAATCGAAAATGCTCAAGGCCACTGGAACTGTGTAGGTATTGTAAACTGCAGCACGGCCAGCCTGTCCTCACTGATGTGCTAAGTCACCCCAGGTAAAAGCTACAGTCCTTAGAAGGGCCGGCAGGGCTGCCCTGCCATAAACATATATATATATATATGGAGTCACCCGTGGAACCAGCCTGCTTCCCCCTCCCAGGAATCTCTGCCTCCAATGGGTGAGCTGTTCTTAAATCTAATCTGTCAAGTCCCCTTTGCCCTCCCTGGGGTCCTCTCCTGCTGGCTCCTCAGACATGCTCCAGCCGCACTTGCTACTTCCTCTGCCTGGAATGCTCTTCTTCCAGTATCGCTATGTTGTTACACAAATGTCACCTTCTCACCAAGACCTTTATGCAACGATCAGCTTCTCAGCCAGGCCCTCCCCGACCACCACACTTAAAACTGCAACTCCCTGCCATGGTTTGAATGTGTCCCCCAAAAATTCATATGGTGGGAACTTAATCACCATTACAGCATTGTGTTAAGAGGTGGGGCCTTCAAGAGGTGGTTAGGCCATGAGGGCTCTGCCTCCTGAATGGATTGGTGCAGTTAACACAGAAGTGGGTTGTTTATCCAGGGAGTGGGTTCCTGACTTTTAAAAAGTAGTTTGGACTGGGCACGGTGGCTCACGCCTGTAATCCCAGAACTTTGGGAGGCCGAGGTGGGCAGATCACTTGAGGTCAGGAGTTTGAGACTAGCCTAGCCAACATGGCGAAACCGCATCTCTACTAAAAATACAAAAATTTAGCCGGGTGTGGTGGCACGCACCTGTAGTCCCAGCTACTTGGGAGGCTGAGGCAGGAGAATTGTTTGAACTGGGGAGGTGGAGGTTGCAGTGAGCTGAGATTGCGCCACTGCACTCCAGCCTGGATGACAGAGCAAGACTCTGTCTCAAAAAAAAAAAAAAATAGTTTGGCCTGAGCTCTGTCTCTCTCTCTCTCTTTCCCCGCTCTTGCTATGTTAAGACACAGCAAAGAGGCTCTCACCAGATGCAGCTTCTCAATCTTCAGCTTCTCAGCTTCCAAAACCATGAGCCAAATACGCTTCTATTCTTCATAAATTACCCAGTCTGTTGTATTATAGCAGCAGAAAATGGACTAAGATACCCCTCAAGACTGCCTCATGCCTTCTTGCTTTTTTTCCACCATAGCATTTTGCACCATCTTGATCAACTTTTCTCCTGCTTTTGGTTTTTTATTTCTACTATGTTCCATGGTGAATGCTAGCTCCCTAAGGGCAGAGCAGGGATTTGGTTTGGTACTTCTGGAATTACATGCAAAACTGTGTGGGTATTTTTCTCATGAATGAGTCCACAGCTATTCTTGGATTCTTAAGTAGGCAAACAAGGGAAGGGATCATAATCCCCATTGCTAGCCGCCATGATCTCCCACAATGCTCTCCAAACACGGGAAAGGGAGTTCCTTGGGAGCATTTATGCCTTTGTCATTTAGGAAGAAAACCTTGGGGTTAAACACAGGGAAGAAAAGGAATTCACATTTACTGAATGTTTCAGTGCGTCAGACATTATGTATGCCAGACTCTGTGCATATGTTATTTCATTGAATTTAATGGGACAATAATCCCATGAGAATGCCTGTCAGTGTCCCTATTTTTCAGAGGAAGGAATTGAGGCTCAGGGAGGTAAAAGAATTTGCCTAAGCTTACAGTATTAAGCAAGTCTTTTTATTCTGAGGCTTTCACATCTCGGGGGGCTGGGGGGACCTTTTTCAGTTTACAACACCCAGAATCACCCATTTAACTAACAGCAATGCAATGATTCTTAACCAGGGTGATTTTGGCCTCTAGGGGACATTTGTCGACATCTGGAGACATTTTTGATTGTCACAACTCGGGGTGCAGGTGCTGCTGGCATCTGGCAGGTAGAGGCCAGGGATACTGCTAAATACTGCAATGCTCTGGAAAGCCCCTCACAACAAAGAATGACTTGGCCCCAAATATAATCGCGCTGAGGTTGAAACTGTGATAGGGTATTTCCTCAATGTTCTAAATCAATTAAAAAATAGACAGGAACTTGGCTGTGCCTAATAACTGAAGATTTAGATCTTCCAAAGAATTCCCCCTGAGAAGTGGTGGGTATCCTAACGGGCCTGGAGGTACAGATGCAGGGACCTTCGGAAGGCCATGAGGACTGCATCTCTCCAGCTCTGATAAAGAGTGGATGACTGGTTCCTAAAGAACCTATAGTTCCTAAAGAAAGAGCCACCACCGCAATCTTCAGCACTGGTCCCAAATGCATTTCTTCTACAGCTGCAGGAAAGACGACATGTGAGAAACACCACTGTGGCTCTCCTGGACCCTGGGCTCTTCTGAGCAGCTGGCTGGGGGCTGGCGGCCACTCTGGGAATATGGTGGACAACAGGGAAGTACCAGACCTCCCCTCAAGGAGTTCCAAGGTCAAACACCAGGGTTTAAAGGGCCCAGGAGGAGGAACGCTAAATCCAGCCCCCTGCTTCACTTGTCTGTTCTTTTTAAGATTCTGTCAGGGATCTCAAAATACCAGCTTCACAGCCAGCTGCATAAAGGCAAACTTTAGAGATTCTAGAACAAATGTCAGCCACCCAGCTGGCATGGCACAAGGCTCAAGGGTGCCTGGATCCTGGCTGGCCTGGAGCAAACTGTGGAGATGGCCGTCTGCTTTCCCTGGAGAGTGCCAGGAAATCCATTCTCATTGAGGAGCAACAGCCCACCAGGCACAATGCCCTGTTGCTCCCAGAAGTGGCTGTGTTTTGACAGAGGCAGTGAGATGCTCTGGAAAGGACACAGGTTCCGTACAAACAGCTGGCTTGGGTCCAGCCATGTGGACCTGGGCAAATGCACTGACTCTCTCCAAGCCTCAGTTTACTGTTTGTGAGCCGTGGGTAAAAACATGGATTTTGAGTATATATACATATAGAGAGAGGGTGTGCGTGTGTGTGTGTGTGTGTGTGTGTGTGTGTGTGTGTGTATAGAGAGAGAGAGAGAGACAGAATATGTATATATATAGAGAGAGGGTGAGATTGTATATATATGTGTAGAGAGAGAGGGTGAGTATATATATATATATATATGTGTGTGTGTGTGTGTATATATATATATATAGACAGAGAGGGAGAATATGTATATAAATACAGAGAATGAGATTGTATAAAAATATGTATATATAGAGGGTAAGTATACATATATAGAGAGAGAATATGTATGTGTATATATATATATAGAGAGAGAGGGTGAGATTGTATATATATATGTAGAAAGAGAGGGGGTGAATATATATATATAGAGAGAATATCTATATATATATAGAGAGAGAGAGGAAGAGAGAGGGTGAGATTGCACATATATATGTAGACAGAGAGGGGGTGAGTATATATATATAGAATATATATATATCTATAAAGAGAAAAAGAGAGGGTGAGTATATATATACACATGTAGAGAGAGAGAGAGTGAGGGGTGTGTGTATATAGAGAGGGCAAGTGTGTATATATATATAAATAAAAAGAGAGGTGTGTATATATAGAGACAATGTATGTATATATACAGAGGGTGAGTATGTGTATATATAGAAAGGGAGGGTGTGTGTATACGTGTTTGTATATATAGAAGGTGTGTATATATATAGAGAGAATAGGTATATATAGAGAGGGAGGGTGAGACTGTATACATATATGTAGAGAGAGAGGTTGAGTTTACACATATATATGGAGAAAGAGAGAGAATATATATATATATAGAGAGAGAGAGCAAGAGAGGGTGAGTATATATACACACATATTTATGCAGAGAAAGGACGTGTATACATAGAGAGGGTAAGTATATATATCTGTGTGTGTGTATATATATAGAGAGAGAGCGCTAGAGAGAGGTGTATATATAGAGAGAGTATATGTATATATATAGAGGGTATGTGTATATATAGAGTGGGATGGTGTGTGTGTGTATATATACAGAGAGAGAGAGGGAGAGAGAGAGGGTGTGTGTGTATATATATACAGAGAGAAATGGTGTGTATATACATATATAAAGAGAGGGTGTATATATATATATATATATATATATATATATATATATGGAGAGAGAGAGAGAGAGGGTGATTATATATAGAGAGAAGGTGAGTATACATATATATATATAAAGAGAGTGAGCATATATATATGAGAGACGATAGGTGAGTGTATATATATATATATATATAGAGAGAGAGAGAGAGAGAGAGACAGGGTGTGTATGTGTGTGTATATACATAGAGAGAGTGAGTATATATAGAGAAAGAGAGAGGGTGTGTGTGTATGTATATATATGTGTGTGTGCATATATATATGTAGAGAGAGAGAAAGAGGGTGTGTGAGTATATATATGTAAAGAGAGAAAGAGGGTGTCTATATGTGTGTCTATATATATAGAGAGGGTGAGTGTATATATATATATATATATACACACATAGAGAGAATGAGTGTATATGCACATATATAGAGAGAGAGAGACGGTGAGTATATATAAAGAGGGTGTGTATGTGTGCATATATATAGAGAGAGAGGCGAGTATATATACATATATATATATAGAGAGAGAAAGAGATAGGGTGTGTGTATAGATAGAGAGAAAGAGGGTGTGTGTGTTTATATATAAAGAGAGGGCGAGTATATCTATATGTAGAGAGTGTATATATCTATAGAGGGCGAGTACATCTGTAGAGAGAAGATGAGTGTATATACACATACATATATATATATATACAGAGAGAGAGGAGAGAAAGGGTGTGTGTGCTTGTATATATATATAGTATATATCTATATAGAGAAGGTGAGTATATCTATATATAGAGAGAGAGTATATATATAGAGGGTGTGTATGTATGTCATCTTTTCTGTGTATGTATATGTGTGTGTGTGTGTATATAGTCTCTATATTTATACTCAATATATATTTGAAATTACATTGTTCATATACTTGTTCATTGCCTGCCTCCACTAAAATGTAAGCCCCAGGACAGAGATCCATCTGCCTTTTTCGCCTCTGTACCCCCAGAGTCTGGCCAGGGTCCCCAGCATCCTCTGTGAGGAGATTAGGCAGGTAGGGTTATTTCAATTTATAAGGTGAAAATGAGGCTCACAGAGGTTAACCGTTGCCTTGCCCCTTAGCCAGGTACTCAGCCGTGAGTGCCCTGGGAGACACAGCCTGCCAGGTGAAAGCACTTCACTCAGCCAAAGCCTTGATAAGGATGGAGGCCATATGCACCCCCCAGCCATCGCTGTTGGGTGCTTCCTTTCTGCCAAGAGCAGATGTCATCACTTCTGCCTCCTAACACCCCTCTGCGATAGAAGAGATCACCAGTGTTTACAAACACGATCACTGCAGCTCAGGGATGGGGAGGGACCTGCCCCGGTGCACTCAGCCGTCGATGCAGATGCGGACCAGGTGTGCAAAGCCAGGCCCCTTTGGCCCCCACTAGGGACTTCACGTGGTGTTCAAGGGAGGCACCTTTTCTCCCAGGTGACAGGAAGGCTGCAGAGGTTCCCGATAAGCAGAGAAGGACCCAAAGTCCTTGGTGACTGCTAGTGAGGGTGACGGGTGTGGAAAAGGATGGGGTCCCAGCAGCAGCACGAGGCAGGAGGACCTGCGACGGGGGCCCCATGATTATGTTGCAGATAACAGGTTTCAGAAGCCAGCAGCAGGGCTTGGCAGCCTGGGGTGCAAGAGGCTGGGAATGCAGTCAGGACTCTCCTTTGGTCAGGTCCGGGCCCAAATCTTGCCTCGGGATGGCCCTTGGGCAAATTCCAGACCCCTGGAACTCCTCTTGGCGTTCTGACCAACCTAACACCTCAGACTGGTTCAGGATTGAATGGGTCTATGGGTGTAAGCTTCCCAGATGAAAAAGGTGAGGCTCAGAGAGTGCCCCCCACCCAGCCCACTGCCGTAATCACTGTAACCGCCGCAACCATGCTTCCCGGTCTTAGCAAGGCAGGGGGTGGGACAGCTCACTGGGAGTCACTCTGGTGTCCCTTTCGGAGCCTCTTCCTGAGTATATACAGTATATACTGGGGATGAGTAGTGCATCCCCAGTAGTGAGAGGGACATAAACAAGAAGATAGTATTCGTGAAACTCCTGGGCTTTCCTTGCTGAGATTCGTAAAGAATGGGAAAGATCTTTTGGAGATCATTTAGCTGTAGTCTTTCCTGCAGCTGGAAGCTCCCACGAGGTCTCAGGTTCTTGATGGCCTCTGACGTGATGTCTAATAATTAAGGACCCCTGCTGCCTACAACTTACTGTGACTCCCCCAATGCTCCTCCTCCTTAGGCTACAGCTGAAATGGGCTTCAGGAGGCTCTTCTGTCTCCTTGCATGTTTCTGGGACCCAGAGAAGATGAGATTGGAGAGATCTGAGCAGTCTCCCTTGCAGCATCCTAGCTCAGCTGACTTGTGAGGGGGGCTCCTTAACCCAATTCCCCATGTGGGAAAGTGGGGGAAATCTCACAGCTCCCTGGTAAGACCCTGGGGCAGGCCAGGCTGTGGAAGCAGAGGGCTCCCTGCTGGCCTCCTGGGTAGCCCCTGGCGTCCAGTACAGAGGTCCCCCTCCTCTCTCCTCCCTGGCTGCCCTCAGACACTGGGAGCCCTCCCTTTGCTCAAGGCCTTTGTCTGGGCCACTCCTCTTTCTCAGGACACTGTCCTCCAGGTGTCTGTCAGCCTGGCCGCCTCCCCTCCTGCACATCTCGGCCCCACCCTCACCTCAGTGGCGCCTTCGTGGTCTCCCTGTTGAAGACCAATAGAGAGCTGCATAATAGCTATTCGCTGCACATGGCTCTGCCTCCCTTCCCTTCTCTCTTCCCAGCTTTCTTGCTCTCTGTGCACTCCATTTTCTAAAAGAGAAAATATTTGCTTTGTTTATTGCCCATCTCTCTACACAAAGCAGAAGCTCCACAAGGGCAGGGTTTTCTGTTTTTTCATTGCTGTATCTGTCCCCAGCTCCTGGAACCGTGCTAGGCACATAGTAGGTGATTAGGGAAGTTATTGAATAAGTGAATCAACGTTCCACCTGCAGTAAATGCTCAGGCTTCTAAACTTGCCGTTGTCAGAGCCCCCATGAAGCTACCTCGCTCACTTTCACTGGCTGAGGAAGCCTGCGCTCATGTCTCTCTGTTCCAGCATTTCATGTGCAAACATTTCCAAGTCCCGAGTTGCTACTTCATCTGCATTCACTGTCATGAAACCCATTGAGTTTGCCTTTCTCCTGTTTCTTTTTTTTTTTCTGCTGCTTTAAGAACCCTCCCTCTCGCCATTGGTCGGTAGGGCGACCTCAGTGCAGGGCCTCAAAATGGCATGCAGGTTCAAGCCAGAGTGGTGCAGTGCGAGCGTTCAAGTCTGTTAAAAATTCTTGCAAACTCCATTTAACAGGGTAATGGTTTAATGTATTGCTTAACAAGAAGCCGTTTGGAGCTAGAGCAGGACTTGCTATAGACGCCAAGCAGATTCCAAATGGCATCTCCTCAAAATGAGAGGAGAAACACAGAGCTAGAGAAAGGCTATCCCTGGGGAAGTAGGAGAGACCAAGCCCATGTTCTAGCGGGAGGAGGCAGGTAGGTCTGTGCTGCGTCTCTCTCCATCTCAGCTGTGGATGAAGATGCGAGCCAGCCAGAGAACGGGGTCAAGAGGGAGTTGGTCCTCTTTCCCTTGATTTAATTGCTCGAGGCCAAGGCACTGCAATGCCATGAGCGCCCGGAAGTGGAGCTCTTGTGCTGGCAGATGTATGTGCCGCTGGGGCTGAAAGCCCAGAGTGTTCCTTGGAGACACCTGACCCCAAGATCAGCACTGTGAGCCATGGAGAAGGAGGGGCTCTGCTCAATTTGGGGTCCACCAGGCAGCGTGGAGCACTGGCAAGGGGCCAGGACATAGGAACTCTGGACCAGGTGAGTCATTATGCAATGTCGTTTGACGTAGTGGATTGGTTGTTTTGGGAACAAATTTTACTTCTCATTCCTAAGGAAATGGAATGGAAAATTCATGGCTCTGGTGCTGAGCTCAGATCCAATACCTTCACCTCACACAACAAAATCACCACCCCTTTCTGGGTGGCAGCTTCACCCTATTTTAACCAAGATCCCAAAGTTTGAAGTAATCACCTTTTGTGTCCTTGATTTAGAGACGGTGACAGCTAATGTCCCATATGAACAGGACTGGAAAGAGACAAGAAAGTATTTTCACATAAGAAAAAAGAAATCTCCCACAAAGACAGATGTGGATGTCTTTCACTGGGGAGAGGAAAGAGAGGAGGCCATTCAACTGATCAACCGATCCAACTGATCCAACCGCTAAGAGTCGGGCCCCTCGGCCCTCCCTCCACCTGGGGACAGAAGCAGGCTTTACCCATAGAAGGGATACTTGGCCAGGGAGACAGAGCAGTGGAGCTGATGCTTCATGTGGGATGCTTTTCATCCTCACCAGGGAAAAAAAGAAGTAAGTGCTTGCCGGGTTGCAGCCAAAAAGAAAGGCACAGACATTTCTGCTTAATGGGAGCAGAGAAAACCGAATTGTCCTTCTGAGTTGTTTGGACGCAGTCAGTCTGAGTTCTCGCTGGAAAAATAGGTCAATGTGAAGCTCAAACGCAGCCCTCTAGAAGGGCTTCTGATATAAAAGGAGCCTGCAAGTGAAGTTGAGAAAGAAGAAAACTAGCAAGGAAGTTAGCACTGAAGAGACACAAAGATCCCTAATTGTATCTCAGAGCTCCAGGTTTGTTTAACGGAAAATCAGTGTTTATATGCAGGGTTTATAATTTTCTCCTGCTTCCCTGTCTTAGCAAAGATGCTTTTTTTTTTTTTGGCACAAATTTGGTGCTGGTATCTGTGGTTATGGATGTCTAGGTGGGGAGCAGGGAACCCTCTGGGAGAGGCATGGCATTTGGACCATGTCTTCTAGGTGCTGTGTGACCTGCTCAACTGCAGGCCCAGGGTGGCAAGAAGTATAGGAGGCTTTTCTAATTACCCTCCTTGCTGTGTGACTTGGGCAACTTCCTTCCCTCTCTGTGCTTCGGCTTCCCTGTGTTAAATGGGGAGAGGGGCTGGATGGCCTGATGGGCAGCATCTCCCCCACCTCCACTCCCAGGAGATCCTGCCAAGTGCTGCATGGTGGAGTGGGACCGTGCGACTTTATGCAACATGTCGAGGTCTGCTTTTGATCATCTCTGAGAGAATTCCTTGCTCTAGGAAGAAGTATATTCCCAATGTGTGTCCCTTGAGCAGGAATGGTCTACATGGCACCAGCTGGCCATGTTCTGGGGTCAGAGGTCACTCTAGGTTCCAGCCCCAGCACAAGTCTGATCCCACCTGGGGATGCCCAGTCTTGCCCCCTGCTGAGTTAGAGTCTGAGGGGCACACAATGGCTCAGAGGATATCTGAGGGCACCTGGGGTTTCCTCTGAGGGTTCCTGGGGTGCCCTGATTTTTCAGGGCCAGAGAGATCTAAGGAGACCAGAGAAACATGCACCATATTGGAAATGTAGGGCACTGAGTTTTCATCGTGAACCTCTCACTAACTGAGTCCGTCACCTTGGACTAGTCCCTTGATCTCTCTGGGCTTCAACTTCCTCATCTGTAAAAGAAAAGGGTTGAACTACACGTTTTCTCAAATGCTTGTTTCTAGCACAAAGATTCTGTGCTTTTATGTGTGGGGAGACAGGTAAACAGGCAGCCTTAGAAGATGCTAGAATCTTGTTATCTATCAAGAATCTCAGGGTCTTCCAAGGTTTTGGGGCCAAAATGATAATAGTATCATCCCACATCCATCTCCTCCAGAGCCACCCATCCTGCCCTAAAGTCTTTCTCTGGATAAGCTTTTTTGACCTCTGGGTCAGGATAGAAATGATCTCCAAGGAAAGGCTAGGCAAAGGGCGGTGAGCCCATATGTGTGTTTCTCACTATCAGGGTCCTGGGGAGCTGGAGGGTCCTTGTCCTAGACCCATCCCCTTGCCTCCTGGCCAGGCCAAGCTTAGCTTCCTAGTAAGACAGTGAGGCTTCCCCCTGAGTGCTTGGAAGAGGCTCACCTAAGAGGCTCTGGAAGACTCAGGACATTTGCAAAAAGCCAAGTTCTGGGCAGAGACTTTGGGGACAAGAGGCAGAAACATCGCTTTCTGACCATGTCAGTGTGATGGCATCTGGGGCATGCACACATGTGTGTACTGGACTTGACAGTCCACATCCATGCCCAGCTTGGCCATGGCACAAGCCACCCTCCACTCCATCCCGTCAGCAGTGGCTGGTTTCTGCAGAATCCGCACAGATTTATCTGTCTCCTCCAGACTCAGCCACAGCCGTCCTTGCTTATGGGCACAGGTTTTAGAGAAGGACTCTCCAGGTAGAGATCCCAGCTCTACCACTTCCAAGCTTGAGGCGTTGTGCATGGCACCTATGTTTGTGCAGAACCATCGGAGAATCCCCAAAGGAGGAAGGAGGACAGAGCCATCACTCTTCATCCATCCCCCAATCCCTGCTTCCCCAAAGATCTTCCTCCCAACACACCCAGTGAGAAACCACCACCTCTCTTTCTATTACCACCCCCAGTAGCCCTATTGCATCCTGTTGGCTCATGCTCCAGAACAGACCTCAAATCTGTCCATTGCATCCTTCCCCAAAGACTCTCCATCCCATAACCTCACACCTGGCCCACCACAGCCTCCAACAGGTGCTCCTAGCTCAGCCCTTGCTTCCCTCCCTGTGTGAAAGAAAAGGGACCTTCTTCAAAAGCAAGCCTGGCGGTGTGCTTTTCCTCTGCAGCCCCTCCCACTGCCCTTGGAATAAATCCAAGCTCCTGGGGTCCCCTATGCTTTTCCCAATTGGGGCCCTGCCTTTCTCTCCATCCTCTCTCACCCCAACTGCCAAGCTCCAGTCATGCTGGGTCCTTTCACTTTTTGGAACAAGTCAGGCTTTCCTTCCCTCAGGGCCTTTGTGCAAGCTACTCCCATTGCCCAGAAGGCTGTCTCTTTTCTTCCCAAGTTGGTTCCTGCTCATCATTTGTACTCAGCTTAACTGGCAGCTCTCTGGAGGGGCTTTTCCTGACCCCCTGCCTAAAGTGGGCTTTCTCCAACCCCAACCAGTTGTCTGCTTCAATACTCTAACCATCACGCGTTGTCTAATTGTTTTTGTGCTGTGTCCCCAGACAGAATGGGAAATTCATGACAGCATGGATTATGCCTGTTATGCTCCCCATTGTTCCTCCACACATAGCATGGCTCCTGGGTAACACATCTTTGTTGAGTGGCAGAGAGTATCATGTACCCAGAATATGCCAGGTGATGCACTGTGGAGGTGCATGTGGAGCTCATTAGACCTTTGCAACAACCCAAAAAGTACTTGTTATTCCTAATTTACAGATGAGGAAACTTAGGAAAGTAACTTGCCTGGTGCCATAAGGTCAATACATGGCAGAGCTGGAATCTGCATGCAGCCCTGTCTGACTTTTCCTACTGCACTGGACTGCTTTTCCAACCCTTTCACAACCCAGAACAGGAGCGGAGCCTTAGCAGACACAAGACTCACCACCGGCATAAATGTGACATGTCAGAATTATGTGCTCCCGTCATTTATTTGTTCTTCTGTTTACTTAAACTTTCAAGACATCAGGCTTAAGGAAGACCCTGCAGAAATGTCCAAATGACTCCAGCATAATAATTGTATGATATATTACTATTATTTCCCTTGAGTCTGTATTTATAGGGAAATTGGATTATAAGTGTGTCTTGCAGGCTGAATATTGTTCTCTTAGCCCAGTGATTAGAGAGAAACAGAGGGTGGAGAGATGGCAAGGGAGGGAGAGACTGGCATTGGCAAATCCATGCAAAACTCACCTATTAAAGTGGTAGTCATAGTGATCTTTCCAAGCATCTACTAGCCCTAATGGTATACAGTGGACAAGAGTCATTGTAAAGCCCACCAAAGCAAGGTCGGTGAGCCACAGGTCTCACCAGTAAAGCCTGAAGGCGAATTCAGAAGGTCCATCTACAATAAAAGAACCACTACAACCACCAAGAAAACAGCCAGATATCTTACAAGGCACTTCACATTTGTCATGATGTTTCATGCTCATAACAACTCTCTATGATAGGTACTAGCATTATCCCCATTTTAGAAATGAGAAAAATGAGGAACAGACATGCTCAGTAACTTGCCTAATGTCAAACAACTGTCAAGTAACAGGTGGGAGTCACCCCAGCTTTCTACGCTGCGACCCTCCAGGCACCCATGTGACTGGGAGAGGCCATGCCACCAACAGGTCTGTTCCAAGTCCACACATTTTCTCTGCCCTCTTCCAATTTCTGATGACTAAACTGATTTTCTTTAAGGCTTGTACATTTCCTGCAGCTTAAAAAGATTGGAATGGCATCTACTGGCATAACAAAATTGTCTCGTGATGAGGACACGACTCTAGAAGTTAAGTAAGAGAGAAATGCCAAGCCCCTTACAGGCAGCCCGTGCTCAGTGATGGCTAGTGTCCTTCCTTCCCGTAAACCCAGCTGATGCTATAGCCTCATTCTTGGCTTAGAGATCCACAATCCAATGACAAGGATGGCCACTGGCCTTTGTTTAGTCCAACAGGTCCCAAATATATTTAACCACAAAAGGCTGTATTGAGAAACACCCATTCCACATCCCAAACAAACCTGGGGAAATGCTCACCAGACCTCCCAGTTTCTAGCACAAAAACAGGGGATTGCAGGGAGGAGGACACAGGAGGGGCTTCCCTGGGGTGAAGGCCCAAGAGCAGCATGACACTGGGTCACTCCCAGCTCCTTTTCCAAGGGGTCTGCTCTTGGCAGCATGCCCAAGTGGCCCCTGTCCTTGCACAGACCCTGGCCCCAGTGGGCTCCCACATGAGAGGACATTTAGGAAGCAACATCCATTGCCCCTTGGGAATCCCCACTGGCTTTTCTCTCCAGAGATTTGGTGCCCAGCCCTTTCTGTTTATAATCTGAGAAACTATCATAGAAAGGACAGGCATAACAAGGAGGCTGGGACACAGATGATCCAGAGGGCCAGAAAGGGAGAGAAATCTCCCTAGGACCTGGCCCATGCCAGCCCATAAACTCCTGAAGGATAGGCGTCTTTGCAAACCCATCCCCAGCAGGTCTGGCCCATGGCGGGTGGTACCATGAGGATGGGGAGGTGACCGTCAGAGCCCTATAAAAGGATGACTCCACCTGGCCCTGGAAATGATAAACACAGCCCCTTATGTGCCCGTGGAGTTTGAAAGTTTACAAAGTGCTCTCTTGTGCATTATATCATTGCATCCCCACTGAAAATTAGGTATTATTCTTCTTTCTTCCAGTATACCAAAGAGAAAACGGGATTGTGAAAAGATGAAGGTCCAAAATCACAAGAGGGTATAAGTGGTGACCAGGTCCTTGGATTTCAAATGCCCCATCAGGAGCCCATCTGTCTACCACCCTGCTACCTGCCCTATCTGTTTGGGGTGTCAAGATCTGGCCAAAGGTTGGAAGAGGAAAAGATGAGAGGAGGCATAACTTGGCAGCCCTGGTGGTACAGAGTGGGGAAGATTTGAAATTGAAACAGCAAAAGGCAGTTTAAATAAACAGAGTCTGCTATGGTTTGAAGGTGTCCCCTCCAAAGTTCAGATGTTGCCAGTGTGATAGGATTACGAGGTGGGACCTTTGAGAGGTGATCAGGCCATAAGGACTCCTCTCTAGCGAATGGGATTGAGGGCCTTACAAAAGAGGCTTCATACAGCATGCAGCTAGCTTGTCCTTCTGCCCTCTGCCATGTAAGAACACAGTGTTCTTCCCTTCCAGGGGATGCAGCCCTCATTAGGCAGCTGAACCTGCAGGCACCTTGATCTTGGACTTCCCAGCCTCCAGAACTGGGAGAAAATAAATCTCTGCTCTTTATAAATTATTCACTCTCAGGCATTTTGTTATAGTAGCACAAATGGGCTAAGCTGAAGTCTCAGACAGCAGCTGAGTTCATTTTGAGAAAAAGAAGGACTCAGATGGGAGAGAAAGGTGTCCCTCTCCAGTGCCAGCAAATCTGCCCATGAGAGCACTGTTGCCCTGGGCTGTGGGGCAGTAGCCCTGGGATCTGAGGGCAGGTTGGATATGGAGGCCTCACCAGGGAACCGGACATTGCCCTGCCAGTCGGCAGCACATCCTGGCACCAGGAGCTGCTACCCAGGCTCAGTGCTCACTTCCACAGAGCTCCTTTATGGGTAGGTTTCTAGAGCAAGAATGCGCATTTCAAAGACATCCCTATGATGCTGGTCTTGCTCCAGAATCAATCATCATGTGAGTCTCCTGGCACTGAGAACAAATGATGTTGTTCAAACTGCTGCATGTTGTCCATGCTCACACCATGTGTTTTCTCAGCGATCCTGTGAGGCAGGGACTCCCATGGCCGCAGCTGTGGGCAGCCAATCACACCAGTTCGTTGCCAAGCATACAGCCTGGGTCCTCAGGCATCCTGAAGATGGAGCATCACCAAGGTTTCCCTGTGTTCCCAAGCTCTTCTCAGTGCCCAGGAGAGAGTATGTGTGCATGTGGGTGTGTCCAAGAAAGAAGGGAGGGATCAGATGAGTGGTCAGCCCTGCCATCCTCCTCGAGGCCTCCTGCTTAGCTTCTGCATGTCCCAGCTGGAGCCGGACATCAAGTTGGCTCCTTCCAGCTCTCCTCTCTAGGCCACGGTTGCTCATCCTGTAGGCACCAGCTGGGCTGTCACTCCAAGAAGCTGGAGCCCCTGGGCCACCTGGGGCCTCTTCCTGACAGTGAGGACTGCAGATGCCCAAGGGCAGATGTTGGCTGGTGTCACCCCACTGGCAGCACCTGCTGAAGATCCCCATACCCCTCCTGCTTCTGTGGGTGCCCAGAAAACAGAGGTTGTGGCTGCCTTGAGCATGCAGCTTATGCTTCCTGAAGCCTTGTCAAAGGGCGGAACTGGTCCCTCAGCTCAGTGTGGGTCTCAGGCCTGGCTTTCCCTGTGTCCATTCCAAGGGTCACACGGCCCCTTTTCCTTGCTTCTGTGATGGACCAGCAGGACTGCAGCCAGCATTTTGTGGGATGGACAGATACCCTGGGGCCCCTTTTTCTACCAGACAGCCTCCATTGAGGGCTGTTCTGGTTCAGTAGATGGGACATGAGGCTTCACCTGAGCCGAGTTTGTATAGGACAGGCGAGCCTGTCAGCAGCACATCTGGGTTCATAACCAGGTCCCCAGGCTTTGAATGCCACCAGCAAGCTACTAGCCTGAACAGCTCAGTCTTCCACTGGCTTTTGAAGATTAAATCCCCTTTTTGCCTAAGTACCTAGGGGGATTGGAGCCTACAGAGGGCCAGCTTGGAAAAAGTAAGGAGGCACATCTGTTTAGAGAAAGGCCTGGGGCAGCGTGGCTGTTCTTGCCAGACCACATTGGTGAGGAGGTCCGTGTGGGTGTCCATGAACGTGGTGACACGGAGGGCCTCCTGGGGCACCAAGAGGACCTGCGGGGTCTGGAGGTGAGAATACAAGAGACCAGGAGGTACTGCTGGCCAGGGAGAGCTGGGGTATGGACGGCAGACCCCTCCTCATGGCTGCCTGGCTACCCAGATTACACACGCTCACTGAGCGCTCTGCAGTCAGGAACTTCTGGGCTGAGTCTCTTCAGCAACTTCTTGCCTTGAATACTCCAGTTGATGATAAACTCCGTACCTCCCAAGACAGTTCATGCATGGCTCCATGGACTGTCTCTCACTTGTTGAATGGATAAGCATCTCCCTGCAACTTCTACACTTTGGGATGATCCTTCTTGCCCATGACATCCCTTCAAATGTCACCCCATGTGTTGTTGCTTCCAGCCCCTCCTCCTCCTGGGCCCTCTCCCCTGCTGGAACTTGAACAGAGCTACTTAAGCTGCTTTACAAATGGGGCTTACACATGAGCTTGGTTTGAAGCAAGAGCACCACAGTTTAAAGGGTCTGAAACCATTAGTGCTGCCCAATATGACGGCCCCTTGTGGTCCCACGCTATCTCTGGTCTGTGGCTTCCCCTCCCATAGATGTGCAAATGCCTGGCTCAGGTCAGCACCCAAGGACAGGGGCCACTGCCCCTGATGGGGAGACCCAGAGCCCTCTACCCGGCTGGCTCTGCTCTGCTCACATGGACGAAGTGGCCTGGAGGTGCCAAGCCAGCCCACATACATTCAGAACATGCCTGTGCAGCTCTTGAGTGTGGTGTGGGCCCCGTCAGCACTGCACTGGGGGCCGGGCGTCCTGGGGACTCAGGGCAGGATGGGCAATGCCCACAGAGCGTGCCAGGCACGAAGTGTGTGGGAGGCGGCCGTGGTCCCCAGGTGGAGGGCAGGCCGGGGTGGCGGGGCGCGGCCGGCGGGCACTCACAGGGCAGGGTCTCGGCGCTGTTCTTCTGGAGCATGATGTAGAGCTGTAGCACCAGTTGGGGCGCGCTCTCCAGGAAGGTCTCCAGGAGGCGCAGCATGTTGACGTCTGCATATTCATACATCATAGCCCAGTAGAAGCGTCGCTGGTGTTCCTTCCGCCGCTGGCTCTGAATCCCCAGGTACATGGTGCGGATATACCTGCCCAGAGAGATGGGGAGAACACAGAGAGCATGGGTGGGTGCAGGGGCTCCAGAGGACCCTTGCCATCCCCCTAAAACCAAGAGACTCAGCATCCCCCCAACTCCCTATGCTCTGAAGTTCCCAGAGGCTTGGACGGGGCTCTGGGGGGCTCCCGGCAAAAGGACATGATGCTGAGGCATGGGGGAGGGGCGGGGCAGGTCAGGAAAGGATTTGACCCCTCGTGGACCCCTAGGCAGGTCTTCCTCCTCCTGGTCTCCCATTTGCTCATCTGGAAGATGAGACTGTGGGGCCAGATGCCCTGCCAGGGCCTGCAGGTAGGCATCTCAGGTGAGCTCCGGGACAGGGGTGGGCTTTCAGGTTCAGGACCCCGGGGGGAAACAATCCAGCAAGGTTATCACCTCTGTTGTTCTGGAGGAGGAAAGGAAGGGAAGCGGGTGAACATTTCTGAAGCTCCTACTACGTGCCATTCGCTGGCTGGCCATGCCCAGGTGGTAAGTAGGAGGGTATGGTTCTCACATGATACAGACAGGAAACAGCGTGGGCTCAGAAAGGTCACCCCCACTGCACAGGCTCCTGTCGCCGGATAGTGGAACAAGTAGGGATCACATCCAGGCCACTGGACACCCTCCCTGGACATCAGGGGGACCCAGGGCCTGCCATGGAGTCTCCGTCCCAGCAGGGCCCAGGACACAGGAGCAGATCCGCTGCCCGCCCTCTCAGGACCACTCCCGGGCTCTGTGTGGGAGGGCTGAGGGGCCAAGGAAGCAGGTAGGGGGAAGAGCAAGGTTCACAGGTCAAGCAGGCCTGACTCATCACTTGCTAAGTGGGGGATCTTGAACTAGTTATTCCAGCTCTGTGTCCTTGTCACTCATCTTTCATATGGGGACAGAATGAGAGCATCGCAGGGTGCATGGGAAGATTAGTGAGATGATATGCACAGTCGGCATCTCCCCAGGTCATATAATAACCCCAGCCTCAATTTCACCGGAACTCTCTGGAACTGTGTCTCCAAGGCAAGAGAAGGACTTAAGGCACCATCCAAACTCAGCCAACAGGCTCCAAGTCTGGGCCAGGGTAGAGGTTGTGGACAGGGCTCACCCAGAAGCAAGGGCCACAGTGCACAGCTCTGTGGGCCCAGTCAGGATCAAAAACAGGAACCGTAAACTGGGTGCCAGCGGCAGTGGGAGAGAACCACATGCCTGTCCTTGACTGTCCTGTGGGATGGACATTCTAGGACCCACTACTGTGCCCTTTGAAATGCTGAGCCTGACTCCTAAAGATTCAGTGCATGGCTGACACCCTATCCAGGCCCAGCTGGCCTCAGGTATTACCAAGAACACACTCAGGGCTGCCGGATGGTCTGTTCTGTCACTGCCACAACACCAGCTGGCTCCCAGCCACTGCCCCTTTTGCCTGGAGGGATGCTGGAGTCTCCTCACTGGTCCTCCACTGTCTACTCTTACCCCAGAACAACCCATTCTTCACGCCGCTACTAAGCCACAAGGGTGACCTCAAACACACATGCCAGGTGCAGTAAGCCCCGCTCACCAACTGATGAGGGGTGCCCGGCTTCTCTCTAGATTCCTAAGGCCCTTTGGGGGCCTGGATCCTGAAGGCACCCAGCCAGGGAAGCTGCAATGGATGCCTCATTTCTCTCCAGACCCACCCCCTGTGGTGAGCAGAGATGCAATCTTACTGACAACCAGAGTGAGGCTGGCATTGCAATGATGGCCCCATCAGGGAGGGATATGGGAGGAAGGTTGGGGCACCAGGCCCCCCAGGCCAGGTCCTTCCAGGTATACAGTCTCTTGGGGTCCCTGGCCCACCTTGCGGGTCAGGTCTGGTTATCACCATTCAACACATGGGGAAACTGAGGCTCTAGCATGAAATAAACCACCAAATTCTGGTTCTGTTCAAGGTTCTGCCACCTGCTGACTGTGGCATTTCCACTAGGTGTTGCCTTGCTCTGGGCCCCTGCCCGTGAGTTCACAAAATCAAGGAACCAGGGAAGAGGCTCAGGAAGAGGAAGGGGGAGGTTGCACCTAGTCTCAGAGCTCACAGTCACTAAGAGAGGGGGAGGGAGAGACCCAGAGAGATAGAGGCAGAGACATAGAGATAGACAGTGAGACAGACACACACGGAGAGACACAGAAGTAGGAGGGAGCTGAAGGGGAAAGCAAAGGTGAAGGGAGCAGTGTCAAACTTGGGGGTCTGAGGAGAGGACTGCCTGGAAGAGATGATGGCAGCAAGAAATGTGTGCAGCGAGGTTCCTGGAAGCAGATGTCATCATCGGTAGTTTGGGAGGGGCTGAGGGTGAGCCCCTGATGGAGGGTGATAGAAGGGCCAGGCTGATCAACCGTGATGGCAGTGCGGGGAGGCAGGGCATCAGGGGACATGAATGCTCCAGCTGAAGCACCGAGGCAGGGCTGCGTGCCCAGATCTTTGGCACCCATGTCTAGGAGAGCTGTGTGCTGAGTGGAGCCTCAGTGCCGTGTGTCTCCCAGATCAGAGCTGCCCCCTGTGACCCAAACCCGGCTCTCTCAACAGGTGGCACCTGCAGCACACAAGCCATGAGCCACAGATCACTCCAGGCCCCAGACCGCAAACCTAATGGTCTCAGGGGTACTCAGACTACAGACTCTGCTTCTTCCAGCCTCACAGGTGGCCCAGCAGCTGGAGGAACGGTTATATGGCAGCACTAACCCTATCCATCTGGGTCCCAGGTCAGTAATGCCAGTGCTCAGGTTCACCCAGGTTTGCCCTACCAGGCAAAGGGAGCACCAGTTCTACCCTTCCACGCCACATTCTCCCAAAGCCACAGGCCCCTCTGCCCACCAAGGCCGGGGCAAAGGAAAACAACAAGCCCAGAATACACCAATTCAACTGGGATGCCTGCCAGGAGGAGCCAATCTTGATGCTCTCCTGGGTGTGAGCACCCCAGGGTGTGGGAAGAGCCAGGGTGGATGTAGGCAAAGAGGGTGCCACTCCTCCCTGAGCCAATTAGCAAGCAGACGTTGGGGCCTAGAGGGCACTAGAGTCCAGGCAAAACCGTTTGGACAGCATGGTGCCTCCTGGGTCACCCGCACAGGCACCTCTGGGACTGTAGTAGGGACTGATCACAGCCCTGCCCAGGAGTTCCTGACAGCCAAGCCTCAATGCAAATGCTCATCCTTTCCAACTGCTCCCGGCTCGGTCCCTCCTCTGCTACTCTTAAGTCCTTGGGTCCACAGTACACAACCGAGGGGTACTGGTTTGCAATATAATTAGGTCTGGACCCTGGAGGTCTAGTCCAACCCCCACTTTATAGTGGAGGGCCCAGGTGCCAGAACGCAAGCCACTGCCGCCTCAGTCACTCAGTGCTGTGGGGCCCGGACGGGACCAGAATCCAGGCCTGACCCCATGACCTTGCTTGTCCACCACAACACGTGCAAAGCCCTTGCCTCTCATGCAGGAGGATCCTGGCAGCTCCTGCGATCACGCGGCTGCTGCTGTCCTCGAGGCTCTAGGATTCTTCCTCCTCCTAGCTTTACCTGGTGTCTGTCTCCCTCAAGATCTAAGGAGCTGCCAAGAAACAACGAGGCAGATGGGTGGGGTGGGAGGAAGGCATAAGCCATGTCCCCCCTAAACCCCTGGGCCAGCGCTGCTCTCCCTCGGGATCTCAGTTTCCTGTGTGTAAAATCCGGAGCTCCTGGGTGACCTCTGAGGCTGCGCTGCCAGCCGCCTCCTGCAGAGTCTCCCATCCCCTCTGCAGAAGCGGCCTCGACCCGCGGCCACACGGTGGCGCCAGACCCTAAGCGTCGCGGAAACGCCGCTCCAGGCAAGTGATCTCATCCCACAGGCCCGCGCCCTCTTCTGCCAGGGCGCGGAGTGCAAGCCCAGAGGTGCGCTCCGAGGGGGGAACCAAGGCAGGAGACTCAGGATTGGCTGCCATTCCTCCAAGCCCCCTCCTTCTCCACCTTCCAGGCGGGTTCCAGAAAGCTTACCGCACCGTTCTCCAGGAAGGTATCTCTTGGGAGAGAAGACACCAACTCTTCTCCCGGACTTGCTCCCAAAGTCGGTGTCACCTCCTGTCACGCCATATCTGCCCTAAGAGCCTCGGATCATGAAATACACGGGGGTGAAAGCAGCAACGCCACGTGTCCTCATGGAGCACAGTCTCAAGAAAGCTGGGCCTGGTCTATGGTCTGCGGGAATGGCCAGTCTTGAGCAAGTCACCTCCCATGGCTGGGCCCCGCTATTCCCATCACAGGAGGGGCAGGCAGGAGGGATCTCCAAGCCTCTGTCAACATCTTATAACTTTGTCTTTCTTCAGGTGAGTGACCTCACAGAGCACAAAGGATGGCCTAGCATCTTTATAAACAATAATGCCTCATGTTTGTGTGACATTCACTTGTGCCAGGCTCTATTATGGGCATTTGGCACATATTACCTCATTTAATCCTCACAACACCCCTATGAGGTAGCTGCAATATTACCTACTAATTATTCATTTTACAGGTGCAGTATTACCTACCAATATTCATTTTACAGACAGCAAACTGAAGCACTGAGGTTAAAACATTCGCCTTGCTCTTCCCAGCTAAGTAGCTGAGCAGGGCTTCAAGCCCAGGCAGTCTGGCTTTGGGGCCAGTGCTGTTGACTGCTCCTGCCCACGCACCTCCCAGAGGTAGACCATGTGTCTCCTTACTTCTGAACTCAGTCCAACTTGCCTGACAGTGGGGAAGAAAGGAGTTTGCCCAAAACACCTGGGCTCCCTTCCAGCTCTGCCACCTGGCTGTGTTACCTTGAGGGACATTTCCTAACTTCTCTGAGCCTTAGTTTCCTCATGTATAAAATGCCTAGACCAGAGTAGAACCCAGGACATGATGGACGAATGAATGCATACCATAGTGCCCCCTCAGAGGGTCACAGGGGCCTTAAATAAGACCATGCCTGTGAGCACAGACAGGAGGTTAGAAGTCACCATGCAGATGGCAGCCATTACTGCTCCCTGAGGTGCCCTGTTCCTGTGTTCCCTCCAGCCCACTCTGCTTATATCTTTCTAGTTCTATCTCCTTTCCTTACTTTGTAAGCCATGGAATTGTTTAAAGCTCCTGTTCCCTCCAGCAGAAGTATCTAGTCCTCTGAGCACAGCTTTCTGAGGGAGACACGGTTGTCATCTTCTTTTTCCTGCTGGCTCGTCTGAGGCTCAGAAAGACTAAGTGACTTCCCTGAAGCCACACCGTCAGTCATGGTTCAGGAAAATCAGAGAAGGTCTCGTCCAAACTATGTTGCCCCTCTGAGGTTGGCTATGGCTCTGCCCAAGACTGGCTGGGGTAGAAAATAAGTGATTTCTACAAGGGGCAGGGGGCTAAACATTCACCTATCTGGGCCCACAGTCTCCAGCTGCTTCTTATGACACTGTCAGAAACAGCACTGAAATCTCTGATTGTGGATAACAAACCACCTTCAAAGCCCCAAACAGGGGTAAGCTCATGTTTTGTGGGGTCTGAGGCTTAGAGAACCCTTCTTTAAGGAAAATGGTAAATTCTACCAAACAGAGTAGAAATTGCACCAACTGTACACAATCTTTTCCAGAAAATAAAAAAGGAAGAAACACTTCCCTATTCATTTTATGAGGCCGGCATTACTCTGATACAAAAGCCAGTCAAACACAGTACAAGCAAATAAAACTACAGACAACATCTCCCATAAACATAGATGCAAAAATCTTCAACAAAATATTAGCAAATTAAATCCAGTAATATATGGAAAGAACAATGTACCAGAACCAACTGGGGTTTATCCTGGGAATGAAAGGCTGGTCCAATATTCAAAAATCAATCAATGTAATCTATGACATTAATAACCACACATCATAACAATTGATACAGAAGTAAAAGGTAACACAATTCAACATCCATTAATTTTCTCAGCAAACTAGAAATAGAAGGGAACTTCCTTAACCTTATGTAGATAAAGGGCATTTATGGAAACTCCCAGTTATCTTCCTTAATGATAAAAGACTGAATGCTTTTGTCTTAAGATCAAGAACAGGGTTATGATGTCTACACACACCACTCCTATTCAACATCATACTAGAAGTCCTGTTCAGTGCAGTAAGTCAAGAAAAATAAATACAGAAAGTATATGCAGATTGCAAAGGAAGAGGTAAAACTGTCCCTATTTGTAAATGACATGATTGTCTAGATTGAAAATCCTAAGCAATCCTAAGCAAGAAGCTCATATAAATAATTAGTTAATTTAGCAAGGTATCACAATACAGGGTCAGCCTGTAAAAGTCAATTGCGTTTCTATAAATGATTAATGAATAATTGAAAATTTAAAAATTAAAAATATATACCACTTAAATTAGCTCCGAAAATGAAATTCTTAGAGACAAATCTACTGAAACATGCAGGATTTGTATGCCACAGCTGCAAGATGCTAATAAAAGAAATCAAAGAAAACCTAAATGATACAGAGACATACCATGTTCAGGGATTGGAAGATGCAATATAGTAAGATGACAATTGCCCTCAAATTAATCTACAGATGTAACACAGTTCCAATAAAAACCCAAGTGGAATTTTTTTTTAAATACAGACAAGCCAATTCTAAAATTTATATGAAACTAGAATAGTCAAAACAATTCTAAAAGTGAATAAATTTGAAGAACTCACACTACTCGATTTTAGGATTTACTATAAAGCTACAGCACAGTGTAGCATTGGCCAAGAGAGAAACATAGATCAGCAGAACAGAAGAGTCCGGAAGAAGACCCATATAATTATGGCCAATTGGTTTTTTACAAAGGGATAAAGACAATTCAATGTTGATAGTCTTTTCAACAAATGATGTAGTAATAATAAGTCATTCATATGCAACAACTAACTTAAAATGTATCATAGGTTAACGTGTAAAACCATAAAACTTTAAGAAGAAACTGCAGGAGTGGTTCTGTACCTTGTATCAGACAAAGAGTTCTTAAATGACAGCAAAGGCATGATCCATAAAAAAAACAAAAAAGATAAACTTTATCAAAATTAAAAGCTTTTGCTCTGTGAATGACATTGTTAAGAGAATGAAAAGACAAGCTACAGATTGGGAGAAAATATTTGCAAATCACATATCAGACAAAGAACTTGTAGCTAGAATAAACAAAGAACTCTTAAAGCTCACTAGAAAAAAACAATCCAATTTTTTAAATGGGCACAAGATTTGAACAGATATTTTACCAAAGAGGATACACAATAGCAAATAAACATGGGGAGAAGGGAGCTCAACGTTACAAGTAAATAGGGAAATGTATATTAAAATCACAGTGAAAAAAACCCCACAATGAGATAGTACTTCATATCTGTTAAAATGGCTAAATAAAAACACTGACACTATCAAGTGCTGTCACGAATACAGAGCAACTAGAATGCTCATATATTGCAGTGGGAATGCAAATGCTTCTGACACTCTGGAAAACAGTGGACAGTCTCTCATAAAGTTAAACATACTCTCCACATATGACCCATAGTTCCCTTTCTAGGTATTCTAGAAATGAAGACTTATGTCCACACAAAAATGTGTGCACAAATGTTTTAGCAGTTATTTTCTTTTTCTTTTTTTTTTTTATTATACTTTAAATTTTAGGGTACATGTGCACATCGTGCAGGTTAGTTACATATGTATACATGTGCCATGCCGGTGCGCTGCACCCACTAACTCGTCATCTAGCCTTAGGTATATCTCCCAATGCTATCCCTCCCCCCTCCCCCCACCCCACCACAGTCCCCAGAGTGTGATATTCCCCTTCATGTGTCCATGTGATCTCACTGTTCAATTCCCACCTATGAGTGAGAATATGCGGTGTTTGGTTTTTTGTTCTGGCGATAGTTTACTGAGAATGATGATTTCCAATTTCATCCATGTCCCTACAAAGGACATGAACTCATCATTTTTTATGGCTGCATAGTATTCCATGGTGTATATGTGCCACATTTTCTTAATCCAGTCTATCATTGTTGGACATTTGGGTTGGTTCCAAGTCTTTGCTATTGTGAATAATGCCGCAATAAACATACGTGTGCATGTGTCTTTATAGCAGCATGATTTATAGTCATTTGGGTATATACCCAGTAATGGGATGCCTGGGTCAAATGGTATTTCTAGTTCTAGATCCCTGAGGAATCCCCACACTGACTTCCACAACGGTTGAACTAGTTTACAGTCCCACCAACAGTGTAAAAGTGTTCCTATTTCCTGACTTTTTAATGATTGCCATTCTAACTGGTGTGAGATGATATCTCATAGTGGTTTTGATTTGCATTTCTCTGATGGCCAGTGATGATGAGCATTTTTTCATGTGTTTTTTGGCTGCATAAATGTCTTCTTTTGAGAAGTGTCTGTTCATGTCCCTCGCCCACTTTTTGATGGGGTTGTTTCTTTTTTTCTTGTAAATTTGTTTGAGTTCATTGTAGATTCTGGATATTAGCCCTTTGTCAGATGAGTAGGTTGCGAAAATTTTCTCCCATGTTGTAGGTTGCCTGTTCACTCTGATGGTAGTTTCTTCTGCTGTGCAGAAGCTCTTTAGTTTAATTAGATCCCATTTGTCAATTTTGGCTTTGGTTGCCATTGCTTTTGGTGTTTTGGACATGAAGTCCTTGCCCACGCCTATGTCCTGAGTGGTAATGCCTAGGTTTTCTTCTAGGGTTTTTATGGTTTTAGGTCTAACGTTTAAATCTTTAATCCATCTTGAATTGATTTTTGTATAAGGTGTAAGGAAGGGATCCAGTTTCAGCTTTCTACATATGGCTAGCCAGTTTTCCTAGCACCATTTATTAAATAGGGAATCCTTTCCCCATTGCTTGTTTTTCTCAGGTTTGTCAAAGATCAGATAGTTGTAGGTAAGCGGCGTTATTTCTGAGGGCTCTATTCTGTTCCATTGATCTATATCTCTGTTTTGGTACCAGTACCATGCTGTTTTGGTGACTGTAGCCTTGTAGTATAGTTTGAAGTCAGGTAGTGTGATGCCTCCAGCTTTGTTCTTTTGGCTTAGGATTGACTTGGCGATGCGGGCTCTTTTTTGGTTCCATATGAACTTCAAAGTAGTTTTTTCCAATTCTGTGAAGAAAGTCATTGGTAGCTTGATGGGGATGGCATTGAATCTGTAAATTACCTTGGGCAGTATGGCCATTTTCACGATATTGATTCTTCCTACCCATGAGCATGGAATGTTCTTCCATTTGTTTGTATCCTCTTTTATTTCCTTGAGCAGTGGTTTGTAGTTCTCCTTGAAGAGGTCCTTCACATCCCTTGTAAGTTGGATTCCTAGGTATTTTATTCTCTTTGAAGCAATTGTGAATGGGAGTTCACTCATGATTTGGCTCTCTGTTTGTCTGTTGTTGGTGTATAAGAATGCTTGTGATTTTTGTACATTGATTTTGTATCCTGAGACTTTGCTGAAGTTGCTTATCAGCTTAAGGAGATTTTGGGCTGAGACGATGGGGTTTTCTAGATAAACAATCATGTCGTCTGCAAACAGGGACAATTTGACTTCCTCTTTTCCTAATTGAATACCCTTTATTTCCTTCTCCTGCCTGATTGCCCTGGCCAGAACTTCCAACACTATGTTGAATAGGAGCGGTGAGAGAGGGCATCCCTGTCTTGCGCCAGTTTTCAAAGGGAATGCTTCCAGTTTTTGCCCATTCAGTATGATATTGGCTGTGAGTTTGTCATAGATAGCTCTTATTATTTTGAAATACGTCCCATCAATACCTAATTTATTGAGAGTTTTTAGCATGAAGGGTTGTTGAATTTTGTCAAAGGCTTTTTCTGCATCTATTGAGATAATCATGTGGTTTTTGTCTTTGGCTCTGTTTATATGCTGGATTACATTTATTGATTTGCGTATATTGAACCAGCCTTGCATCCCAGGGATGAAGCCCACTTGATCATGGTGGATAAGCTTTTTGATGTGCTGCTGGATTAGGTTTGCCAGTATTTTATTGAGGATTTTTGCATCAATGTTCATCAGGGATATTGGTCTAAAATTCTCTTTTTTCGTTGTGTCTCTGCCCGGCTTTGGTATCAGAATGACGCTGGCCTCATAAAATGAGTTAGGGAGGATTCCCTCTTTTTCTATTGATTGGAATAGTTTCAGAAGGAATGGTACCAGTTCCTCCTTGTACCTCTGGTAGAATTCGGCTGTGAATCCATCTGGTCCTGGACTCTTTTTGGTTGGTAAACTATTGATTATTGCCACAATTTCAGCTCCTGTTATTGGTCTATTCACAGATTCAACTTCTTCCTGGTTTAGTCTTGGGAGAGTGTATGTGTCGAGGAATTTATCCATTTCTTCTAGATTTTCTAGTTTATTTGCGTAGAGGTGTTTGTAGTATTCTCTGATGGTAGTTTGTATTTCTGTGGGATCAGTGGTGATATCCCCTTTATCATTTTTTATTGTGTCTATTTGATTCTTCTCTCTTTTTTTCTTTATTAGTCTTGCTAGCGGTCATTCAATTTTGTTGATCCTTTCAAAAAACCAGCTCCTGGATTCATTGATTTTTTGAAGGGTTTTTTGTGTCTCTATTTCCTTCAGTTCTGCTGTGATTTTAGTTATTTCTTGCCTTCTGCTAGCTTTTGAATGTGTTTGCTCTTGCTTTTCTAGTTCTTTTAATTGTGATGTTAGGGTGTCAATTTTGGATCTTTCCTGCTTTCTCTTGTGGGCATTTAGTGCTATAAATTTCCCTCTACACACTGCTTTGAATGCATCCCAGAGATTCTGGTATGTTGTGTCTTTGTTCTCATTGGTTTCAAAGAACATCTTTATTTCTGCCTTCATTTTGTTATGTACCCAGTAGTCATTCAGGAGCACGTTGTTCAGTTTCCATGTAGTTGAGCGGCTTTGAGTGAGATTCTTAATCCTGAGTTCTAGTTTGATTGCACTGTGGTCTGAGAGATAGTTTGTTATAATTTCTGTTCTTTTACATTTGCTGAGGAGAGCTTTACTTCCAAGTATGTGGTCAATTTTGGAATAGGTGTGGTGTGGTGCTGAAAAAAATGTATATTCTGTTGATTTGGGGTGGAGAGTTCTGTAGATGTCTATTAGGTCCACTTGGTGCAGAGCTGAGTTCAATTCCTGGGTATCCTTGTTGACTTTCTGTCTCGTTGATCTGTCTAATGTTGACAGTGGGGTGTTAAACTCTCCCATTATTAATGTGTGGGAGTCTAAGTCTCTTTGTAGGTCACTCAGGACTTGCTTTATGAATCTGGGTGCTCCTGTGTTGGGTGCATATATATTTAGGATAGTTAGCTCCTCTTGTTGAATTGATCCCTTTACCATTATGTAATGGCCTTCTTTGTCTCTTTTGATCTTTGTTGGTTTAAAGTCTGTTTTATCAGAGAGTAGGATTGCAACCCCTGCCTTTTTTTGTTTTCCATTTGCTTGGTAGATCTTTCTCCATCCTTTTATTTTGAGCCTATGTGTGTCTCTGCACGTGAGATGGGTTTCCTGAATACAGCACACTGATGGGTCTTGACTCTTTATCCAACTTGCCAGTCTGTGTCTTTTAATTGGAGAATTTAGTCCATTTACATTTAAAGTTAATATTGTTATGTGTGAATTTGATCCTGTCATTATGATGTTAGCTGGTGATTTTGCTCGTTAGTTGATGCAGTTTCTTCCTAGTCTCGATGGTCTTTACATTTTGGCATGATTTTGCAGCGGCTGGTACCGGTTGTTCCTTTCCATGTTTAGCGCTTCCTTCAGGAGCTCTTTTAGGGCAGGCCTGGTGGTGACAAAATCTCTCAGCATTTGCTTGTCTGTAAAGTATTTTATTTCTCCTTCACTTATGAAGCTTAGTTTGGCTGGATATGAAATTCTGGGTTGAAAATTCTTTTCTTTAAGAATGTTGAATATTGGCCCCCACTCTCTTCTGGTTTGTAGGGTTTCTGCCGAGAGATCCGCTGTTAGTCTGATGGGCTTCCCTTTGAGGGTAACCCGACCTTTCTCTCTGGCTGCCCTTAACATTTTTTCCTTCATTTCAACTTTGGTGAATCTGACAATTATGTGTCTTGGAGTTGCTCTTCTCGAGGAGTATCTTTGTGGCGTTCTCTGTATTTCCTGAATCTGAACGTTGGCCTGCCTTGCTAGATTGGGGAAGTTCTCCTGGATAATATCCTGCAGAGTGTTTTCCAACTTGGTTCCATTCTCTGCATCACTTTCAGGTACACCAATCAGACGTAGATTTGGTCTTTTCACATAGTCCCATATTTCTTGGAGGCTTTGCTCATTTCTTTTTATTCTTTTTTCTCTAAACTTCCCTTCTCGCTTCATTTCATTCATTTCATCTTCCATCGCTGATACCCTTTCTTCCAGTTGATCGCATCGGCTCCTGAGGCTTCTGCATTCTTCACGTAGTTCTCGAGCCTTGGTTTTCAGCTCCATCAGCTCCTTTAAGCACTTCTCTGTATTGGTTATTCTAGTTATACATACTTCTAAATTTTTTTCAAAGTTTTCAACTTCTTTGCCTTTGGTTTGAATGTCCTCCCGTAGCTCAGAGTAATTTGATCGTCTGAAGCCTTCTTCTCTCAGCTTGTCAAAGTCATTCTCCATCCAGCTTTGTTCCGTTGCTGGTGAGGAACTGCATTCCTTTGGAGGAGGAGAGGCGCTCTGCGTTTTAGAGTTTCCAGTTTTTCTGTTCTGTTTTTTCCCCATCTTTGTGGTTTTATCTACTTTTGGTCTTTGATGATGGTGATGTACAGATGGGTTTTCGGTGTGGATGTCCTTTCTGTTTGTTAGTTTTCCTTCTAACAGACAGCACCCTCAGCTGCAGGTCTGTTGGAATACCCTGCCGTGTGAGGTGTCAGTGTGCCCCTGCTGGGGGGTGCCTCCCAGTTAGGCTGCTCGGGGGTCAGGGGTCAGGGACCCACTTGAGGAGGCAGTCTGCCCGTTCTCAGATCTCCAGCTGCGTGCTGGGAGAACCACTGCTCTCTTCAAAGCTGTCAGACAGGGACATTTAAGTCTGCAGAGATTACTGCTGTCTTTTCGTTTGTCTGTGCCCTGCCCCCAGAGGTGGAGCCTACAGAGGCAGGCAGGCCTCCTTGAGCTGTGGTGGGCTCCACCCAGTTCGAGCTTCCCGGCTGCTTTGTTTACCTAAGCAAGCCTGAGCAATGGCGGGCGCCCCTCCCCCAGCCTCGCTGCCGCCTTGCAGTTTGATCTCAGACTGCTGTGCCAGCAATCAGCGAGACTCCGTGGGCGTAGGACCCTCCGAGCCAAGTGTGGGATATAGTCTCGTGATGCGCCGTTTTTTAAGCCGGTCTGAAAAGCGCAATATTCGGGTGGGAGTGACCCGATTTTGCAGGTGC
This sequence comes from Homo sapiens, assembly GCF_000001405.40. Classification (NCBI taxonomy): domain Eukaryota; kingdom Metazoa; phylum Chordata; class Mammalia; order Primates; family Hominidae; genus Homo; species Homo sapiens. The sequence goes on from NC_000008.11 coordinate 10,938,172, forward strand.
GTCTGTCACCCCTTTCTTTGACTCGGAAAGGGAACTCCCTGACCCCTTGCGCTTCCCAGGTGAGACAATGCCTCGCCCTGCTTCGGCTCGCGCACGGTGCGCGCACCCACTGGCCTGCGCCCACTGTCTGGCACTCCCTAGTGAGATGAACCCGGTACCTCAGATGGAAATGCAGAAATCCCCCGTCTTCTGCATCGCTCACGCTGGGAGCTGTAGAGCGGAGCTGTTCCTATTCGGCCATCTTGGCTCCTCCCCCCAGCAGTTCTTTTCATACTTGCCTACTATCCTTCCGCAGGTGAATATATAAACAATTATGGTAATCCATACTGTGGAATACTACTCAGGAATAAAAAGGAACAAACCACTGACACACACAACAACCTGGATGAATCTCCAAGGCATTATCCTAAAGGAGTGAAGTCTGTCTCGATAGTTATATACAGTGTGATTCCACTTATATGATATTCTGCAAGGCCAGAGGGATGGAGAACAGATTGGTAGTTCCCAGGGAGTGAAATTAAGGCATGATTTGCTTAAAAGTGGGCACATGGGAGAGTGTTCTGGGGTGGTGGAACTGTCCTGTGAGCTGATTATGGTGGTGACTATGTGAATCCGCGTATGCACTGAAACTCAAAGACCTCTACAAACACACATACAAGTCAATTTTACTCTATGTAAATGTTAATTTACAAAATTGTCCAAAAAAGAATCTTAAATTTTTAAAAAATGTAAAGAAAAAGAATACAAAATTACTTATTCAAAATTGAGTACAGGGTCCCATTAGAGGCCCATAAAAGTGAGGGGCCCTAAAGCTTAAGCTTCAGTGGGGCCGCAAGAAATCCATCTGTCCCCGAACACTATCTGCAAGGACCTTTTCCTGCTTCTCCCAGGACCTGCTTCTCCCAGGACCTGCTTCTGCAGCCTTCTGGAAGGAATGAGCTCACAAACCCTGGATGGAAAGGCCCAAAGGAAACTTCACTCCCAGCACAAGCAAGTATGAGGGCTTCAGAACTTCCGCTCCCCAGTAAACAGCTGACCGGCCCAACCAGGCAAGAAGGAAGGAAGGAAGGGCAGGAAGAGCCCTGGCAGAGAAGAATCCAGGCCCGCCCACCACAGTTCCTGCTTCTCTCCCTCCTAACGAATGTCTCTTTGGGCCTGGCCCCAAGGACCAGTGACTGAGAGGAACACTCTACTGATGACTTCCCAAGGCTACGCTGACCTGCTCGAGGAACAAATGGGTGGGGATCACCAGGATTTAAGGGACAGCTGCTCCCACAGTCCTATCCTAGAGACCCAGGCCCCTGGGGACAAGCCAGCTCCTGAGAGGGGTGACCTCACTGCCTACTTGGGCACCTGACCTGCACCCAGTGGCCTTAGCAATCTCTAGCTCTCACCCCTCAAGCGGCTTATTCAGAAACCTGATTCTATGAGCGCTTGTATCCCACCTGGGAGTGGTGGTCACGCAGAAGGGGCCTAAGACTCCAGGCTGGTTCGTAAAGCTTCCCCTAAGTCGCTGGGTTCTTGAAATTCCTGCCCTAATGCAGAGCTCTGCTTTCGACCAGAGACCAGGGGCCTCGCCCACCTTCAGGCCTCCTGGGCACTGTGAGCAATGCAGAGCTGTCCTCAGAAGACATTCCCAAGGCCAGGGGCTGGGCCCTGCTGCCTAGGAGGTTGTCAGGCGTCCTTGGGAGAACTGCTCTTCATTGTGCATCTCCAGCTTCTCCCTGGGCTTCGGGGGTCCACAGCAGCCAGCCTCCCCCTCCCCCAGGTGTGTCCCCTGAGTGTGCACATCGTAGCACAAGGGGTGTCAATCCTGGCTGCACCTGAGAAGCACCTGGAGTGTTTGCGAGAAATCCTGCGTCGACGTGTAATGCAATGTGCACCTTTCCAGGGAGGGCCTAGTGGGCAGGACCATGTCTGTGCTGGTCACTGGCATGGCCCCTCATGTAGCAGAGCGCCTGGCACATGGTGTGCCCTGGACCCACATTAGTGAAAGAAAGAAATGGAGGAAGGGAGAGGGAGAGACGGGGAGGGAGGGAAGTGCCTAAGCTGAGAGGTGGCATCATGAGCAGGAACAAAGCAGGTCTGGGCACCACACTCACAGGACTCTCACTGTAAGTTACTTAGCTTTCCTCCTTGGTCAACATTCGAGAATGCCACATAGCTCATGCCTTCAGGGCTCCAGGTTCAGGGCCCGCAGTAGTCACTGTGGACAACCTACAGCATTCCCTCCAGAGCCCATGTGCCAAACCAGGAGGGCTGCAGCCCCAGGAAGCCATGGGAAACTGGCTGGGCAGAGGCCATAGTAGGCCCCGATTTTCACCTGTGTCCCCCAAGTGGCATAGCAAGCCCTAGCAGAAGGCTGAGTTCCGCAGGGGAAACCCCTTTTTGATCTCTTTGTCGGCACCTGCAGACGGCTGGTCCGGGAGCAGAGCTGGTTCAAAGCCACGCAACACAGGTCCCACCCTCCTCCTGGGGCTCCCAAGATCTCACCAGTGGCTTCTCCCCACTATCCCAGGAGCTGCCTTGGCCAGCAGCAGTGTCACATATTCAGGACACAAACAACCTGTACGCGACAACCAGCTGTACCCCGAGATGTCACACACATCCCCTTTGCAATAGGCCGGCGGGCCCATCACCAGCAAACTGCTTTGTTCCATATGTGGTAGGTGCTGTGACCCACTGATTCTTTCCACCAGATATCGATCAGAAGGGCAGCCCCTTCCCTTCAGCTGCTCCTTGCCATCAGCTCCAGGCTTGGTTATGAACAGGATGCCAAGGCTGGGGTCACGCAGGGACATAGCTCTGGTCCCTGTAGCCACAGTGACTCGGCCACCGGGCCAGGCTTCTCAGACACCCAGGGAGGAGGTGAGGGGGCTCCTCGATGACTCCTGGAGGAGACTCAGTGGAGAGGAGTCTGAGGAGGCCACCTTTCCCACTGCCTTATGACACGGAGACCCCTCCAGGCCCTGTCCAACAGGCTCCTTCTACCCTCTCTCCTGTCCTTCCTCCGGGTTCACAGCCTCCTCCCACCGACACCCTCCACCTGTGCCCCCCTCCCCAGGCAACCCTTCAGCCCTTGACTGTCTGCAGGTTGGTTCCCTGGGGGCAGGAACAGAGGGGACGGTGTCACAACCACAACCACATAAAGTGATACCGCTTAGGAGCACTCAGCACTTGCAAGGCCTCCTGCTTCTGCCCTGACCCCAGGATGGGCACCATGGGCCCTGTGGAGATGGAGAAACTGAGGCAAAGGAACTGGCTGATGGCATCCAGCTGGGTCTGCTGACCCCATGCACTGGGCTGTTGCCAAGCACCTGTGTGAGCTGAGGTTAAGCTCGGCCACTCCTGCAGGACCTTCAGCCCCGCAGGCAGTCTCTGAGCCTGATTTTGCCCTGCACTGGGTCCCCAGCCCCTACCAGAGGCCTGCTCCTGGGAAGACCCACAGGGCATGTGCTGAGGGACTGTGTGGTAGGGCTGGGCTTCAGCCCCAGCCTCCTGACCTCAGAGCCTACAGTCTGTGTGGCTACGTGGCCTGGGGGCTCATGGGTGCTGAGTGCTGTGGAGGTTGTGAGGAGGCTGGGGAGCTGAGACCCCCCACCCTCGACCAGCAGGGCCTTAGAACATGTCAAATGCAACCCTTGGGCTCACAAAGGGAGCCCTGGAGGCCCCAGGCCCAAAGTCACAGCAGCACATAGAACCCCAACGGCCCTTCCACGGCTGCCTCTGCCCCAGCAGCCAGGCCTGTGGGCTGCACTCCGACCCCTTTGTGGCCAAGAACTGTTCAAGCTCTTTCCAAAAAGACTCAGAAAGCCGACCTTAAAGGCAGAGCACAGCTTTTCTCTGAAGCTGATAATGACACAGTTATCCCCTCTGAGGGATTTTTACTCAAACCATCTTTACTCTTATCCTGGGAGGATGCAGGTGCACTATCTCACACATACACACAACCGCACCCATACACACACCTCCCACATGAACACACACACTCGAACATACCACACACAGTTGCATACACACACGGCATTCACAATATGCATACACTTTACACACAGCGTACTCAACACAAAGTACATCCACCCACATGGTCACACTCCACACAGGTGCATTGTGTCTGACAGAGCACACACGCATGCAAACTACCAAATATCCATACATGCAACACACAGCTCAGCTTCCATCTATACAGATACGTGTGGACACACAGTCACATCCGCCACGGCCCTGAGTCCACAGCCAGCCTGGATTGCTGTGGGCGAGGTCTCTTGCCTGTGCTTCCCCTCCTGCTCCCAGGACTTCCTGCTCCCAGGACTGCCTGCTCCCGGTCACTCGCCATCACTGTGGCCTCCACAGGGAGGCAGAGAGACCGGGCACACAGAGCAAAAAGCCAAACTCACATTCAGCTGTTGGACTCACCTCAGAGAGGACAGCAGGAGCCCTCAAATTACGAAGTAAGCACTATGTGAGCAGATCCAGGTGTTCCAAATTCAGCGCCACGCTGCCCCCATTATTGAGAACAGGGCTAAGCTAGTTGCCGCCAAAGCACTCGCGAGCTCACTGATGCCCCAACTTGCCAATCACCCCTGCCTTCCCTCCGCCCTGTTCACGCTACAACCCCTTCCCTTATCCCATGCCTAGCTTATTTTGGAGTCCTGACTTGCAGCCACAGCAAAGCTTTTGAGACATTGCAAGATCGCATTCTTGCCTGACGCATCCTTCTGAGGGTGGAACAGTTGCCTCCTTGTTTGTCCTTTCCATGTCTGACCACATCCCAGGGCTGCAAGGATCTAGGGCCAGGTGGCCACATGCAGTGGCTGCAGGAGAAAATGGCTCAAAGGAGGGGCCAGGAAGGCTTCAGGACCATAGGCTGCATGGCCCAGGTAGGCACCGTACCCATCTGGGGCTCTTCTACCTGCCTGCCATTCACTCTGCCCAGGTCAGAGCCTTAGTGGCTGCTTCCTGGGATCATAGCTCAGGAGCAGGCTGCAGGACAGAGCAAAAGGCCTTGGCACCCTTCCATACCATTCGCAGATCTCAGGAGCATCACTGTCTGAGTTGTCACAGACAGGACAGGGTACAGCCTGTAAGCCTTTGCCAGGCAAACAGGCAGTTACTATGATGAGCAGTCCCATTTGACAGATGAGGAAGCTGAGGCTAAGCTACATTAACTAACCTGGGTGGCCTCCATTGCCTCTGCACCCTGGATTTCAGTCTCCCATGGTTGACTCCGACCTGCCTTCTCGCCTGTTCCCCACACCTGCTCCTGCCCTCCAGCCACATCCATGGCTCTCCATCCCCAGACCTTCCTAAGGGTGCCCCTCTCTGTATCTGCTCCTGCTGTCCCCTCTGCCTGGAGATCCATCCCTGTGTAGGGCCAAGCTCCCCGCCACATGCCTGCTCCTTGACCTGGTGAAATTCCACCCCTCGCTCGTCCTCCCGTAGCTACCATTTCTGTACCAGGCACAATGGAAGTGCTCTGCATCTATCAACTCATCTAAGCCTCCAGAAAGCCTTACGATCGTCCTCAGATGAAGAGACCAAAGCAAGAGGTTGTGGATGCCAGGGGTTCATACCCAGGTGGTTGACTCGAGAGGGAGTGCTTTTACGCCAGGGCACTATGCTCTCCTGCTCTCTTTCTCATTCCCTCCCCTTCTCATTCACTCCTGTCCACATCCCTACGAATGAGATCATCTGCGAGCCCCATTTTACAGATGAGGACACCTTGAGGATCAGGGAGTTCAATGGCCCTGCTAAAGCCAGGCGGAAGTCTCCCCCTGCCCGGATGTGGTGCTTGCCTCTGTTTCCCACCCCTGGAGGCCTCTCTCCTCCAATATCCGAGCTCTCCTTACCCCCGACCCTGCACCCAGTCCCTTAGGAAGAGAGAAGCCTCTCCAGCTAGATTTTAACCTCCAGGAGGGGCATCCATATACCCAGCGCCCCCCAGCCCACCACGGTAACATCCAATCAGAGTGCACTAAACTGAGTTTGGCCCTGGCTCTGATGACTCTGATGGAAGCTGGTCTCCTTCGACCAAGAGCTGCCTGTAACCCTAGCTTCAAATACATGAACTAGATGTTCCCAAAGGTAGATGACAAGGGCAGCAGCTAAATTCAAGCAGGAAAGATTTAAGTTGAACACAAGAAAGAACTTAGTGACCAGCACAGCTGGCTGAACCCACAACGAGACAGGTTTCCTGCCACTCCCTGGACGGTTTAAGAAAACAGAAACAAGCCTGTCAGATGCTCCCAGCACACAGAAGGCAAGGGTTGGACCCACTGACCTTTCGAAAATCCTCTCCACTCCAGCCATTCACCACACGGCAGGGCAGGGTGCCCCACACCCACACACAAATCCCACTTTCAGACTCCCTCAGGACCACTCAAAGGCAAGGTCTGGCAGCTCAAAGGGCCTGCAGAAATAGTGCACCCATGTAGTCGCGACCAGGGCCACAGACCTCTGGTTCATAGGCTCTGAGTATGAGAACAGACTCTAGAACCTTCCACAGCCTGGCTGGCTCCGAGAAACTTCTATGCTCCCCTCCACCCTGCACACACCCTGCCCCCAACATACCCTAGAGCAGAGATGCCTTCTGTACAAGGAAAAGGTGGGGGCCCAGCTGCCAACCCAGCCCCTGAGAGCACATGAAATCAGAGCTATTTTTAGCCCTTCTTTCCAGCAACTCTGACATCAGCTGAACAATGGTGGTGGGCTCAGGGTGCGTGTCTGAGAACGCAGGGATGAAATGGCATTTCTTTCCAGGGTCCCAGGGGACATGGCAGAGGAAAGCACCCTGAGGCTTCTGGGAACAGAGGCAGAATGCGGTAGATGTCGCCATGCAGTCTTTCTGGATGTAGGGTCAAGCTCGAGGGTGACTTCTGTAAACATCCCAGGGCTCGGGAGAGCATTGCCTGGGTGAAACTGGCTCCACCCCACGCCACCCAGCCTCATTTCCCCACCAGCAAGTAGGGCTCAGGCCACCAGGGCCTTCTCCAAGACGTTGCAAAAAACTTGATTAAAAAGGCCAAAATGCTGTTGCGCACGGTGGCTCATACCTGCAGTCCCAGCACTTTGGGAGGCCAAGGCAGGCGGATCACACGAGGTCGGGAGTTCGACACCAGCCTGGTCAACATGGTGAAACCCTGTCTCTACTAAAACTACAAAAATTAGCTGGGCATGGTGGTGCACACTTACAATCCCAGCTAACTGGGTGGTTGAGGCAGGATAATTGCTTGAACTCGGGAGGTGGAAGTTGGAATGAGCCGAGATGGCGCCACTGCACTCCAGCCTGGACAACACAGTGAGACTCCATCTCTAAATAAATAAATAAAAATGAAAAGACCAAAATGCCTTGGCAAACCCATGTATTGGAGAAATGTGGGTTTCCCTTTGTTTCCCCATCTAAGCTCCCAGAAGGACAGAGACCAAGGTTTTGGTTTTTTGTTTATCTTTATATCTCTGATATGAGGCACACGACCTGGTACTTACGGGCATTTGATTTTCTCTAATGAATGAATGAACACATTGGGCGACTTCTTAATAAAATCCTTGAACTCTGGAAAGTTCATATGTCTCTATTCCAAGCCCCCAGGGCAAGGGTACGCATAGCCCTTCCCTTCTCCAGGCTCTGGCCTAGCGCCGCGTCTCTGCTGGGGAACCCGAGAGCTGGGTGGTGTGCAGAGCAGCTCATGGGAACTCCCAGCTCTGCTCCTCCCTTCCCTCTCCTGTCCCCAAGCCTCACTCTCCAGCCCAGCCTAAGTCCCCAGCCCGGAGTGAATATGGGGACTATATTTGATTCCTCTCTAGCCCCCACGCAGTCTTTCCAACCAAGCAAGACAAGCCCCTTGCTGGTGGCGCCCTGTGCTTTTCAGCGTGGAGTTGTGACCGCTGCCATGCCCGTGATGGGAAGGCCACTTTGACCTCACTCAAATTAGAGCTAAAGACCTCCTGACCACACACACCTCCCTGTGTCACTCTGCCTGCAGGTTTCTCACAATCTGCCGGGACCCAAGTAGCCTATTTGCACACAGGTTGCCCATGGGGAATGGGGGTGAGATCAGCTCTGCCCACAGGAGGGAAACACGAATAGCCGATCCAAGCACTTCACAGCTATGAGAAAGGACCCCCGACCCAAAGTGAAGTCACCCACACTCCACCGGGGGCTTTGAATCGTGTAATGGACACGTGCACTTGAGCAGGCCGCAGAGCCCACCCGGGGCAGTGAACGTGCTTGTACCTTTGTGTAAGCCTCGGGTGCAGGGTGTGGCTGAAACACTCTAGTGTCCTTTTTCGGCCCATAGTGGGCTTATCATTAATGAATTTATCTAAAACACTAAGGAGGTTCTTCATCCACCCCTCCCACCCCTGGGGGTGGCGTGTCCTGCGGTTTTCCCTCCCCACGGGCTATGCTGTCCCACAATCTGCCCGAAACATGCCCCTTTATGACATTCCTGAGCACTCTACTGCAGTGATCCAAACCCCTCTCAGTCGTATTCAAGCACTCAGCAGACATAATTGAGCTCCTACTGCATGCCAGGCACTGGGGTAGGCACAGGGGACCCAGCATGGTCCCTGCCCTCATGCTGTTCACAGACCAGTGGAGGAGACACGCCTCAGGAGCTGGCAACCAGGTTGGAACAGCAGGAAAGGCTTCTAATTCCATTGCTAGGCATGAGATATTTCTGTCAGAGGCACTGGAGCTGAGTGCTCAAGGATGGGGGAGAGTTCACCAAGCAGCTAAGGGAAAGAGGGTGCTCCAGGTAGACAGTTCCAGAGGGTCAAAATCCCCCAGGTTTGCGTGGGGACAGAGAGGAAGGAATAAGGGGAGGCCAGGCTGGACAGAAAGGGCCTTGGGAGCACAGATGCATGCAGGAGGCAGGCATGGTGAGGATCGGATGACATATCAGGAGGCTCACTCTGGCTGCAGCTAAGGAGACGGGTTGGAGCGGAAGACACAGTAGTCCCAGTGACTACGAGTGAGGAGAGCTTGCTCCATGGTGGTAATGCTGGCAAGGGGGAAATCATAGCTCTCAGTGGCAGAGGAAAAGAGAGAAAATGAAGACACGTCTGAGATTTGGTTTGGTTGACCAGAAGAATGGTGTTGCCATTCACCGGGATGAACCGAAAAGGAGAGCAAAGGTTTGGGAGTGAGATACCTGGGGAACGTCCAGGCCAGGAGCCCATGTGCGTGTCTCTATGAAGCACAAGATGACAATCCAGGCTGGAGATGCAGACAGTGGAGTTGAGGAAGCACAGATGGCAAATCTGGGGGCATGGTTGGGGTCACCCTGGGGGATCGAGGGAGAGCAGCCCAGGATGGAGCCCTGAAAACACCATTGCTTAGCTTCCATGGAAGAGGAAGGTCAGAAAGGACCGAGAGGGCCCTGGTGATCAGGGAAGAGAAGCACCACTTATCCACACCCAAAGAAGGAGGAGAAAGACAGCACAGTGTAGCCCCCGGGGCCCTGGACCCAAGTATTGGCAAAGGTGATCTTTCATTCACCTTCTAAGATGTTTTGCCTGCATCTTCTCCCAACCTTCAGTTTTTGAGGCTGAAAAGTCCCAGTCTTTTCATCCAGTCCCTTGAGAATAGCCCACCGCCAGGGGAACTGTGGATCCCTTTGCTCTGGGCTTTGCTCAGTTCTTCCCTCATTCTGGGAGCCAGGAGGGCTTTGGGGATGTGATCACACAGGTGTAGGGACCCAAGAGCCAAGGGAAGAGCATTCCTGGGCGATCTTTTCAGCTCTGGGCTCAAATGCTCCCTACCTTCCAGGACGAAGTGGCTGTCAGGCCTGGGGTTGGGTAAGCAATGCCTTTCAAAGTCGTGTAGCGAAGTCCAGGGTGCAGGGTGGGTTAGGGGAGAGGTGACTGCAGAACAGCCACCTTTCCCTCAGAGAAGGGGACTCAGGATATAACAGCGGCTGCCATTTGTATGCCAGGCACCACCAAAATATCTCACTGGTTCCTCGCAACAACCCTATGAGGTAAAACCAGTATCCCAGCTACGGGTGAAGAGGCTGGGCTTCAGAGAGGTTTGGAAGCTTTCCCAAAGTCACACAGCAAAAGAACTAGAGCACTGGGATTTGGGCTCAGGTCCGTCCCCATCCAGCAGATGGACCCTCTCCCTCAGCGTCCTGCTGTCCCTCATCCCATGCAGCTGTTGGTCCTGTGGAAGATGCCCAGCACCGCATCTGCTGTGTGTGCTGAGACTTAGGCTCTTGAAACCTCTGCCAGCTGAGAAGGCTGCTATGTTCTGCTGCCCCCTGCCCTGGCTGAGTGGCCTCAGGAAGCTCTTCCCCTCTGTTTCCTTATGAGTGAGATGAGCGGGGAAGACCAGGTGAGCTCTCAGGCCCTGGAAGCTGACTCTGCAGACCTTGTAGGGCCTGGTCGGCTGCCCAGAGATCTTTCCACCTCAGTAGCTACCCTACAGGACATGGTCTATCCTTGCAGGACTTGGTCTGTCCCGTCCTCTAGCACCTCCCACCCCGCAGGACCCGGTCTGTCCTCTCCTATAGCACCCCCTGCCAGCTGGCTGCTTTCCCATGGGGAAGGCCCCGCACTCCCACCCCGGCGTGTAGCTGTGGCTTATCAAGCCCTCCTTGTATCCGTGTCCACCAGCCCCATTCTGGGGAGACGTGCTCATCTGTGTTGCTTCCTGGGGCCTCCCTGGGAAACAGGCTCAAAATAGAAGATGGCATTTACTGGAGCAGGCACAGCACCACCCAGGGTGGCCAGTGACATGTCCACATGTTAGAGCCCAAATCTTCAGGTGATCGTCAATTCCCAGCCCTGCCCTGGGCGGTGCAGCCTCTCGGGAGGCTCCTCAAAGTCAGACCCAGGGCAGGGCAGCAAAGGCCACATCTCCACTGAGTGAGCCTCACACTCACGCTGTCCTCTCCTGTCAATGACTCCACATGCTGCTGGAAACACCCTGGGAGTCCGGGGTGAGCCCTGGCTGGAGGAGCCTGGGCCCCGGGGCTGCCTCTGCAGGGGCCGGCTCTAGGGCCTGGAGCAAATCACCCCCCTACTCCCGCTTCCAGCCTCTCCCTCCATAAGATAAAGAGCGGAACAACCGTTTCTAAGTCCCTTCCATGCCTTGAGTCTTACGGGCCAGCTTAGTGGACTCTCCATAACTGCCCTGCAGGGAGAAGGCCTGCCCTTGGTGACCCAGCATGGGCCCCCTTCATCTGGGGTGCAGCAGCACCGTGGATGAGGATCTGGGAGGCAGGCAAGCCCCTTAAAGACTTGGGCAGGATGCAGAGCAGGGGCCAGCCGCACCACAGAGCCAGGGCTGGAGCTCCCCAGGGCTCTGAGCTCTCGCTCTGTAGCCAGGAAGGCACACCTGTTCCTAGAACAGTCACCTGAAAAGAGGGCAGGGAGGCCTCCGATGTGCCAGGCACGGAGCCAGACACTCGAGGCTAGCGGGGTACACCGTTAGTGCCCTAACAGGGGAATGTGACTGAAGGCAGTATGTCTATTGTTATCCCCATTTTATAATGGGAAAACAGGCGAGCACCATTAAGTAACTCATCCAAGGACACAAAGTCAAGGACCGGTGCCTACAGACTATGCTGTGCCCAAAGCATGCGGAGCTCTGCGGGCAGAGGAGGGAACTCCTAGCCCAAGTTGGGTGGGGGAGGGTACGAGGAAGATTCCAGGAGGAGGTGAATCTCAGCAGCATCTCTGAGCTGGAGCAAGAGCCCACTTCCACAGGCCAGGAGTCCCTTTCCCAGCCCGGCCTGTCTTGACTCAGGGGTCTGCAGGCTGTGCTCACAGCTCCTCCAACATGGCCCTCTCCTGGCTCCTCTGCATGAAAAAGAACCCACAGGGCTGTAGCTGGAAGCTTTCTGAGGTCAGAAACTGAGCATCCTTGCCCCTCCACCCTTCCTGGCCCAGGAATGCATGCACACGTGACACATGGCAGGATGGATGGAAGCAGGGGTGGCTGAGACCAGAAGAGGTCACAGCAGAGAGGGAGGGGCAGCTTCCCAACAGGTGGGGGTGGGACTCCACCCTGTCGCAGGCCAGCAGCCCTCACCTCCTGCTGCCATTACCACCTGGCCAATGGATAGTGCAGGGGGCTCCTCTGTGCTCCCAGCCCCCGGCCTCCTCTAGGTCCCTGCTGAAGCCAGTGTGGTGCAGGCCCAAGCTCAGAAGGGCCTCATCTTCCCAGGGAGCACAAGCTCTTTGTAGACACTGCTAGAAGCAGTGCACACCCTCCCTGTGCCAGGGCTGGGGGAGAGTGACTGTGGCAGAGATCACGGGTCCAGGCCTTTCCTGTCATTCCCACTGACCAGCCCCGAGATGGCAAGAACCACATCAGCATCTTGAGCCTCAGTCACCTCGTTCATAAAGTGGGAACAAGGGTCTCTTGTTGGATTCTCTCTTGACTTCCAGCAGGTGCAAATGAAGAAAGGGATGTGTCCCCACAACAGTTTTAGACTGAAAACCCCTGACAAGAACAGAAAACCTAGTCTCCTAGACAGAGAATGCTTAATAATTCATTCGTTCATACCTCAACACATTCCGAAAAGAACTTGAGATGGCGAGAACATACAATCCAGTTGGCAAGCACCACAGGCCCTTGGCTTGCTGGCCAAACCTTCGCCTCCCAAGGTCATCCAGGAGTAAGTGTCGAACACTTTCCAGGTCAGGCAGCTTGCTAGAAGTTTCTCAGATGCCATCCTATCAAAGCCTCACAATTGCCCATTGCACAGGTACTGTCACTACATTTTTCTACACATGAGAAGCCTGAGGTGCAGAGACGGCGAGTTACTTGCCCAAGGCCACACAGCAAGGATGGGGAGTGGGGATTTCCATCCAGGACTGACTGTGGCCCCAGAACCTCAGCAGCATGCCCTGACATCTTCCTGTGCTTTCCAAATTGTCAAGCGCCAGACGGAGTCACCCATCCATCCACGACCCCAGGGCTGCTGTTCTGGGCCAGTCCCTTGCAGCAGGTGCCCAGGAAGTCTGGAGGCCACAGCACCCCAGGTCCCTGCCCTTGGAACTCAGTTTCCAGGCAGAGGTAGACAGTGTTCAAATGAGCAAATAGTGATGGAAACTCATGCTGGGGGGACAAGGGCTGTGGGGAAAATAAAACAGAGGGATAGAAAAGTGTGTGTGTGTGTGGGGGGGGGGGGCCCCCACAGTGGTGACAGGGGAACGCACACCAGAATGGGACAAGGTGCTGAGCGACGCATGGGTAACAGCCAGGCTGCAGCTCAGAGAGGGGAATGGGCTTGCAGTGGAACAGCGAGAAGGCTGGGAAGGTGTGAGTGAAGACAGAATCACCGGCGGCTGCATCGGGAAGAACTTGGTTTTAGTCCCAAACAGCAGCAGTGGCTACCAGTCTGTTTCACACTGCGTGGCTTCTTTCTGATCTCGCCCTCTTACACAGGCCCTGCACTTCCCCGGACTTCAGGGTCTTCACCTGCAGAATGGGAAGGCTGGTCCATGACCTAACGGCCCATCATTCTATTCTGCTGCAGAGTCTCATCTTCCCCTGGGAGTGGGGATCTGGGAGGCGCTGCCTCTTCTGAGTAGGCTGCAGCACAGCAGGTGTGAAGCAGGGCAGGCAGAAGCCACCCCAGCTGCATGTCAGTGGCCTTGGGAGAGGGAGAAACGAGGTTTTCCTCCTGACCTGGCCTGAGCTGGGAGTGGGGAGCCCGGACCAAGGAGGGGGCAGGGGTGGGAGCTGTTATGGGGATGCCAGGTCGGGAAGAGGCCCCTGCAGAAGGGCTGGGCTGAGTGGGGACGACAGGAGAACCAAGAGGCCACAGCCAGCCCCCTGCCCTCCTCTAGCTGGCTGAGAAAAAGCCAGGATCAGCAGGGGAAATCGTGGGCCAGTGGGTAGGGGAGTGGGAAGGAGAAGGGCCAGCTATAAAGGGCACATGCAGCACAGGTCCACGGCATGACCTCCTGCAGCCCTCCTGCCCCTCTCCAGGCTTTTTCAAAGCCCCCATCCCCATCCCAGGCCTCAGCCCACCTGCCTCAGAGGCTGCCTCAAAGCCCCTGCCCAGGAAGGGGACCCAAGTTCACCCACAGGCCTCCCCGTGACGTTCCCGCTCTGAAGTGATTGGGTAATGGGGTAGTGACCTGGGAGGCAGCCAGTCAGGGTAGAAAGAGGCCCACTTACCACCCACATCATCCATGAGCTTGCTCATTGTATGCACAGTCCATAAACCCCCAACAAACACTAATACAGTCAGTACGTCAGAACCTCTCATATCTTTAGCATCCTGTGATGTGCTGAACTGTTATTTCCTTGCATTATTATATTTGTTTTTTCTTTTCTTTTGTTTGAGACAGGGTCTCATTCTGTTGCCCTGGCTGAAGTGCAGGGGCAAGATCACAGCTCACTGCAGCCTCGAACTTTTGAGCTCAAGCAATCCTCCCATCTCAGCCTCCCCCGTACCTGGGACCACAGACACGTGCCACCATGCCTGGCTAATTTTCTTTATTTTTTGTAGAGACGGTTATACAGTTTGAATGTGTATCCTTGCCCAAATCTCATGTTGAAATGTAGTCCCCAGTGCTGGAGGTGGGGCCTGGTGGGAGGTGTTTGGATCACGGGGGCGGATCCTTCATGAATGAACCTGAGCCTCCTCTTAGCACAGGGCTCCCAACCCCCGGGCCATGGACAGGTACTGGTCTGTGGCCTGTTAGGAACCCAGCTGCACAGCAGGAGGTGAGTGGCAGGCGAGGAAGCATTACCACCTGAGCTCTGCCTCCTGCCAGATCAGTGGCGGCATTAGATTCCCACAGGACTGTAAACCCTGTTGTGAACTGTGCCTGCGAGGGATCTAGGCTGCGCGCTCCTTATGAGAATCTAATGCATGATGATCTGTCACTGTCTCCATCACCTCCAGATGGGACCATCTAGTTGTAGGAAAACAAGCCCAGGGCTCCCACTGATTCTGCACTGTGGTGAGTTGTATGACTATTTCATTATACATTACAATGTAATAATAGTAGAAATAAAGTGTACAATCAATGTAATACTCATCCTGAAACCATCCTCCCTCCTAGTCTGTGGAAAAATTATCTTCCATGAAACTGGTCCCTGGTGCCAAAAAGGTTGGGGATTGCTGGTTTAGCACCATCTTCCTTGGTGCTCTCCTCGAGAGAGTGAGTGAATTCTCTGGAGATCTGGTTGTTTAAAAGTGTGTGGCACCTTCTTTCTCTTGCTCCTGCTCCCACCATCTGAGATGCCTGCTCCCCCTTGGCCTTCCACCATGACTGTAAGCTTCTGAGGCCTCCCTAGAAGCAAATGCCCATGTTATGCCTCCTGTACAGCCTGTAGAACTGTGAGCCAATTAAATCTCTTTTCTTAATAAATTACCTAGTCTCAGGTATTTCATCATAGCAATGCAAGAATGACCTAACACAGACGGGGTCTTGCCATGTTGCCCAGCCCTACATTATTATATTTGAATCTGCAACAATTCAGTGGATCTGGCACTATTCATCTTATTTTACAAGTGTGGGAAGAATCTAGATAATAGCTGTATTTATTTACCCCTTTAAGATGTATAATTCACCGGTTTCAGTACTTCCACAGAGTTGTGCAACCATCGCCACCATCTAGTCCCAGAACATTTGCATTACCCCCAAAAGAAATCCTGGACTCACAAGCAGCTGCTACCTGTTCTTCCATTCCACCACAGCCTCTGGCAAGTGCTAGTCTACTTTCTGTCTCTATGGATTAGCCTATTCTGGACATTTCATACAAATGGAATCATGCAATATATGGCCTTTTGTGGCTGGCTTCTTTCACTTAGCATGTTTCAAGTTTCAGCCACAGTGTAGCATGCATCAGTACTTCATTCCTTTCTATTGTTGAGTAATGTTCCATTATATGTATATACCACATTTTGTTTATCACATTCATCAGTTGATAGACATTTGAGTTGTTTCCACTTTTTGGCTATTATGAGTAATGCTGCTATAAACATTCATCTACAAATTTTCATATGGACATATGTTTTCAATTCTCTTGGGTATATACATGGTAGTGGAACTGCTGGGTCACATGGTAACTTTATGTTTAACTTTTTGGAGGAACCAGCAAGTTGTTTTTCATCGTGGCTGCACCATTTTGTATTCCCACAAACAATGCAATGAGCGTTCCAATTTCTGCACATCCTTGTCAACACTTGTTATTGTCTTTTTGTTTTTAGCCATCCAAGTGGGTGTGACGTGGTATCACAGTGTGGTTTTGATTTGTATTTCCCTAAAGATTAATGATGTTCAGTGTCTTTTCATGTGCTTAGTGGCCATTTATATATCTCCTTTGAAGAAATGTCTATTGAAATCTTTTGTCCATTTATTAATTGGGTTTTCTCTTTATTATTGAGTAGGAGTTCTCTGTTTATTCTGGATACAAGTCCTTAATCAAACACATGATTTACACATATTTTCTCTCATTCTATGGGTTGTCTTTTCACTTTCCTGATGGTGTCCTCTGAAGCACAGAAATTTTTAATTTTGATGAAGTCTTATCTGTCCATGTTTTCTTTTGTCATTTGTGCTTTTGGTGTCATATCTAGGAAGGCTTTGCCTAATCCAAAGTCATGAAGGTTTACGCCTATGTTTTCTTCTAAGAGTTGTATAGTTTTAGCTTTAACATTTAGGTCTATGATGATTTTGACTTGTTTTTTTTTGTATGATGTAAGGTAAGGGTCTAACTTCATTCTCTTTTTTTTTTTTTTTTTTTTAGACAGAGTTTCACTCTTTTCTCCCAGGCTGAAGTGCAGTGGTGCAATCTTGGCTCACTGCAATCTTTGCCTCCTGGGTTCAAGTGATTCTCCAGCCTCAGTCTCCCGAGTAGCTAGGATTACAGGCATGTGCCACCATGCCCAGCTAATTTTTGTATTTTTAGTAGAGATGGGGTTTCACCATGTTGGCCAGGTTGGTCTTGAACTCCTGACCTCAAGTGATCCGTCAGCCTTGGCCTCCCAAAGTGCTGGGATTACAGGTGTGAGCCACTGCACCCAGCCCCCGGCTTCATTCTTTTGCATGTGGATATCTACTTGTGATTATGGCAATGCAAGAACAGCCTACAATGATTGCTGCTCACTGCAGTCTTGACCTCCCAGGCTCAAGAAATCCTCCCACCTCAGCCTCCTGAATAAGTGGGATTATAGGTGTGTGCCGACATGCCCAGCTAATTTTCTTATTTTTTTATTTTTTGTACAGACAAAGTGTCACTATGTTATCCAGGCTAGCCTTGAACTTTTGGGCTCTTGTGATCCCCCCATGTAGGCCTCCCAAAGTGCTAGAATTGCAGGGGCTCACCACCACATCCAGCCTCTCTGCCTTTTCAAGGTAACATTTCTGCAGTGAGGACTCTAAGTCAGATATGGGTCTAAGTGGGTCGTATGTATTAACTCATGTAACATTATTCTTCATAGTCCCATTTTACAGATGAAGAAACTGAGGCAAGTAGTTTGCCTAAGGTCACACAAGTAGTAGACAGCAGAGCTGGGAGGTGAACCCAAGCTATGTGGTTCTGTTTTCCCTGCCAGACACCCACAGAGATGCCAGAAACATGGGAATGAGCTAGCCTGAGTCTCCCCTTTCTAGAGAAGAAGTTGGTGTGTAGAGAAACTTGTCTGAGGCTCACTGTAACAGAGGTAGGATGAGATCCAGGCCCACACTGGACACTTCCTTTTCCCATGCAGCCCTGGGTATTTATTTCAATGTCATGTTGCCTTGACAAAATGCTGAGAGGGAAGCTGTGGCCATGGGGCGATTCCTTGTTGCCCTGGGCTTCAGGGCCCTGAGTGGCTGCTCGGTGAGAGGGTGAGGGCAAGACAACAGAAAGATGGAGAAGAATGGGCAGGAACCCAGGTCTTCCCTTTACAAAGGAAGAAGGCTGAGCCCTGAGAGGGATGTGCCTGCCCAGTGCTCCTGGCTCCCTAGCCTTCGTTTCTCCTGCCACCTTGCTGCTCCCCTTCACAGGTCCTCTCCTGGGGGCCAGTGCTGCCAGGAGGAAGTAGGCAGAAAGGAGCTGGGACCCTCTCTTCCTCTTACAGTTTTCTAGGGCTGATCTTCAAAAGTGAATTTGCGGAGCCTTCCTCTGTGGCCTCCCTCACTCCGGTTGTCATCACGGTCATTTCATTTCCTTTACTTTCTGCCCATCTGAAAGGCGCCCCGGGATGTGGTGGGGGTGGACACTAGTGGCTTGCCAGGCGTCTATCCCTGGGCCCTGGAGACCCATCTGCAGGATCTGCCCAACACCCCATACAAAGCAGGCACTGCACCTACCCCTTAGAGAGGTTCCCCAAGAAGGCCAAGAGTTTCCCTGAGGCTGGAGAGGATGAAGGGCCCAGGCCTCAACTTGGGAGCTCAGCCAATTATCGACAGAGAGGACAGCGCTAAGCATGGCACTCAGATACCACTGGAAAGACAGCTCAGGGCCAAATCCAGGAGTCAGGAGTCTACAGCCCTCATGGGGCTTTCCGAGAGTGCCAGCATCATCATTGCCTTTAGGAGAACAGCGGATGTCAAAGGGAAGCATCGTGCCAATGGTTTCAAAGGGCTGGAGCCAATAATCACAGCACAGTGACCGGCTGCCCCTTTGCACCTCTGCTGTGGCCAGTGAGGACAGAAGGGGATTGAACTAGAAACTGGGATTAATCTGTCTTCAGCTTCTCAGATACAGGTAAGACCTCTCTCCTCTTCTGGGCTTCAAAACCCTAAAGGTGAGAGCTTCCTTAAAATGTGTACCCTGGCACCTTGCTTTTCTTACCCTAGTCCTGGCCTTGTCCATAACTCAGTATTTTTTTCTTTTTTTTGAGATGGAGTCTTGCTGTGTCACCCAGGCTTGAGTGCAGTGGTGTGATCTTGGATTGCTACAACCTCTGCCTCCTGGGTTCAAGCAATTCTCAGGCTTCAGCCTCCCGAGTAGCTGGGATTACAGGCACGTGCCACCATGCCCGTTTAATTTTTGTATTTTTAGTACAGATTGGGTTTCACCATGTGGGCCAGGCTGGTTTTGAACTCCTGACCTCAGATCATCCACCAGCTTCGGCCTCCTGAAATGCTGGGATTCCAGGCAGGAGCCACCTTGCCCAGCCATAACTCAGTCTTCAACCTGCCCCATCCAAGCTGTGTTCCAATCAGGAAAGCACAGAAAGGCCTTTTCCTAGGCAACGGATTCAGGCACAGCAGGTGGATGCAAGTACAGTCTACTCCAGGCGTGTCACCATTGGAACACCCCATTCCCTTCCTTCAGGCCCTTCTACTCCCTGGGGTCCACAGAGCTCAGGGAGCCTCTTGTGGCCCATGGTGTGCCCCTCTCCCCACCTGCTCCCTCAGCAATGACAAGATGCAGTGACTGGGGATGATACATCAATGTCTTGCAGGCTCCCAGGAGACAGATAGGCAGACCCTGGGATGCTGATGGCGCAGTCACCAACAGGAAGGAAAATGAGAGGAGACTGCAGGGCAGATGGAGCTTCCGCCTGCCAAGAGCCGCTGATGCCCAGTCTCACTCTGGGCAGCATGGCCCCATCCCTCCTGGCCATCCAGGAGTGAGGAATGGGGCTCACCAATGGGGGACCTCTCCTCATCCCAGGATAGGCCTCTCCATCCCTCCTCAGAACAAGCGAAACTGGGGAGTGGGGAAATCCACACAGATCATGTTGGTTTGGGTCCAGAAACTTGAACTAAACCAAGTTAGGATCCAACAACAATATCGAATCTAAAAATGATCCCCAATGTGATTTTTTAAAAACTGAATCAAAGTGTTAAAAAAAAAAACTTGGTGTACTATAGTTAGATTTGTAATTAAACTTTGGTACTTTCTAAATCTACTGAACTGAAAGGAAAAAGAAACCCACGTGATCTGGAAAGTGGCTTGGCCTACTTTAGTGTTGTGTGATCTTCAGTAAGTCACTTGCCCTCTCTGGGCCTCAGTTTCCCTCACTTGTGTCAGACTGGAAAATCTGAACAGTTCTCATTGCTGTTTACCTAATCCCTGAATCTCAAAATAGTCTTCAAATGGACTCTGCCAGCCCTTCCATGAGATGCAAGTTCCCGTTTGGATGGCAACCAAGCCAAGTCATCTGCAGAAGGAACGTTCTCTGTGTGCCATCTGTGAAGAGCCTGGGAAACAGAGGCCTGAGTGCTGGGGCTTGGGGAGCATGTGAGTCTTTAGAGCCGGCACTAATGCGATTATGGGATTAGAATGTTCATCTTCGTTTTCACTGTGCTTCATTTGGTGAAATCAATAGTGACAATGGGCTGCCCAGTTGGTGCTGCCATTCTCCCAGGAGGGCCCACATCCAGCTACTCAGGGCAGGGGTCATCCTGAGAGCTGGATATCACTGGCAAGGCTAGTGGTTTGGGAGGCTTTCATCACCCGAGACATGGCATGCCAGCACCCATGAGGGAAAGAAGTCAGAAAAGACAGGGTAGAAATGGGTGTGATCACCATGGGAGCCAATATTCCCCTTTTACAGAGGAAGACACAGGCAGGAGCCTGGACTCAGCCTGGGCCGCCCGCTGATGGAGGCAGTGGCCATTTTTGCCTGCAGTTTCTCAACTGTAAAATGGAGCAACTCACTCCTCCTTCTCTGTCCTACAGAGAAACGATGGGCTCATCACTGGATGAGAAAGTACAACTTAGCTTCCAGAACTTCTGCAGAGAGGAAACAGAACAGAAGCCTTAGGAACTATTATTGTCATCACAGTCATTATCCAGCTCTGAGGGAGCAGCAGCAAGGCCTGGATGCTTTATGGTGACAGCGGGTCTCACCTTTTGTGCAAAAGCTACAGCTGCATTTCAACAGGAAGGCATCAAGCCTGAGAACATGGCTTAATCTGCCCACAGACCGGGGGAAACCCTGCAGGGCTTCTGTAACCAGAGTGTGACGCTGACACTCTGAGTTGCGACCACCTCTCCTGGGTCACTTTGGGTGTTGGCTCGCTTTGGGGGTCCCTGGACTGAGCTCATGCACAGATAATGACAGTTCACGCGGCTTTCACTGAACAACTTCTCCTGGTCACCGGATCTCTCCAGTGTCCCTCCCTCCCCACTCTATGGTGAGGCCTGGCCTGGAGACCACAGGAGTGGGAGAGGAACTGAGTCCCCTCGGCTTGCCATGTAGAAAGGGACACTGGTTCTCTGTGACCCACAGGTGGTCACAGAGACCACCTCTGGGCATAGGAGAAATGGGTAGATGTTATAGGGAGACTGGTTTTGGCCAGTATCTTAATCAGCTCTGGTTGCTATAACAAAATACCCCTGGGTGGCTTAAACACTGGATATTTATTTCTCACAATTCTGGAGTCTGGGAAGTCTGAGATGAAGGTGCCAGTGGATTTGGTTCCTGGTGAGGGCTCTCTTCCTACTTGCAGACAGCCACCTTCTTGCTGTGTCCTCACGTGGTGGAGAGAGGGAACAAGCTTGCTGGTGTCTCCTCGTCTTCTTATATGGACACTAATCCGTTGCTGAGGCCCCACCTTCATGACCTCATGTAAACCCTTGATTTCCCAAAGGCCCCACCTAACACCATCCCACTGTGGGTTACCCTTCAATATATGAATTTCACAGGACACAAACATTCTGTCCAGAGCATCCAGTATTGGAAAAGACAGAGGAACAATCCTCTGAGAACAGACACCACCTTGCGCCCTTTCCTCTGGTGTTCCAATGGCAGGAACCCTCTGGGAGGAGTCTGAGAATGGGTGGGAAGTGGTTCTCCTTCCAAACATGAGTTTCTGTGACCAGGGCTGGAACTACGGTGAGGCAATGAAATGCCCAGAGTGCAGGATTTAAGGCAGCACTCACACTCAGGGGTTGCTCCTGGGATTACAAAAGCCTGAAGGTCAGGGGGGGGCCTCCTTAAAATTTGCACCTGGCACCTTGTGTGTCTCACCCTAATCCTGGCCCTGTCCATGACTCAGTCTTCAAACTGCCCCATTAAAGATCTCTTCCAATCAGGAAAACATAAAAAGGTCTTTTCCTAGGCAGTTAGTTCAGACACAGCAGGTGAGTGCAGGTATAGCAGGCAGGTGCAGGTACAGCAGGTGGGTGCAGGTATAGCAGGTGGGTACAGGTATAGCAGGTAGGTGCAGGTATAGCAGGTGGGTGCAGGTATAGCAGGTGGGTCAGGAACAGCAGAGGTACAGTCTACTTCAGGATGTCAAGGGAACTCTCAAGCCCGTTAACCCATAAATATCAGGCACGGTCATAGCGTTACCCTGGCAGATGACTGCCCCAGTCTCCTGGTCAAGATGCATGCTTACTCTGAAGGCCGGGGGAGGAAAATGATTAAAGTAAGAGAGACGGAAGCCTTTCCTTTGATCAGGGAATATTCACACGCCTCCACAAGAAAGGAAGAAATGAAAACTCATCGAATTTCCACTCTAGGTCAGCTGTCTGCCACTTCTGCATAGTTATCTTATTTGATCCTCAACACAGCCCAGCCACAGGGGCATCATTCTCAATTTACAGATAAGGAAACTGAGGCTTTGGGACAAAGGATTTGTCCAGGGTCACGGAGAATCTGAGAATCAGAACCTTAGGTCTGAGACCAAGGCCAGCGCCTCACATTCCCAAGGCAGGAGGTATCATTCCCTCTCACTCCCTCATCTAATCACCCTTTCACTCCTGCAGCACACACAGCGTAAGGGCCTGTGAAGAGGCAGGAACAATTCTAGGAGCTTGGGAGATCGCTTGCATTCCAGTGGGGACTGAGAGAGTTAAAAGTCAACAGCACACAAGTAAACAAACAATAAGAGCCATGAATGAAACAGGGAAGACAGGGAAGACCGGGCTAGACTGGCTAGATGGGGTAGGGCCAGGAGCATTTGTCCTGAACACTGAGTGAGGAGGAACCAGCCAGGCAAAGATCGAGGGGCAGAGGGCACGGGTGCTGGGGTACAAAAGGTGAGTATCGGAGGCATGGCAGGCAGGGACAGAGCATGAGGCAGAGAGAGGGTGGAGGGGAAGGCTGTGAGCGGATGAATCCCAGCAGAAGAAGTTGCATTTTTTTCTAAGTACAAAGGGAAGCCACTGAAAAGATTTAAACAGTGAAGCTGCAAGATCCAATTTACCAATTAAGAAGATCCCTCCGGCTCTAGTGTGCCCACCAGCCGGGACGCTGGAGGCCATGTGGCAGCCAGTTGCTGACTGGCATCATTCCAGGCAAGAGGAGGTGGCGGCTTGAGTGACAGTGGGAGCTGTGAGTCCAGAGACACTGACAACGCTGCAGAATGCCTTTTGGGCAGAGCTTGGGCCTGGCATCCTCAGAGGCTGGCTAGGGGCGGCTGGGGAAATAGGAGTCGGGGTGGAATCACTGAAAGCCAGAACCCAGGCCCAGCCTTGGCTCAGAGTGAACACACAGTCCACACTTGATGAGTACATGAAGAAACCCAAAGAGAAATTCAGGACTATCTTTTTGGGCAGAACCTCCTTCATGTGGTCCCACCCACATGGGTGGCAAACACAGACCCAGCACACCTCCAGCTTCCTGGCAACACTGTGCACGGTCTGAGAGGCAGGCAACTGCAGCCCAGGGAGCTGGAAAAATGAGATTCTGAACTCTGGTTTGCTCCTTTTAGCTTTTTAACATGCAGCCTCCATCGCTTCATTTGCCCACAGTTGTCCAGTTCTTATGCCAGGCAGGAGTGAACCTGCCTTCCGAGGGGAACGTTGCCAGGAGGAAGGGAGCCCGGTGAGAGTGGCTGGTCCTTCCACCACCTGAGAGGCCCAAGAATCATTGTTTCATTGACAATAACGTGGGGCATTTAGTATTCATCCAACACAAACGCATAGCTATTATACACCACCTTTCTGAGAGTAAAAGCTATCCCTTTTATTTGGGGGAAGGGCATGAAAGCACCTTCTCCACTTAAAATGCTGATCTTACTGTGCATTATTCTTTGAAGTACAATGAAAAGTGTCTTGGCCTAATCATGACTTTCCGCGGGGGCGACAGAGTGGGAGGAAATGGCCCCTCCTAGAAGCACACAGGGGACTTATTTTCAATCTTTTTAAAGAAGTAAGAAAATGCAAACCATAAGTAGGTTTAAATGCTTCCCCTAAAACCCCAAAACATAATATTATCATACAATAGAGGTGCTATCAAGTCACATAGTACAACTCTGTTCCCTAACCAGCTTTGGGGGACACCATCGTGCCACATTTCTGAAGCCCCTGACTCGTAGTCCCCATTTGCCATGCTGGGCTGGGAGTCAGGCTGCAGTGAACCCCAAGAGGGAGGTCCCCTGGTGCTCTGAGAGGTAGGACTTGACTTCCTTCTTCCCGGGGCTGCAGCCTAGGGAGGATTTCCGCCAGAAGGCTCAAATGTATTTTTGTTTATTTACGATGTCTTACATCTTTTGGAACTTGTAAGGAAGTTCCAACTTTTGGAACTTGGTTCAATGTTGCTTATCTTCTCTGTTCCATGTTTAGTTTCATATTCTGGTTCATCTGGTTTTTGTTTTGTTTTTTTTTGTTTTTGAGACAGAGTCTCACTCTGTTGTCCAGCCTGGAGTGCAATGGCGTGATCTCAGCTCATTGCAACCTCTGTCTCCCGGGTTCAAGCAATTCTCCTGCCTCAGCCTCCCAAGTAGCTGGGATTACAGGCCCCCGCCACCACACCTGGCTAATTTTATTTTTAGTAGAGATGGGGTCTCACCATATTGGTCAGGCTGGTCTCGAACTCCTGACCTCAGGTAATCCACCCGCCTCGGCCTCCCAAAGTGCTGAGATTACAGGCATGAGCCATCGCACCTGGACTGGTTCATCTGTTTTTGAAGCTGGATAGGATCCCAGTTGTGGCCCCTTTTTGAATCTCTAAATAGTGACTATCTTTTGAGCCTGTCCTTCGATCATTTCTGGTTCCCTGGCTCCTGCCCGGCACCCCTGCAGTCAGCAGACTGAACGCCCAACAGCGCCAGACCAAGCACATCCCGCTTCTCCTCTCTCGGCGCTTCCAGGGGCAGCCAGTTCAGAGTCCAAGCCACAGTCTTGACACAGGCCCCACTTCCCCGCTGGCCTTCTCCACCACAAACTCCTGCTCATGTGGCTGCAGCCACACCGGCAGCTGTCGGCTCTGACTGGCTCTGCCTCAGGGCCTTGGCACTGGCAATCCCCTCTGTTCAAACGTCAGTGTGTCAGCGAGGCCTTTCTCGACCACCCTGTTTAAAAGAGCAGCCCTGCTCCAAATGTTCCACCTCCCCTTATCTGCTGTACTTTTTTCCATAGCCATTTCCATGGATATCCCTAGACACGGCTTTGCTTCGATACCTGCCTCCAGTCTTCCTGCTGTCACTGGGATGACCAGACAATCCGGGCAGGAATTTTTGCTCAGAGTGAATCCACAGTGCCTCGAACAGGGCCTGACACAAAGAAGACCCTTCCTTTTTTTTTTTTTGAGATCGAGTCTCACTCTGTCACCCAGGCTGGAGTGCCACGGTATGGTCATGGAGCACTGCATCCTCGACCTCCCAGGCTCAAGCAATCCTCCCACCTCAGCCTCCCAACCTGTAGCTGGGACCACAGGTAAATGCCATCATGCCTGGCTAATTTTAATTGTTTTGTAGAGACAGGCTCTTCCTATGCTTCTCAGGCTGGTCTTGAACCCCTGGATTCAAGCAATCCTCCCACCTCAGCCTCCCAAAGTGCTGAGATTCCAGGTACCCAGACAAGAAGGCCCTTCCTAAGTAGTTGCTGAACGAATGAATGATGTGAACACTGCATGAACTGGGGTCAGTCCTGGATTCAAATCCCAGCTCACAGCTGAGTGCCACTAGGCAAGTTAATTCACTGCCCTGAGCCTTCATTTCTAAGTCTATAAAATGGGCAACATAATCCCTACCGCAGAGGGTGGTGGCAGGGACTGCACATCAGCCTCTCAGCCCTGGGCCACCAACACAGAGTACCTACCACTCAAGATCTTGTGCCTCAAATGGGCTGTTCAGCTCTGAGAATCTTCTCCTGGGGTCCTGTCTTGCATTTACTCCCCTGACCTACCTCCCCAGGGCAGGGGCTGCCTGAGCTTCTCCTGTATCCTGGGGGAAGACCTTGATTGGACTGTGGTTGTGGGAGAAATGAATGGTTGGTTCTAAAAACCCAATACCCCCACGCTTCCCTGGGGCTTCTAGGACACCTTCTAGGACACCTGTTTGCTCAGTTTTGCAAAATGGAGCAGGTTGAACCCCTCGGGGCTGTCCTGATGACATGGAGCCTTCTTTGGGCTGGAGCTTAGACCTGGAGGCTCCGAACCACTCACAAGTGACGTTCCTCAGTGGCAGGAACCCAGATTTCCCACATTCAGCACTTGAAACAACCATGACACACATCATTCTCCAAGGGGAGCCCAATTCACCCAGAGCATATTGGGGTCACTTCAGTCAGCGAAAATGGCATCTCAACCTTAATGGGGCATTTGGACAACATCCTGGTCTTGAAAATAAAAATGAAGCTGCCCCCTGAGGTCCTCCCAACAATCAGCACCTGCCTGTCCCCGCCGTTCCTGGCAGAGTTACATGACCTCACCCGCGGGATCTTGCCTGCCCACCCTGGAGTCACCTGGTCAGGGCAGGGGCCCCTCATCCCTTGATTTCCCCAGCAGCTGCAGCTGGGCCCACTCGCGCTGCCAGACCTGCTCTCACTGCACACGGAATGAGTCCTGGGCTTAAACCTGCAGCATCCTCTAAAGCCCTTTCCCCTGACATAGCCCACGTCTGTGAGAACTGCATTCGGACTTAGTTTCCCCGGCCAGCGCTCCAGGGCGCTGTTAAACCCAGAATCCACATCCCCGTGCAGGTGTGTTTACAGGCTTCCTCCACTAGGGATCCAACCCTCCTCTTTACATCGCCTTCCCTTTCCTCTCTCTTAAAGGGACAGGCCAAGGGCCACCAACTGGACTGGACCACAAGCCTGCTTGTTGGGCTCTCAGCTTAGGAAACCATATTGCCAAGGCCCCAGAACCTGAACACCAGCAAGCTCTGGCCTCATGGATGGCGGGTCCCCTGGGTCCTGTGGACACACGTCCTTCTTAAGTCCTTCCTTGCCAGTTCTGAGAAAGCCCATTTCCTTCCCAGTTCGGCTCATCTGAGCTCTGGCAAGCACATCAGCCCTACGGGCATGGATGCAAGCAGGGCACGTGCCCTCGATCCTCTCACTACAGAGATGCGGGAGCAACGGTGGAAGGCTCCTCCGAGCACCACGGTCCCCCAGGGATCTGGGGGCCCCACAGACTTTCCCACTCAAGACACAGCCTAGAGGCAGCTGTCTGCCTGGTTTGCTGCTGACTGCTGCACCTAGCATGGCACCTCGTGCGCAGAGAACATTTTGCTGCATAAATGCAGGGAGGAGGAACACAAGAACATTCTCGGTACATACTCATCGTACATGAGCTGCTAAGGCACGCAGGGGGCCTGTGGGACGGGCTCCCGATTCCCCTCTTTCCAGACAGAAAACCAAGGCACCAAACAGCTCGCTTGAGACTTGGGAGAATGAAGGCTTGGTGCCCGGAAGCGCCATCTCTCTCTTTCCGGCAGCTGCAGGGTGTTACCGGGGCAACAGACGGCTGTCTGACGGGATTTGGCAGTTTAACTCTTACTCCGCACAAAATACGAAAGTGAGAACGATTGAACAGATGTTCTTGCTTCCGACCGTTCACACAACGGAGAGGAGCTCATGATTCATCTGGCCCGGGCCGAGTCCACATCATTCCTGTCTCACACCCAGCAGGTGTGGGCCACCTGGTCCCCTGGGAACCAAAAAACGGCCTTCAACCTCCCAAACTCTAGGATTCCTCAAGGGCATCAAATTCACCTTCCAGCCTGGGCTGAGAAGACTGAGCTGGGATCCTTCTGAGGTGCAACCATGCCAGGCCTAGAGCAGCGGTTCTCAAACCTCGGGTACATCCAGATAACTTGGGTGGGGAGGAGGATTGCTAAAACACAGCAACCGTGCCAGGTGCACAGCAGCGGTTCTCAAACCTCGGGTACATCCGGACTACTTGAGTGGGAGGATTGCTGAAACACTGACTAAGAAACACAGAGTTTCTCATTCAGTATGTCGAGGGTAGGGCCCAGGAATTTCCATTTCTAACAAGTTCCCAAGTGATGCTGATGCCGCTGGTCCATGGACCACCCTTGGGAGCCACTGGTGTATACAGCCTTCCCACTCAGAACACAGTGCCTGTACCATCACCATTAGCATCACCGAGAAATGTATTAAAAACGCAAGTTAGGCCGGGCATGGTGGCTCACGCCTGTAATCCCAGCACTTTGGGAGGCCAAGGCAGGCGGGCGGATCACGAGGTCAGGAGATCGAGACCATCCTAGCCAACATGGTGAAACCCCGTCTCTACTAAAAATACAAAAAAATTAGCCTGGCGTGGTGGTGGGCACCTGTAGTCCCAGCTACACGGGAGGCTGAGGCAGAAGAATGGCGTGAACCCAGGAGGCGGAGCTTGCAGTGAGCTGAGATCGCACCACTACACTCCAGCCTGGACCACAGAGTGAGACTCTGTCTCAAAAATAAATAAATAAATACATAAATAAAAATAAAAATGCAAGTTCTCAGACCCTGCCCTCAGACCTCTAGAATAGGGTCTCTGGGGATGGGGCCCAGGAAACCAGGTTTTAACAAACCCTCCAGGGGATCCTGGGGCGCACTGACGTCTGAGAAGCCGTGGTCTAAACCTTGGCCACCTGTGAGAATCACCTGACGAGCCCTTCCAGTAAACAGGTGGCACTCTGATCTCTGGGGCTAGGTCTTAGCCTCAGTCATCTTTCAATCTCCCCAGGCAATTACGAAGCTTGAGAACCATGGGTCTAGAGCCTCACTACTCAAAGTGTGGTCTCGGAAGCAGAGATACCAGCATCTTCCGGGAGCTGGTTAGCAACGCAGAGGCTGCACCCCTGCATCTGCTGAGTCAGCCCGCATTCCAACAAGATCCCTGCGTCATAGGTCTGCATGACAGTGCGTGATCCTCGGATATAGAGACCCCTCCTGCCCATACTCACTGGCAGTGCAATCTATGAGAAAAGCATTCATCTTCTCTGGGGCTCAGTTTACTCATTTGTGAAAGCGGTTCACTATGTAAACTAGGCAACAACACATCCCTCCTATGGCAACTGTGGGATCCAGTGAGATGACACCTGAGTTGCTTCACTGTAGGGGCGTGATAAGCTGCTGTGGGAAACTCCCACACCTCCCAGAAAGCCTCAGTGCCCTCTCTCTAGCCCTTCTTAACTGCCTGGCCCCTGGGTCTGATGTTTCTTGGGGGCTATGCCAGGAGGTGGGAGCTGGAAAGGCTGGGGCTGCCCGAAGAGGCTGTACAGGAGCCAAGACCAGGTGGACAGTGCAGGCAGCACTGAGGCAGAGGTCGGGGGGCGTGGGGTGCCTGGTCTGGGGCAATGGACTGACACCAGAGTGCCCAGCCCTGGAGCTGGAGGCCAGGCTCTGATCACAGGAAGTGGGCAAGGTAACAAGAGGTGGGGAGGGTTGTCCTGGAGCAGCAAGGAAACAGGGCAGAGGGTCTGCAGCAACTTGCCGGTGCCAGCCTCTGCATTCAGCAGCAAGAAAGCAGGGCAAAGGACCTACAGCGACGTGCTGGAGCTGGTCTCTGCATTTGTTTTCCAGGAGGCTCCTGCTCCTGGCGGGTGGGGTGAGGCCTTAGGTGGTGGGTGCAGGTGGGACAAGCCCACTGAAGTCAGAGAGCTCACCCTGAGGATGCGCTAGAGAGCAGGAGGACAGTTTCCAGGCTGCCTCGGCTCTGCACTGGACAGAACCCCAGAGCCCTAGGAGATTCCATCAGAGCCCAGATGGATACCTCGGCCCCTCAGCCCTCACTCGGCGCCCTCCGGGCTCAGGGGCCACCTGTGGACATGCAGAGGCCCTGCAGCACCCCCCAGCCTTTCCTGTGAGCGAGGGGCCTGTTGCTGCTCCCCCTGGTACCCAGGGTCTGTCCCCCTGGATCCTGGAGCTCAGGCAGGTGGGAGTCGCCTCTCCATTCCTGGCCTTGCATCCGGTCTGTGCTGGTGTTTGAACCGGATCTCCCACCGCTCCTAGGCCTCCCAGGTTCCCCTCCGTCCTCCGTCAGCTGCCCCCACTTCTCTCTCTACCAAAGAGAAAAGTGCCTCTGCAGATTGGACTCGGCTCACCCATTTAAAAAATTAGAGAACAGAGAAGTTAGCATCTTAATAAGTTAAATGAATCAGTAGAATGTGTGTCTCTTTCCCTTCCCTGTGGGACTGGAATCTTCCATTTCCCTCCAGGTGCTCTCCCCAGCTTTGTGCCCTCAGGGCTGGCCTATGGCCCCCTTCGGTTGAGTTGAGACAGTGTCGTGGGCTCCTCTGCAGAACTCATTCTGGATTGCAGTGACCCTCCCTCCTCCTGTCCTCCAGGCCTAGGGTGTTTGTTCCTAGCTCCAGGGGATGACACCAGTCCTCGGTGTTTGCCCACACTCTGCCCACCACTGTATTACCTTCTCCCCAGTTGTCAGCTCAGGAGCATTCCCTCTCTCCTACCTGACCCCATCGGATAAAACCACCAGGAGGAGAAAGAGAAAGAGTTGGTGGAGTATAAGGAAAAGAAAATACGGGACTTTGAGGAAGAACAGAGAAGAAAGAGGAAAATAGAAGGAGGAAAATGAGAAAGATTTCTGGGCACAGGGCTCGGGCAGTCCAGGGGCTCTGGGACTGGGGAGCCACCTGCCCGCTCTGAACAGCTGACAGCCGCTCCAGCAGTCTGCCCTCTCAGTAACAGGAGTGGCTATCCTTTTATTCCTAACTTCCAATTTAGTATGTTCAATGAAGGCCTATTTTCCACCTAAAAGTTAAAGTTCAAGAAAGGGCAAAATAAGAACTAAAATTGTCAGAAATTTCCTTAGGAAACTGGAGCAGAGGGTCCTAAACTTGAGTGCGCCAGAATCACAGTCTTGTGTGACAAAAATCCTGATTGTCAAAAACCGCCCCTAGAAATTCTTATTTCCTGGGTCAGAGGTTGAGCCTGAGAACCGGTATTTTTTACAAGCACTGCAGGGATCCTGAAGCAGGTGCTCTTAGCTGCCACTTTGAGAAACTCCAACTTAGATGCATGGTTCCTGAAACTCTCCACCACACCCATAAACTGCCAGCTTGCCACCCACCGTGTTGCTTTGGAGGCTGTCCAGACTTTTAGAAATTATGCTCCAATAGTCTCAGATCAAGTTAGATCTGGTTGAGGATGTCACCCAGTGGTATCCAAAGGAACTCCGGGAAAAGGACTGTCCAGGAATAGATTTAATTAAAGATGATGGATTTGATTCTACATATTAGTAGATACAAGATCTCCCTGTGAGCCAACAGGACATGGGAAATGTAGGTACGTGTCCTATGCAGGCATCCCTGGCCAGAACACACAGCTTAAGGGGAAATCAAGAGAATGCGGAGTAAGCCCAAAGGAAGACCTAAAACAGAATCACGGGCTGGTGGGACAGTCATCCTGAAAGGCCAGAGGAACTGTTGGAGCACAGCCTAGAGACAAACACTGAGTAACGTTCTTTAACAAGGACTGAACGTGAAAGATGGAAACAGGAGCCCCCCACCCACTGGGGCTGAGCTGGAGGCTGCAGCCCTGCCCCTAGCCAGGAGGCCACAGTATATGGAAGAAGCTGATGTCCCAAGAGAGCTTCCTGCCAAGCCTGACGCTCACCTGCCTGGGGTGGTTTATTTGCAGTGCAGCCCGAAGATGGGATATGCTGCCGTCCCGCCTCTCACCCATGTGAGGAACAGGCAAATGCTCCTCTAAGCTCCCATGTGGGGTCTCTACCGAAACCCCATGCTGACCCCAGAGGCCCACAGACCCTGCCAAGTTCACCCTGCTCAGGTGATAAGTCGGAGCCCCAAATGCTCGCCACAGATGGGTGGCACTTGTGAACGATTTCACTGGGCTGTCACCTCTCGCAGGAGTGGGCTGTTGGGCTCTGGTCAGATGCCTCTGGCTGCTCTCTGTGCTCCGGGACCCCATAACTCAGTGCATCACCACACCTTTGCATGTGTTCTCTGGAGGCGAGGGAAGACAGACCCAGTTCTTCAACTGTACAGACATATCTGCCATCCAAGAGGACAGGGTACCAGGTCTTGGCAGAGTGGTGGCCTAGGGGATGGGTACTGAGGTCGCGACAGCCCTCTGCATCATCACCTGTCCAATGAGGGCACTGGACCAAACATTTTCTTGGATCCTTTCTGATCTTAATTCTCTGTGTCTGGAACCTAACATATGATACTGTGAATATTTATTCTCCACCATGTGACTGGCACTGTCCTAAGCACCAAGACACAAGGTCTCAATAACACAACAAGCACTCCTTGGAGGATCTGCACATGAAACTGTCACAGCCCAGAAATGCCCCAGCCTCATTGAGATGTCTGATCTCAATGAGGAAGACATTGAGATGTCTTCCTTTGCAAGACACAGTGTCTCAACTGTTCATTCCTGTGATTCTCAGTGTTTTTCCTCATCAGGGTGGATTGTTAATTCATTAAGCATTTATTGGGCCTCAGTTTTGTCTGTAACATACATAGACTAAATTATTTTAACTAGAGAACTACCTTTACTGGGATAAAATGTAATATTTTTGCCCTTAGATTTTATAAAGGAGCAAAATGAAAAGGATCCTTAAAAAAAAAAAAAAAAACCTCTGTATCATTAACAAAATTTCAGCCAGACATTGTTTTTTCTGCCTTTGATATGAAGACTGTAATAGATTCCAGTGCCAGGAAGAGGTCTCTCTCCTAAGGAGAATCTGAAGCACCCTTTTATCAGAAAATATAACATGTTTCCCTTTTTGTCTCAGCTGCCAGGAAGCTCAGAAATAAACTGAGTGTTCAACTGCAGTCACATTCAACTTAGGAACCTGGCGTGTCTATTCTTTGACCTCTTCTGCTTGGGGTTTTTAAAAATTCTGTATTCTTTTCAGTTTCCTGTTCTTGTGTGTTTTAAAATTACAAGCAGCGCCGGGCACGGTGGCTCACGCCTGTAATCCCAGCACTTTGGGAGGCCGAGGTGGGCGGATCACGAGGTCAGGAGATCAAGATCATCCTGGCTAACACGGCGAAACTCCACCTCTACTAAAAATACAAAAAATTAGCCAGGTGTGGTGGCGGGCACCTGTAGTCCCGGCTACTCGGGAGGCTGAGGCAGGAGAATGGCGTGAACCCAGGAGGCGGAGCTTGCAGTGAGCCAAGATCGCACCACTGCACTCCAGCCTGGGTGACAGAGCGAGACTCCATCTCGAAAAGTAATTAATTAATTTAATTTAATTTAATTTAATTTGAAATAAAAAAATAAAATTACGAGCAGCCTCCATACACTTTGGAGTTGAGTAGGGATCAATATTCCAGAGGGATCACAGAACATGAAAACTAAAGGAGACCAACCCTTCCTCTAGGGGAAGAAACTTAGGCCCAGAGAAGTTGAGCAACTTACCTGAGGCCAATCAGTGGTTTGGCCCTGCCCAGCGGTCCTAACTACCTTCACTTTTTGTACCATTTTCTCAGGACCATGGAAATATCCCCTCTTGCCAATGGGGACACTAAAGTCCCAAAGAGAGGACGGATGTGGGCTCTGCACACAAAGGAGGCAGGGGACGCTGGCCACCCACCACCTCGTCCTCTTGCTCAGATCTTGGGCCACCATGGAGCCCACTGTGGGAATGAGGAACTCACCCATTCAGATAATGTGTGTTGCTTGTTGCAGTAGGTGTCATATACAATAAAGGAAATTTTTCTTGGGGTCAAATTTATTGTTGATTTCCAAAAATGGATTTTTTAGTCTCATCTCCTTGCCACAGCTCTTTCCCTCCACCTCCGATCAATCCCACTGGACCCTAGCCCCAGAAGTGACATTCAGTTGAATGCATCAGTATCTCGGACCTGTTGTTAAATATTTCTGTTGCGAGTGCCAATCGCCTCTGGCTGGAACACCCTGAGTGCCTTCCGACCCCGACTGCTTGGGGGTTCATCCGGGCCCAGCTGGGGCCTCGGGGTGACCTCGTTTTTTATTTGACTCTAGGTTCTATTTTGATTATCAGCCCAGCCTAAACAGAACAGAGCTCTCTAGGAAAAAAACAACATGAAATTCGGGGTTTGATGTCAGACCAGTGTTTCAGTGTCTGCTTTGCCAATTACTGACCATCGGCAATTACCAATTCTTTCCTGCTGAGCTGATTCAAAATGGAAAGGACAGATATGTGCAAGCATTCTGTAAACTCCAAAGGCTGCTGCTTATCAGTGTATGGTCTTGGGATGAGTCAGCAAGCCAGGAACGAACAAGCTTGCTAATGGGCACTCCCGACTGAAGAATGGATGGCTGAGCAAAATCCTTATCATGGAATCGTATTGCACATTAAAAGGAGGGATTTCTGACATGAGCTACAACATGGGTAGACCTTGAGGGCATCATGCTGAGTGAAATAAGCCAGTCACAAAAGGACGAATACTGTATGATCCCACTTATGTGAGCTATTCAGAGGAGTCACATTCACAGACAAAGTAGAACAGGCTTGCCAGGGGCTGGGGAAAAGTGGGGACTGGGGAGTCATTGTTTAGTGGGTACAGAATTTCAATTTTGCAAGATAATAAGACATCTGGAGATGGATGGTGGTGATGATTACACAACAGTGTAGATGTACTTAATGCCACAGAACCGCACACTTAAAATCGGTTAAAATGGTCAATTTTATACTGTGTATATTTTACGATAATGAAAACATTTTTTTAAAGAGCTATACCAAGAGTCCTGTGCACAGGTTGTAAGGGAAAGCCTGGCCTGCCTCTGGGAGGACCATTCATGAACTGTTCATGGTGTTTGGGACATTTAGTTTGCCCATTCAGTAGGACTTTGCTGTTTCTGGTTTCTTGATAGACGAGGCTTACGATTAGCCTCTTCAAGAGTGGAGTTATTATTGAAGATGATTCAGAATGTTCCCTGAGAACACGCATTATAGGACTAGAGTTTTAATTAAGAGGAATTGATGAAACATCTATTTTGAAAGAGTGAGCTTGGCCCATGTTATGAGCTGAGAATTTAAAATAACCCATCACTAATGGGTCATATATGTCCCAGTGTCTTAGTTGGACAGAGAGAAAATGCCACACTGGCCATTCCTCCAAGGTCAGTCATCAAAATGCCCACTGCCCTGAAAACCTGCAAGGGGTTCCCCTAAATGGGTTCCATGGGTTCCCTGGCCCCTGGACCCCAACCTGAGAAGTAAGGAGAGAGTGATATTATCTGAGAGCTCCGTGTGCACCAGCCAGTCTTTCCCATACATTCTTTCATTCAATCTTCCCAACCACCCTCTGAAACCTATTTTATCCCCGTTTTATACATAAGAAAACTGATGCTCAGGGAAAGCGTAAGGCTACTGATCTTTCTTTCTTTCTCTCTTTCTCTCTTTCTCTCTTTCTTTTTCTTTTTTTTAAAAGTCCCTGTTGCCCAGGCCGGAGTGCAGTGGAACCGTCTCAGCTCACTGCACAACCTCCACCTCCGGGGCTCAAAGGATCCTCCACCTCAGTCTCCCAAGTAGCTGGGACTACAGGCGCATGCCACCAGGCCCAGCTAATTTTTTGTGTTTTTTGTTGTAGAAACGGGGTTTCACCATGTTGCCCAGGCTGGTCGTGAACTCATGAGCTCAAGCAATCCACCCACTTCACCCTCTCAAAGTGTTGGAATTACAGGCGTGAGCCACCACACCTGTCCACTATTGCTATTTCTTGAGTGTCTGCTTCTTGTTAGCACAGTGCATAGATACTTTCTAAATGACTTCATTTTTCTGGATGTTATTATCATTCCAGTTTTTTTTTAAGTGGGAAATTAAAGTCCAGAGAGGCTAAGCCATTTGCTTAAGATCACACAGGAAATGAATGATAAAGCTAGTTCAAATATGTATTTTTCCATTGGTCCAGTGATCTCTTGTCATTCTCTCTCAGTTGGCTCTGTGAGGAGATGGTGGGGGAGGAAGAGTAAGTACCCCAGGAGGTACTTGGCAGCTTGCTGGGCTCAGGAGATGCTGGTGGGCTCCCACATGTTAGCTGTAAGCGAACAGAGCACTGGGCATTTCTGGCTTTAGTGAATAAGCCGGGAATTAGAGTAAAATATGCTGCACCTGAGAGGGCCTGTGCCTGGTGGGAAGACAGGTGAAGAGCACCTTGGCCACAGTCACAGTGAGACCATTGCCAGCTAATTCTCTCCTGAGTTTCCTTCCAAACCAGGTGAGGGCAACAGAGTTGAAACCACCCGCTCAGAGGGAGGCAGATGCTCCCCAGAAAGGCTACCATCTCCCTGACCAATCCTAAGCCTGGGCCACGGACCCTGCCAGACTCTAGTTCCCAGGCAGCTCAGCCACATACTGAGCCATATCTTTTTGCAGGAAAAGTAATTTTTTATTTCATCCCCACTCCCAGCTTGGTGAGGAAGAGGTGACAGTGAGAGGCTGGGTTAACAAACACTCAGGCCACCTGGAAAACTCTCTCATATTTGTCTTCATTCTCACCCTCTCCCTCCTGCCAAGAAAAGTTACCCCAGTGAGGTTCTCCTTCTTCTCCAGGAGGTGCTTCCATAGAAAAAGATGCCAATGTGGCAAGTAGTGAAGGAAGCGCACAGAGCTCGAGGTGGGAACTCCTGGGCTCCTGGGGGATGGCAGTTGGTGTTCAGCAGGTGCAGATTTCAGCCGGGGAAGGTGAAAAGGTTCTGTAGACGGATGATGATGATGCTTGCATGACAACATGGATGTGCTTAATGCCATTGAATTGTACACTTACAAATGGTTAAAATGATAAATCTCATGTGATGTATATTTTACCAAGCTTTTTTTTAAAAAGAACATCTGGTTTCAAATCCCACCTCTGCCCCTTGCTGGCAGGTGACCTTCGGGAGCTGCCTATCTCTCCTAGAGGCCTCGGTTTCTCTCTCCGGAACACAGTCCTTGCTGCCCTGATGCTCCCAGTACTTGCAGGACCCAGACAAAGCTCTGGCAGTTGTGCTGATAGCAATGGGGAACCTGAGAGGAACTAGCACCCTCCTGCAGCCAACGATCCCTTGGCTGCCCCGGCAGGGGGAGTGTGGGTGGCACCATCCCAGGCTGCTCCCCCATCACCCAGCCTTCAGGAGGCTTCGAGCGACTTCTCCAAGCAAAGAACACAGTGCATTGAGGCCAGCTGCTGCCCACCAATCAAAACAAGTCCAGTGTCCTCCCCAGCGCGCCTAAAGGCAGGTGCAGGTGCACTGCCCTACAAAGCAAACAACAGCCAAGAGCCGCCTTTGGTCCTCCGAGCTAGCCAGAGCCACGTGCTTGCCCACTGCGAGAGTTTCCATGCCCTCGCCCACCACCTGCCCTGGGCACACGGCTGAAAGAAGGAAAATTACACCTCTGCTGGGGCCCACGCCACTGCACAACGCGTGTGGTCTCGCGGATTTGTGTGACTCCTCTCTGGGCTGGAGGAAATGGAGACATCTGTCCCAGTGAGATTTTCAATTAAAGGGGAAACAAAGCCCCATTACAGCAGCACTGGCAGGGGGCTGGGAGGCCAGAATTCAAATCCCAGCTCAGCCCAGCTGACCGCAAGGCCGAGTCACACTGTGTCTGCTTAGGCCTGGCCACTTCCACCACATTCTGTAGGGAGACTTGGGTTCAGATTCTGCTCTGACACTTGGTCAATTCACTCAATCTCCAAGCCTCCCTCATGGGAACACGGAGGTATCAAAAGCGCCCACCACGCAGTGGCTCACGCCTGTAATCCCAGCACTTTGGGAGGCCGAGACGGGCAGATCACGAGATCAGGAG
The DNA here is from genome assembly GCF_000001405.40 of Homo sapiens. NCBI lineage: Eukaryota > Metazoa > Chordata > Mammalia > Primates > Hominidae > Homo > Homo sapiens. Next base: position 10,975,968 of record NC_000008.11, read on the forward strand.
ATCGAGACCATACTGGCTAACAAGGTGAAACCCTGTCTCTACTAAAAATACAAAAAAAATTAGCTGGGCGCAATGGCGGGCGCCTGTAGTCCCAGCTACTTGGGAGGCTGAGGCAGGAGAATGGCATGAACCCGGGAGGTGGAGCTTGCAGTGAGCCGAGATCGTGCCACTGCACTCCAGCCTGGGTGACAGAGCAAGACTCCATCTCAAGAAAAAAAAAAAGTGCCCCCCCCCAACCTCGCCACCATGTTGTGGGAGGGTTTAGTGGGGTCATTAGCAGAAAAGTCTATTTGTTGAATGAGTGACTGATTGTAAACAAGCCCACCCAAGACCCCAGCAGGGTCCTCCTTCCTTCCCCTGCCATGGGCATCTGACCCCATGTCATGGTGGAAGCTCAATGAAGGGAAAGCTGCCACCGGGAAGACCAGCTCCCAGAGACCCGGAGGCATGCAGACAGCAGCTCATCCAGTCCCCATTTGCAGGACAGGACCTGAGAACCAGATACGCCTGCAGGTGCCTGTCCCTCTGCGCCCCCCGGGTGGTGTTAGGGCTCCCTGTGCACGGAGGCCTGCAATCATTTGGACAACACATGGTTACCAGGTGTCTGCTATGTGCCAAACGATGGTCACAGGAGGGTGAGAAAGACAGTCTCCACGTTCAAGAGTACAAAGTCCGTGATCCAGGAAGACAATGAGGCAGCCACTGTGTCTCATTTCTGGATGAATGGATGTCACAAAGCCATGGAAGTGGTTCAGTGGCTTCCATATCACTAGGCTACCTCGCCTGTCTCTCTCTCTCTCTCTCTCTCTCTGTCTCTCTCTCTCTCTCAGAGCAGGCTACCTAGGATTTTACTTGCAATCCTCCAATAGCGATGTGGCCTCCCTGAAAGAAAACATCTGGCTGCCTGAGCCCCAGTGGGCTGGGGGGCTACACTGAACCAAGGCCATCTGTGTAGATGCAGGAGGTGGTCCCTGCTGAGCGTGCATGCCATGGATGCAGGTCGTCTTCCCCAGCCCATCCCACCACAACACCGAGGCCAGGACCAGAAAAGGATGAACAGCTGCCAAGGGCTAAGCAGATCCAAAAAAGGCCAGGTGACATGCCCAAGATCACACAGCTGGTGAGGTTTTCTGACTCTGCATCCCCAAGAGACCTCGTCTCACAGGCACTCCCTTTACAAGCAGCCTCAAGACCTCCCCAGGTTGGGGTGCACTGCAGAGGTTGTCCAGGCCAGCACCCTCATTTTACTAAGATGGAACCCAGGAGGGGTGGCCTGCCTGAAACCATGGAGATTTTCAATAGCAAAGAAAGCCCTAGAACCCATGCCTCAAGGGTCCATTGGTCTCCCCCATCCCAGGGACACCCTGCCCTCTGGTGGCCAACTGGAGAATACATGTGGAGAATGACAAATTCCCTAACCCCCTGCACAGGTTAAGAGATGAGACTCTCTAATAAGCCAAGCAGTCAGCCAGTGGGTCTAGGGAGGCAGTAAGTCCCCCGCCACTGGAGGAATGTGGGATGAGACTAAATTACAACCCTGGATGCAACCCAAAATATGTAACAACAGAACTATCCAAGCCCCAGCCCATTAGCATGAGCCATCTTCAACAGCCAGGACAGCTGAGGCTGGGCACCCCGACTAATTGCTGTTGCTGTGACCGCTCTCAGAGACAGATGAGTGCTAATGTCCCTCTGCCTCGAAAGGTCTATCACGGAGGTGGGTTCGGGGATAGAGACAGTGCAGGGGTCATAGAACGAGGAGAAGTTTTGGAATCAGGCAGTAACGTGGGAAGGTTACTGGACCACTGTCACAGGAGTAATAGCACATACCTTCCAAGTGTGTGGAAGGATCCAGTGAGCTAATTTTTGAAAAGTTAACTTTTGAAAAGCTAATTTTTGAAAAAGTGTGGACCCTCAATAAATGGCAGCCGTTATCTTGGCAACTGGTGGTGATACAGGCGATGACTCCAGAACGTACCATTTTGGAGCAGAAACTGTCACCCACATGTCTCCAGCTTTCAGGTTTTTGCTCTTTTGATTAACATTATAAACCTAGTGGGTCTGCCTTATTTAGCCTCCTTCCCATTTCATCAGCAGGAATGATGGAAATGGAAAGCAACTGGCCTCTATTTCCCATGCACCCACTGAGGTCCTAGTGACACTCAATGAGGGCCTAGCCCCACCCCCATTACCATCACCACCTAAGCCCTAACTCGCCATGATTCAGAACAGATTCATAGCAGAGAATAGATTTATTGCCTGATATGCATATTTAATGACTTTCAAGGATAGTTCATAACTACACCATGCAATTTATTGGTATTTAATGTTATGCATTAATGAATAATGTTTAAGCCATCCAACACTGGCCAATTTGAGAAACTTAATATAACATTCAATAACTCTTGTCAAGACTTAATAAATTTCCATGGATTTATACATCCTGTGAAATGCACTCCATCTCAAACAAATTAAATAATGCATGTGATGATGTGATGGGGGAGGGGGAAGACGATTTGTTGAAGGCTGATTTGATGGGAAACAGGTGTATTTTATCACTTGGGCTTTTTATTAGGGTCTCGTGCATTCTCCTCCAGAGAAAGAAACAGGCACCCCAAGACACTCGGCCCAAGGTAGTTAAGCCAGATGCAGATCATTCTCTGCCCTTAACATAGATGGAAATGAGCTTCCTCCAGCTTTGCTTGACCCTCTTCACTTCTTTGCCTTGGTTCTTTGCTTTGACAAAGACGCCCACCCTCTGCTTCAGCCATAGACCCCAGTCTCCCTCCCTGGCCAGGGGCAGCCAGACAACTCCTCCCCCCGTGCTGACGCACGGCCTTGTCCCATGTCATTCTTCTCCCTTGGAAACTTCAGTGGCCACCGTGGCCTGTGGGCAGGGCCACATTGCTTAGCTGGACGTTCCAGGCCTCCCAGATGTCATCCTGCCACTGGCCCAGCTTCAGCCCTGTGTCATCTCACAGAGACCGTACCCTCGGGCAAATTACTCTGCTGCCATGCCCAGACCCATCTGTCCACCCCCTGCCTGGAATGCCTCCTGATCATCTAATTTTTCCTATCAAAGCCTGCTTGACTTTAGGGACCCAATCCCATCTTCAATGTCACCTCCTCCTTGCAGTCTTCCCTGAATCCCCCAATGAGAAAGAGCTCACTGTCCCTAGGAGGTTCTGGGGATCTCACGGCACATCCTACTCTGCCCCTCCCTGTTTCCTCCCACTAGGAAGGGCTCCTGGAAGGGCCAGGCCCACTAGCCTACTCCCCCAACCCCCAAGGGCCCAGCGAACTCAATAGGAATTTGTTGAAAGAACACATAAGTTAACCGAATAATGCTCCTTTGTGTTTGCAGAAAAATGAGGAAGCAAGCAGAAGGCTCGGGTCAGCAGCTACAGGGGTCCCAGTGGCCCCAGGCAGCCAGCACGTTCCTGGTTCCTGGGGGACCTGCCGAGAACCCAGGCCACCTTCCAAGGGGATAAGGCAGCAGGACCTCCACACCAGAGCCAGTCCCTTTCACAGTCTCTCCTCCGGTCTGGTCCTTTAGAAAGACCCCCGACCCTCTAGCCCCTGAAGCAGCCAAGACAGTTGGTCAAGCCACTTCACCTGCCTAAGCCATTTCCTTCTCTGTAAGGTGGGTTGAGTGCAGCCTGGCTCCTCCTTGGGGGACACACGAAATCATATGTCTGCAGGTCCCTTGTGGACAAGTCAGGCTGCCTGAAACGGACAATGGCCACAGCAGCTCCTGACCCTCTGTTCCCTGTGGCTACTTGGACCCTCCGTAGGGGTTTTCTCTCAGCTCTGAGTGAGGACCCTGTGCTGCGGGGAGGGGAGATCCAGGGCTGTGCCGTCACGCACAGACTCCCAGGCTGAGGTCTTTCCAAGGGCAGAGTGGTCTCTGGTCCTCTTGGTGTTTGGGGGACTTATAAGGACATCTATTGTGACCCCAAGGGAAGAGTCAACAGGCAGGGAAGGTTTCTTCGGGTTCACACACCACAACCCAACCCTGCTGCTGCCCCGTCCTGGCTCATGCCAAACCCTGAGGCAGACATCTCTGTCCCAAGGAAAACCCCATCTGAGATGAACAGACAGGGGAGCTTGGAATGAGATGCTCTATGCAGGCCTGGAGCCCAGAAAGGGAGTGGCCTCAGAGGGAGCTTCAAGAAGGGGGAACGTCTGAGCTTGGTACTAAGGATGAGGCTGCAGTTCCCCACTGAGAGGGGCCTTCCAGGCAGAGGCAGGAAGGCCAGGTTCTGGAGTGCCCAGGAGGTCTGGGGAGGGCTGCAGCTTGCGGGGCTGCAGGGGAAGGGGCCAGATGGGTAAGAAAAGCCCCCTGTGTTCAGACTGAGGAGGGCTCTGAATACAAGGCAGAGATGTCCACACCAGATCCCATGGGTGACAGGGAGCTATCAACAGATATTAAACAGGGGATTGATCTAACCTGGCTTATAAGTAGGAAAGGCCACTCAGGAATGTCAGTTCCATGAGGACAGGGATGCTCATTCATTGTGTTCACTGCTGTTTCCTTAACAGCAGGAACGTGCCTAGCACATTCCTAGCATGTTGTATGGATTATGATTGATGGATTTTAATACCTATCTATTATCGATCTACCATGGATTAGGACTGATGGATAATGGTATCTATCCATGTTACACGGATCATGATTATGGATTATGATCTCTGTCTATCTGTCTGTCTATCTCTCTATCTATTGACCTACCCAAGTTGTATGGATTATGACTCGGGATTGTGATACCTATCTATCGTCTATCACCTATCTATCATCTATCTATATACCACGGATTATGACTGATGGATAACAATATCTATTCCTGTTGCATGGATCATGAATAATGGATTATGATCTCTGTCTGTCTGTCTATTTCTGTATCTACTGACCTACCCAAGTTGTATAGATCATGACTGATGGGCTGCAGGCTGGAGGGATTAGAGACAGGGACACTGGAGGTGGCAGCAGAACTCCATAAGCTGTTTCAGAAAAAAAAAAGAGAAGAGCCCAACATTGTTCTTTCGTGTGTTTGAAGGGTCAAAATACCAGGTAGCTGTAGATGCTTTTTCCCATTTTAAATTCCTACCCCCACTATCTCCCAAAGCCTTTGTTGTCTTCTACTCTCCCACTGTCAACCAGGCCCAGACAACAGATTAATGCTAGTGAGCAAAGGAACAGCTCTTGCAATACTGAGAGATGGGCAGCTGTGGCCACTTTTCCATGGAAAAATGTGTGCTTGTCCCCAGAGCATACGAGGGGGTAAATAGATTTTCGAGAGTGAAGTTATGAATTGCTCCCATGGCAGGATTAACTCTAGCAATAGTCCATGTGTTTTCGGATGCACTGCACGTTCCAGGTGAGGCCCATGGAGGCCTCACCAGAAGGAAGGGCCAAGTAGAGGAGATATTTCCAAGGCAGTCAACAAGGCTTGGTGATGATCAGATTGCGGGTGAGGAGGACGAGCTTTGGAAAGAGATGAAGCGTTTCCAGAAAGTTGCCAGATCTCTCTGAATTCCACTAACAAAGACATTGGAAAGAAGTAGTTCAAAAGCAAAAGATATTCTGCCATTTTCTAAATGTAAAAATTAATAAATGTATAGACCCAGGGATCTAGAATAAGCCTCCCAAATTTAGCACTGACCGCACTTCCAGGTGAAAAAATATAACAGAACTTCTATTAAAGATGCCCAGGTAGTGTCATTGCCCAGCTTCCCCTGAAAACTTGGTCTAATGACTTAAGCAATTTCTTCCTTATAGCTAAGTTTAATCCTTCATATTCTAGCTTCAGTCTTTTGCCAATTATTCCTTCTTTCTCCAGTGGAGGTGCCACCATTTTGTGGTTAAGTAGAGATGTCAAAGTGATGGCTGATAAATGGAAAGATGGGCAAATCCATGAATTGTGCTTTCATTCCAAAGGCTAATTGTTTAGGAAAAGCTCATGGCTTGGATTAAGGCTATTCACAATTCCAATGGCTAGTTGCCTATATAAAACAAGGCTCATGCCATTCAAATAAACTTTCATGCACTAAAGGCTGTGATCACCGCAGAAGCCTTAGTTGCTACCCCAACTTGAGGCAGCTACTAGGGTAAGGGCTTTAAAGGTAGAAAATGCAATCAATGAAGTCTACACACGTCAACTCAACCCTTGTCTGATGACTTTCTTATCAGCTCTGTTTCAAAGGCAAATGGTAGGTGGCATAATATGTGGCAGCAAAGTAAAACAAAATAAAAGATAAGAGAACGGCACTTTCTCTTTGATTTCTCCCAGTTGAAAATCATTTCCAAGAAAGCAAATGAAAGATACGGTTTCTCAAGAAAGAAGGAAGTCCGAAGAGATTTCCTATGTATTCTGTTTTTTCTGTCTAAGATGTCATAGGATAATGCATTCAAAAATGACAGGCACATCAGCTCTCTGGGCTTCAGGTCCCACCTCTAAAAATGAGAAAGCACAATGCTCTTTAACAGCAGCTTCCTCCAACATGAGTGCTTCTCTACAGTCTGTACCTGGGCCTTGATGTATGTTTAACCCACCTCCCAGGCTGAGAAGGAACATTAGTAGCCCTGTTGTGACTAAGGGAAAACGGGAGAAATGTTCTGTTTGCTGTCAAGTTCAGTAATGGTGAGAAGTCCGGGAGATATCTTCCCGGAGTCAGATCGTTTTATGAGAAAGTGATGTGGGTGCAAGTCTACAAAAGAATCTGAAGCTGATTTGTGGCCAGCATTAGAGGCCCTGGCGTTTCTCTAAGATTCTAGATGCTGTGACCTTAACCTGCTGTGGTTGTAGGTGTTGAAGTGACCAAAGGAAGGTGGAGTTTGGTACAAGGACAAGAACGTATTCAGAGAGCGCAGCCCCAGGGAGGCATGGCTTGGGGTTTGAGGATAGGCTGAACCAAGGGCACCAGGGACAGCTGGCTCCACTGGGACCCCATTTCCGCTCCTTCCTAGCTATATGGCCTTGGGCAAGCCATTTAACTTCTCTAAGCCTATTTTCTTATTTGTGAAATGAAGGCCCATACCAATTAACTTACAGGGTTGTAAGCATCAGATGAAAGAATATATGAAAACATCTTGCAATTTGTAAATAATACTGAACAAAAATATTCTCAGAGTGGATCTTGAGAAAAAAATAATGCAACAAGATAACCCAAGGAAAATAAAAGAGCAAAATTAAAATTATTTAAAAATTAATAAAATTAAAAAGTAATGAATCAAAAATGTTTTAAATGTAGAAGTGATAAATTCAAGACCTGCTTTTTTTGGGAAAAAATAAAATAAATCATTAGTTAACATCATCAAGAAAAAAGGAAGAAAGGACAAACATACAAATTAAGAAACAGTGATCGGGAAACAACCACAGACTGTGAAGACCTTAAAGGAAGCCTGCAAGGCCTATTTGCTCCATTCTGTAAAGATCAATTTGTAAACCTGAATGAAATTAATTATCTTATAGAAAAATATAAATTACCAAAACCAACCTCTGGAAAGATAGAAAAGGTAAAGAGAACAATTATCACAGAAAAAAATAGTCATCACAGAGCAGAACACACTGAAAGAACTTGGCCCACTAGGTTTTACAGAAAAATTCTACCTAATCCTTAAGAACAGACAACAGCAACACTATTTAAACTGTTCAAGACTATAGAAAAAGAAAAGCTTACATATTCTTTTTTTTGTTTTTTTTTTTGAGATGGAGTCTCACTCTGTCACCCAGGCTGGAGTGCAGTGGCCTGATCTCAGCTCACTGCAAGCTCCGCCTCCCAGGTTCACACAATTCTCCTGTGTCAGCCTCCCAAGTAGCTGGGACTACAGGTGCCCGCCACCATGCCCGGCTAATTTTTTGTATTTTTCGTTGAGTTGGGGTTTCACCGTGTTAGCCAGGATGGTCTTGATCTCCTGACCTCGTGATTCGCCTGCCTTGGCCTCCCAAAGTGCTGGGATTACAGGTGTGAGCCACTGCGCCCGGCCTTACATATTCTTTTTATAAAACTAGCATCACATTGACATCAAACTCCCCAAAATAAAAAATAAAACTATGGACCAATCTTACTTGGAATATTATTGCAAAACTCTTAAATAAAACATTAGCAAACAAAATCTACCAGCACAGCAAGAGAATGACATACCTTAGACAAACGAGGCATGTATTGCACAAATACAGGGATGTATTAGAAAACCTATTACCATAACTTTACATATTAATAGATCAAAAGGGAAAAATTATACAACCGTCTCCATAGCTACTGAAAAAGCATTTTCTAAAATTCAACATCCATTCTCAATCAAAATAAAACTCTTTATTGTAAAACATAATAAAATTCTTACATGGATACACAATCACACACACCCCTCAACTCAAAAGGCTGTACCACGCTTATTTGGGAAACACTACAAGTTTCCTAGGAACGTCTATTATCAATACAGATTTTTAGCATTGGCCTGAGGGCACTATTCAACTTAATTAGAAAGACAGATCTATAGGCAGCAAGTGGTGGGAAAAAGAAAGAAAGAATTATAAAAATTAAGAAAGAAGAGGTAAAATTATCATTGTTTTCAGGGGAAAGAGTCCAGAAACTCAGCTGATAAATGATTAAAATAGTAAAGGAATATGACTAGATTGCAGAGTACAGAATTAATAAGCAAAAATCCATCAGCTTTCCAAATGAAAACAACATTTTTTAAAAGTAACACAAAAGATAAAATACATGGCTCTCTCTCTCTCTCTCTCTCTCTCTCTCTCTCTCTCTATATATATATATATATATATATATTTGAAGAAATGTGCATGAAGAAAACATTAAAACTCTACTAAGCAAATAACAGACTTCAAGAATGGAAAGCCATCTGATGTTCTTAGGAAGTCCCAACATTGTAAAGTTGTTGATTCTTCTTAAGGTAATTCATAAATTTAATATGATCCCAATAAAAACCAATGGATTGTGGGTTTTTGTTGTGGTTTTTTGTTTTTTTTGAAACGGGGTCCTGCTCTGTACCCCAGGCTGCAGTGCAGTAGTGCAATCTCAGCTCACAGTAACCTCCACCTCCCAGGCTCAAGCAATCCTCCCACTTCAGCCTCCAGAGTAGCTGGGATTACAGGCACACACCACCATGCCAGGCTAAATTTCTTTTTCTATTTTTTGTGGAGAGGGGGTGATACGGTTTTGCTGTGTCCCCACCCAAATCTCATCTTGAATTGTAGCTCCCATAATTCCCACATGTCACGGGAGGGACCTGGTGGGAGGTAATTGAATCATGGGGGCAGGTCTTTCCTGTGTGGTTCTCATGATTGAGAATAAGTATCATGAGATCTGATGGTTTTATAAAGGAGAGTTCTCCTGCACCCACTTTCTTGCCAGCAGGCCACCATGTAAGACACCCCTTTGCTCTTTCTTCCTGAACTTCTTCTGCCATGATTGTAAGATTAAAAGGAACATTGTCTAGATCACTCAGCTGATATATTTGATAGAATAACAATTTAAATCTAGGTGTGTCTAATTCTAAAGCTTGTTCCCTTAACCGTGACACTCTACTGCCTCCCACACACTTCTTTCTTGCTCAAAAATTACCAAAACTTACTCTTGCTGATGACAGAATTCTACCATCTTTTGGTTAAAAAAAAAAAAAAAGCAAAAGCAAAAAAACAAAACAAAAAACAACAAAAACAAACAAACAAAAAAACCTCTCATAAAACTTTCCCACAGCCTTGAGATCATGAATTGTAACCACTAAACCTCTTTCCTTTTTTCCTTTATAAATTACGCAGTCTCTGGTATGTCTTTATTAGAAGCATGAGAACAGACTAATACATGGGGTTGTGTCATGTTGCTCAGGCTGGTCTTGAACTCCCGAGCTCAAGCGATCCACCTGCCTTGGACTCCCAGAGCGCTGGGATTACAGGCATGAGCCACTGCACCTGGCCAGAACCAGTGGATTTTTAACTAGATAAGCTGATTTTCAAATTCACATGGGAAAATGAACAAGCAAGAATATTTAGAAAATTTCTGAAAAATATAGGAGAGAAGGAGACTACTAATAGATGATAAAAATATTACAAAGATACAGAATAGTGGAAACAATATAGTACTTGCATAAAAGATGTAGACAGATCTACTGGAGATATTACAAAGACCAGAAACAGACTGAAGATCACACTGGAATATGATAAATGACAAAGGTGGTGCTTCAAATCAGAGGAGTAGATTATTTAATAAGTGATGGTGGCCCAGATGATTCGACATCTGGAGAAAATAAAAGTGGATACCAACTTCACAACGTATGTATTCTAAATAAATTTCAGATGGATCAATTATGTAAACATAAAATGAAATGACAGAATTAGAAAATAAATAGAAGAATATCTTTATAATCTCATCATGTAGACAGCCTTTCTAAATATAACATGATGCCCAGAATAAAAGGATCTACAAATATGGTTTTTAAAATTTGTAACAACTATGAAAGATAAAAGCGACACCATTATCTTTATACTTCACGATCTCAAGGCTGTGGAAAAGTTTAATGAGAATTTTTTTCTTACAAAAGATGGTGGAATTCTGTGATCAGCAATAGTAGATTTTGGTAGTTTTTGAGCAAGAAAAAAGTGTGTGGGAGGCAGTAGAATGTCATAGTTGAGGGAACAAGCTTTAGAATTATACATACCTGGGTTTAAATTGTTGTTCTATCAAATATATCAGCTGAATGATCTAGACAATATTCCTTTTAATCTCATTCAACTTCGGTTTCCTTATCTATGAAGTAAGAATATTAAGATCTTTTTCATAGGTTTTTATTGTTGTTGTTTCTTTTTTTTTTTTAAGAGATAGGGTTGACACTGCCACCCAGGCTGGAGTGCAAACATAGCTCACTGCAGCATAGAACTCCAGGGCTCAAGCCTTCTGCCTCAGCCCCTAAGTAGATGGGACTATAGGTGTGCACTACCATGCCTGGCCAATTTTTTTTTTTTAACATTTAAATAGTTTTCTCTTAGAGATGGGGGTCTCACTACGTTGCACAGGCTGGTCTTGAACTCTTAGATTCAAGTGATCCTCCCACTTCAGCCTCCCAAGTCATAAGTTTGTTTAAGGATTAAAGGGCATGTAACTCCTTAGCCAAGTGCATGATATGTAGTAATCTATAAATATTACCCATGTAGTAAGAAAGTAATGTTTAAGCAGCTTCAAGTCTTAAAGAAACTACAGAACATGGTTAACAGATGCATCTATGTGTGGGTTGAACAACTGGATCCCACAATTCTTTGTCCTGAAGAGGCACTTACAGTCCTGGAAATGTAAAGTGGTACTACTAGTTGATCAGTTCACTCAAAACCTCTCAATAGTCCACTGGATAAGAGCAGAATCATTATCAATTTACAGTTGAGAAAAATGGGAAGCTATTCTTTCTGCTGTTCAGGCACCAAACCACAGAGTCAACTTTGAATTCTCTCTCACACACCCCATATCCAATGTATTATCACATACTGTTGGCCACAAATATATGTTTAGATTCCAGCCACTTCTCATCATCCCTTGTGTGACTATGCACAAACCAACCCCTATCTCTCACCTGGATTACTGCTGTGCAGTGGACACTAACTGGCTTCCATTCCTCCCCACATTCCCACAGTGTATTCTGGACACAGTGAGAGGGACCACGTTAAACTGTAATCATACCCTGTCTCTTCTCTGCTCAAAGCCCTACCATGACTTCCCACTTCACCTAGATTAAGACCCCAAGCATTTACTATGGCCCCAAGATTTCCATAATATGGGCCCAGTTTTCTCCAGGACATTCTGTCTACCACTTCTGTCATCTCTAGTCTTTCCCAAATGGCCTCCTTTCTGGTCCTCCAATGTTTCAGGCAAGCTCCTGCCATGGCTCTTAGCAGAATCCTGGGCTACTGTCTCACAGCACCTGCAGGGCTCACTCTGCACCTCTCTCAGGTCTTTACTCAAGAACCACTTTTTTGAGAGTACCCAGGGGTTAATGATGCTGTCCTTCCTACTTTGGACAGGCCCAGGGCTGTCCCCTTGTTTTCCACTGAAAAACAAAAAACAAAAAACATTATTTAAATCAACTTAATGGGCTGTTCCCGGGCCATCCCCTCTAAAGTTTCACCCTCCCCTTCAACCACCTGCCAACTTCATATCCCCATCCCCTGCTTTGTTTTTTGCCCCTTACCCCCACTTAACATTTTCCTTATTGATTTTATCTATTATCTGACTCCCTTCTAGAATGTAAGCTCCATGGGGGTATGGATTCTTAATCTGTTTTGTTTGTTACTGTTTCCCCTGCACCTACCACAGCATGTGGCACAAAGTAGGTGTTCCATTAATTTTCTTCAATGAATGAGTAGGTGAATTAACTCAGTCGCTCTCTCTGAAATACTCAGTCATTTTGTTTCGTATATCCTGGTCTCCTTTGCAACCTTTTGTTTTTTGTTCTGTGGAAATCCCTGGCGTGCCTTACAGAGCACACACAGACACTACCTCCATATGCAGGAGAACTGAGAACCCCCACTGTCACGTAGATGCAACTGAAGATCAGAAAGGCAAGGAATGCTAGGCACAGTTCCATTCCATGCAAGGTCCACACAGAAACGAGAGCTACTGAGGACCAGGACTGAGTCCATGATCTACTGCTGACAAGGGCACACCCCTGGGCCTGTCTGGGACATGTCACCTGCTCAGAGCCAAGGAGAATGAAGGTATCACAGTCACAGAAATCGGCACCAACTTGGGGCACCAAAGGAAGAAAAGAGATCAAAGAGAGTTAATGGTCCCAATTTGTCACAGAACATAACCTCAAAACATGTGAACCATGATTCTACAAAGTCAACGTCTGGATTCTATCAGAGGCCTGCTGCGGAGTTAAGGTGCAGATTCCCTTTGCTGTCCGGTGGCTTGTGGAACGTTTCTTGATGACCCAAAGTCACAGTGTCTTAGGCAACTCACAGCAAAAGGCAGAGGACAGTATCCTGGACACATAAAATACTTGCTTGACACGAGCAATAGATTCCGTTCCAACAATCACTGAATATGCCCATAGGCAAGCTACATGCTTATGTTGACTCACCATGACCACCTGGGTTAGGGGCCAAGAAGGAGACAGTGGAGTGATGTCTGCAGCCTAGGAAGGGCATGAGCTCTGTGGAGGTTATACAAGGAGCTGGGTGATGCCTCACAGGGGCAATATTCAGGTAAGTCTAGTCAGAGCCCAGTGGTTGAATAAAAGACCTATTTGCTTGGATTAACAGAAATGAGTAGTGAGATAAAATGAAGGCTGACAGAATTTTACATGGGCTAATACTTTTCTTATAATTCCTTTCGTTGAATTGTCTGTAAGAAAACAAGACAGCCAGAAGGGCCATTCCATGGTGATTTACCATAGGACCTCATAGTTAACTAAAACTTAACTAGCCCGAAATCACAAACCATATGAGACCCGAGATGATTGATATCTACGTTACGTTTAATTTAAAAAAGCAAATCCATTTCGGGAATTGAAAGAAGTCCCAGGGAAGAAGAGAAAAGGATAAAATGATGGCTTTCACCATATAGCAGAGTGGTTGGAAGAAGAGGTTTAAATCTGGGTTTCAACTGATGAACAGGTAACATTCTGTAAGTTCCTTAGCCTCTTTTAATTTCAGATATATCAATAACACTGGACCAATATCAGTATCTACCTCACAGAAGTTGTGAATGTTAAACAATACATGCAAAGCATTTAGTATAGTGCCTATCACATAGCACTGTTCAGAAGTATTATTAATAACATTTTGGTGACATGGGAGGCAAATATTCTGTCTGGGTCACAGACTATTAGGAAGAAGTGCCACCTTATGAATGGGAAGTAGTCTCACAGATGTCATGTAAAAATGATCTAGCCATACTAATCTGTCACTTCTGGTATCTTTTGACTGAGCTCTGTTTGCCACGTGTAACAGGATCAGACGAAGTGTGTCATGCTTCATTCTGTATCTAGGGAATCAGAGGTCTGCAGAGCAGATGCCAAACTGGGAGTCGGGTTATGGACACTGCTTCTGCGTGTGATCTACAATAGGTGGTCATTATCTCCCAGACAGCAGTGGTGCACCTTGTAAATGCTGATTGAGACTGCAGTGTCCCCACCACTATATTAAAACAAGCAAACAAAAACTTTTGTGACAGTCAGGTATTTGAATGAGTAGAGGTTTATACCTGCATGTGATTTTCAGTGCAGTGGCAGCAAAGACGTGCTCTAGTACAAACGCGTCTCTATCCAGGAGCTCTTAGAGAAGGAGGCTGCTGTGGAGGTCTTACTGTTACTCTTAGACCAGCAGGTGGGAAGTTGGGGCTGGGGTACTGGCCGTGGTGCTGAAAAGCCTGCTCTGGTCCCAAAGGGAGCTGTCCATGGTCACAACCCATCGTGGCTGGGAGATTTTAAGACTGTGGAACTGCTGGGGAGCATGTCTGTTATTTCCACACCGGCAGTAGTTGGAGAAGAAATACTGCCCATGGTGCTGAAAAGCCTGTTCTGGCCCTGGTGGGAGCTGTCCATGGACACAACACACTGTGGCTGGAAGATACTAAGAGTGTGGAGCTGCTGGGGAATGTTTGTTGTTGTTGTTGTTGTTGCTGTTATTGCTGAGACAGGGTCTCACTCTGTCACCCAACTGTGCAATCATGGCTTACTGTAACCTCAACTTCTCAGCTTCAAGCGATCCTCCCACCTAAGCCTGCAGAGTAGCTGGGACCACAGGCATGCACCACCATGCCCAGTTAATGTTTAAATTTTTTTTTGTAGAGACGAGATTTTGTCCTGCTTCCCAGGCTGGTCTCGAACTTCTGGGCTCAAGCGATCCACCTGCCTCAGCCTCCCAAAGTGGTAGGATTACAGGTGTTCATCACCATGCCCGGCCACTGGGGAATGTCTTTTTTTTTTTTTTTTTTTTTTTTCGAGACAGAGTCTCACTTGGTCACCCAGGCTGGAGTGCAATGGCACGATCTCAGCTCACTGCCACCTCCACCTCCCGGAGTTCAAGCGATTCTCCTGCCTCAGCCTCCTGAGTAACTGGGATTACAGGCACCCACCAACATGCCCAGCTGATTTTTGTATTTTTAGTAGAGACGGGGTTTCACCATGTTGGTCAGTCTAGTGTTGAACTCCTGACCTCAGGTGATCCACCTGTCTCAGCCTCCCAAAGTGCTGGGATTACAGGCGTGAGCCACCCCAGCTGGGAATGTCTTACTGTTTTTTTCACATCCGCAGTAGGTGAGAGTAGGGGGGAAATGCTGGTCATGGTGCAGAAAAGTCTGCTCTGGTGCTGATGGGAGCTGTCCAGGGTCACAATCCACTGTGACTCAGCCCAGTTCTCAGCGTTCAAAGCTTTCCTGTAGTTGCAACTGCCTCTTTCACTTTGGATTCCAGTTAGCTCTTCCTTGCTTACTTGGTTAACTGACTGGCCTGAGGATAGTTATGATTCAGAAGCTATCCAAAGAAATAGGTTCTATTTCAAGATTAATTTGGATGTTAAGGCCGGAACACGATGAGTCTATCTTTTCTGGGTCCTCGGGGTTGCCATAGGTCTTAACTTGAGGCAAAACAACAGCTCAAATCAATATAAAAGCATACTCTATGGAATCTTCCAGGCGAAGTGTAACCCAGGTTTAAGCAGGGTTTTCTGTGGACTTGAGTGGGCAATCAGTGGTTAACCTCTGGATCCAAATCAGACCAGAATCATGATTTCTAAATTTATTTAAAGGTAGAGTTGCAGAATTCCTTCAATGTTTTTCTCCCATTGCCTCTCAATTTTCTTGCCCCATTCTGTGTAAAACAGCATTTTTCTTTTTACACCTGACCATGTATCTAAATTGGAATTGTCTCAAACACTGTTCTTCCCTGTTTTTGCTTCCAAATACAGGAAATGGGTAAAGCCTACTATAAAAACAAAAGTAGAAAAATAAACCTGGATAATTCTATTCCCCACTTAGATTCTGTATCCACATTCTAACTTCCTGTCTATATACAGGTGGCCAACAACAGATGTCATGAGACAGCCATGTGATAGTACAGCAGGAAACAGACCTGGCCGTGAGTCCTGCCGCCAGGCCTCCACAGTCTAAATACCAAGGTCTGCACTATTCAGGGGATGGAAATCTATAAATAGCAGCCTGATGATATCATCATCACCCTGCCTGTTGCTGTTCAGCTGTCAAATGTTTTTAAAGGAGGTTACAACAAATTAATAGATGGTGGTAAATTCTACAGCCCCATTAACCATAAACTAACTCTCTCTCTCTGTCTCTCTGTCTCTCTCTCTCTCTCACACACACACACACACACATTCACACACCAGAGACCAACAGATTTTAGTGGCTGCTTATTAGAATGAAGACTCCATCTATCTGAAAGCCCATCCCTCTGACTGTGCCAGATCTCTGTGTCTAACTGGTCCCTAATTCCCTCTCCGTGTGGAGGGGCAGATGTGCTTCTTTCATCAGCTCACTGGCACTGCTTCTAAACAAGGTCTCTATTCCTTCAGACAGTGAGAAACTCAGGGCTCAACCTTGAATGAGCAGCAGCCTGCAAACCTTGCAGACAGATCCGCTTGTTAAAGGGAACTCTAATCCCTCTTGTTCTTATCATGAAGGAAGACCTAGATTGGACATCAAGAGAAAGAACCTAGAGCAGATCCCCCTCTCACCATTGACCTTGAACAATTCCCTGACCTCTTCCCTCCTGTTAGCCAAGCAGTGACTGTGCACCAAGTCAATTCTGCATCTAGAGAGAAAGTCTCCAAGAGACAAGTGATGCTGCAACTGACGCAGGAGATGGGAAGAGGAGATGGTCCTTGAGGCACGTCCACAGCCCCTGGGACAACGCCACCAAATGGATGTCTCCATGATCTCACGAAGTTCCCGAATGGTGCTAACCAACCACCACGCCGAGCTGAGGTGGCAAACTACCTGAGAAGGTCATAGAATGTCACCTTTCCCAATGACTGGATTCTTCACATGTCTTTTAAAAATGGGTGTCTGGTCTGTAGCAAACAACACGGAGAAAGAGAAGTGGGAGGTGGGAAAGAGAGGCAAGATTATTTTTAAAAGTGTATATGTGTGTGTATCTACATTTATATAAATAGCAACCAGAATGGAACACGGAGGGCTTTTACTATTTTAAGGACAAGCTCCAGTAGTAAAGTAATCTTCTGAGTGACGCCACTTTTTGGCTGGTAGCTCTCGCGCCCAGGCGAGGCTGGGATGCTTTTTATTCAAGTCACATTGAATGCCTCTTACCAATCCATCCATCTTAATCAGCACCTACCACTTGCAGCAGCGGCCCTGCAGTCAGGAAGCCAAGGGGACGGGGGTGTGAGGGCAGTGGCGAGAGGTGACATCATAGAAGGAAGAAAGGAAAGAAAGCGGGTGGGAAGAGCTGGTGAGGAGGGAGGAGGCGGGGACCCAGCTGTCCCACACCTCTGCATGCCTCCTTCAACTGGATGATGCTCTCAGCCAGGTGGCAGGCTGAACACTGAGCGGGCCCAGGGCCTGTGTCTTCAGGGTGGACACGCTGCAGTGCTCAGCCGTTCCAAAAGCAGGTGGCCCTGCACCTGCGGCTACTGAGGCCGGGTGCAGAGGAGCTGGTACTAAGCAGGGGAGAGGCTGGGGGCTGTCCCTTGAATCTCCCTTCTGCCCTGCTCCTAGCTCACCCGACACTGGGAGCCCCTTTGTCTTCCAGCAACATGCCCCCAGCCCACTTGACTTCTGACCCACTCATGCCACTCCTGCTCCTCCTCTGTGGTCCTTTAGAATATTTCTGTTGTGGCTTCAGTTGCCCCCAAAGCCCAGTTATTCAAAGAGGGGCTGGGGTTCCCTACCTCACTCAGCCTTAGCTATATAGCCCTATACCTGCAGCCTCAGCCCACCCCATGGCAATCAGGGTAGGGCCTGGAGTGAATTCTGCAGCTGCAGACCTGAACTCAGCAAACCTCTGTGCCCACCAAGCCTTGCTCTGCCCTATCATGAGGCCTATATCCTGTTTGGTGTTTCAGTTACCTTCAGTAGCTGGGATCCACTAGAAACTGCAGTCCCCTTGGCTGGGCCCCTGAAAGTCTTGCCACCCCCTGAACATGGTTCCCCAACCTCTAACTGATAGCTGAAGTCCTCCCTGCAAAGAACCCACCATGCAATTGGGTTTCCCACTGTCATCCTGCCAGGGGGCTCCTAAGAACTAAACCCTGGAGAAATTGCCACCAATCTGAATCCACCCTGAGCTTTTCGTGCACCTTCAGACCCTCTCATTTTGAGTTGCTGCACTGTCTTCAGAGTCAGCCTCGGCTAAGCCAGCTCCCCCAGCCTGGCTCTAGGCCCCTCTCCTGGGGATGGCACTCAGCTGCATCCTCTGGATGTGACACCCCCCATGCAGCGCTGGAGGGCTTGGGCTTAGGTCTGTGGAGTTCCAGCTTCTCAAAATGCAGGGTGAGTGGCAGACCAGCAGCAAGATTCTTTGCCAGAGGAAGGGCAGAGGTGGGCTCTGCAAGGCGCCTGTCCTCATGCCTGGTCCCCACATGGTCACATCTGCTCTAAGAATCAAATCTGGGAACCAGAGTCCATGATCAGAGTTGGGAGTAACCTGTGTGTTATTTCCACACTCAGGTGTCTCCGAGCCTTAAGAAACTAATGTGCATTGAGTGTGTACTCTCCACTTATCTGCTTCTTACTCCATTTAATCAGCAGAACAGCTATGGAAGAAAAAAAATACCCATTTTATCGATGAGGAAACTAACTCGGGACTTTAGCAATTTGTCTGAGTTATGGAACTAATTAACAATACAGCCAGAATGCAAATAAAAATCAAATTCCAAAGCTCATGAGGCCTCCCCCTAAATTTTAGCCCAGAAAAAGGACAGCAGTGGGTGGGACAGCAAAAACATGTGGATGGGGGAAGAGAAGACGGGGATACACAGAAAACACACTTCCAGTGTCACAAGTCCCATCTTAGCCAAGGCCACACAAAGAGAGATGAGCTCAAGCCCTGTGTCACATTCACCCGTCTATGGTGGGGCCTCCTTGTACGAACAGCATTGTCTGAGAAGGCCCTGCAGCTAGCGAGACTCAGGCTAGGTCAACATTGCAAAAAGCCTTAATGATTCATGATCACACAGGATGTATAGACGAGAGCATTTTTGCCTTTACTATCTATCAGTGTATGCCGGTAAGAGGCAGGAGATAGGAAAAATCCATTTGTGAGCTGTTAAATTTGGGGTGTCGGCTGGGCATGGTGGCTCACACCTATAATCCCAGTGCTTTAGGAGACTGAAGCAGGTGGATCACTTGAACCCAGGAGTTCAGGACCAGCCTGGACTGCATGATGAAACCCTATATCACATATATATATATGTTATATATGATATATGTATATGATATATATAGTAGATATATATATCTACTATATTTACTATATCTACTATAACCCTATATCTAATATATATATTATATATAATACATATAAAACCCTATATCATATATATATATATACACACACACATATACACACACACACATATATATATAAATTAGCCAGGCATGGTGGCACACGCCTGTGGTCCCAGCTACTTGGGAAGCTGAGGTAGGAGAATCACTTGAGCCTGGGAGGTTGAGGCTGCAGTAAACTGTGATCATGCCACTGCACTCCAGTCTGGGTGACAGAGTGAGACCCTATCTCCCCACCAAAAAAAAAAAAAAAAATTGAGGGCATTAATTTTCAAGGCTGAACTAGAAATCAGGAAAGCTGCCTACGATGAAGGCTGCACCTGGCCAGAGGGTGAAGTAAATGGAGGAAAAGGAGACTCTTCCAGGCCAGAGGCTGCAAATGTGAGAGGGCAATCCTTCCTCTTTGGTGAAGACCATCATGGTGAGATGAGGCCTGAGCACCTGTAGTTGAATCAGACGAATGGCTTGCAACTTATACTGGCCCATGACCTTGGGCAAGCCACCTCTTGTTGGGCCTCCATTTCCTTGTTTACATGATATAAAGGGATTTAAATAGATCCTCTCTATAACGCCTTTCACAACCAAGGATCTGGAATTCTACACTACAGATTCATATAGATATAAATGGAGAGAGGGATTTTAAAGACAGCAATGCTTATAAAATGAAATACTTTTCTTCAGTAATCATTATCTGTTACCAACTTCTCAGGTCAATAATCTTTCTCATAGAAATTGACCAAAATATTGCACTGTAACCCACTGTGATTTTTTTACTTCTACTAAGAGGTGCTCCTGGGGGTGTGTGGAACAGTGGGCCCCCTCAGCTGCATGTGAGCTGGTGTCAAAAGCTCTGGCGGGCCCTCTCCTCCTTGTTCAGTAATTTCTGCCGCTGCTGACAATATCTTGTTACTGCTCCCAGGTAATTTGAGGGAAAGCTTTCAGTTGCTTTTATATGTTCTGCTTTTTTTCTTACCTTCTTTGGATGCAGCAGAAGTTAAGTGAGAAGGACCAGAGCACATCTCTATACTGCTAAGAGCAAGAAAGAAAATTTTCCCAATTACAGGTTTTCTCTGCAATTTTCCTCTTTGAAGAACAGAACACCATACACCCCCAGCTCCAATCTCTTAGGTTTTTGTCTGCTGTATCTACAAGTGGCGTAAATGGGAATATATGTGAGGGGCAGGGGTAAGGGATGGGTGTGTTGGGTGAAGACTGTTCTGGTCCATAAAAAAGGGGCTGGCTTTAGGGAAAGAAGACACTAACAAGAAAAGTCTGGGCTCGGCATGGTGGTTCATGCCTGTAATCCTAGCACTTTGAGGGGCCAAGGTGGGAGGATCACTGGAGGCTAAGAGTTTGAGACCTACCTAAGCAACATAGTGGCACATGCCTATAGTCCCAGCAGCTCAGGAGGGTGAGGCAGGAGGATGGCTTTGAGCCCAGGAGTCTAGGGCTGCAGTGAGCTATGATGGCTCCACTGCACTCCAGCCTGGGCAATAGAGAGAGACCCTGCGTTTATTTAAAAAATAAAATAAAATAACAACAAATGTCTGCTTTTAACTCTGCCCCTCTCCCACATCAACAAACACACACACATGTACGCCACAACCTTTCTCATCGTCTGCACCTTCTTTCCAACAAGGTCATTCAGTGTCCTCATTATTTCTTTTCTCAAACTCCATCATCAGTACAACCTTCGTAGCTTTTATGTATGCTTTATTATAAATGACCCCACCTAGCAAAGACACACAGAGCACCAAGTTCATGCCAGCCACCATGCTCAGCCCAACAACACACCTTATACATACCTGTTTTTTTCTGTGCTCCAAGAACTTGACCTGTTTTAACTCCTTTAATCCTCAGAACAACCTCTTGAGGTGACCACTGTTACTATTTCCATTGTACAGATTGGGGAGATGGGGTACAAATGCTGTCCAAGGCTACATAGCCAACAAATAGGGCAGCCAGGATGTAAACCCAGAGAGCAGGGGTGGCGGTCTGAGCTCAGCCCCCTCAGAGCATTCCACAGACCCTGCCTTATTCTAGCTGGTGAGATAGCCATAGGAAAAAATGATTAAGATGCATGTACAGAGTTTCTCCTTACAAATGAGATGAGGGTTATGGAGAGGAGGCCATTCCAGGGGAGAGAATGTGCCAGGGCACAGCCTAGAGTCATGAGCCTCTGCAGGAGGCGTGTGGAAATGCAATGAGGGTGTGGAAATGCAATGAGGCTAAAGTGGGAGGTGCTGGCAACTAAAACTACTAGGGGGATTGGGTCCAGATAATGAAGAATGATGAAGACAAGGAAGGAGCAGGAGCTAAACAAAGCTGTCTCCCATCCCTCCCAGAGACTCCACGTTCACAAGCAGCGCTGCCTGGAACTGTGGACTAGAATGTCAGGCACAACCGGGGTCAGAGGGGGAAGGCAAGAAAGCAACTTGACCTTAAAATAGCATGCTGAGAGACACCTGCAGTCTCAATCACAGGATGCTTCCCATAGCTGAAGAGGAATTTACAAAGATTCTAACCCCACTCTGTATTTTACAGAAGAGAAGGCTGAAGCCACAGAGGAGAGGCAACAGGTCTGAAGAGACACCTATGCGTGCAGCAGGACAACAGGGGATTGGGGGTCACCAGCTCACCCCAGAGAGGGTCCAGCACTCACTTCTAAGATTCGCCAGCTTCCCCCGCCAGAGAGCGTCCAGCACTCACTTCTAAGATCACCCCTTCTCCCACTGAGACAGCTAGCCTTGCACAAGGCATTCCCAAGCAAGCTCCCCAACAATATAAGGAGAAGAAAGAGAAGGAGTGGCTACACACACACACACACATACACACACACACACACCTCTTAGTTGTCATTTTGAACCTAATTGTTTTAACACCAGCTGTCACATCTGCAGAATTCTTCTCTGGTACTAGTGACCTGCAAGCCCTAGAATAACGAGTCTGCGTTTAAAAATAGCCCAAATTCCTAGAATTCACCTCTCCTTCTCACTCTCCCTTCTCCATCTTACTGACAGGCCTGGTAAGAGCTCCACTTCAAATTTATGAGTATAATGTCAAGAAAATTTGATTCAGATTTATTAGGAGTGGTAGAGCAAAGCGTGGACAAGAGCAGCAGCTGATGAGGCAGAGACCTGGGTTCTGTCTCCAGCAGAGCAGGCTGCAAACCTTGGCTGACAGCCTTGAGCCCCAGGGGATTGGCTCTCTCCAGGTCACCCAGCTAGGACACTCACTGCCTCCACTTCTCCCAGCCAGCTCCATTTCCGCTGGGCTCTCTGCAGAGAAGCACCCCTACCCCTGAAACCTGACCACCCCCTTTTGGTGGTGGACTCACTAGCTCCCTACAACCAGTCCCAGATCCCACAGATTCTGTTCCTTCTGCCTCCAAGCAGCATGGCAGCAAGGGAGAAGAAAATTATGCAGCCCAATATACCCAGGATGGAATCCTGAAACAGCTGTCGACCAACTGTGTAGCCTGAGAATCAAACCCCTGAATCTCTCCAAGTCTCAGATTCCCATCAGGAAAACCTAGCTCCAGTGATTGTTCTGAGGGTCAACATAAAGGACCAAGTACCCTCCTCTCAATGCTTGGAAGAAAACAGAAATTCTTACAAAAACGTTTGTTTTCTTCTCCCTCCTAGGTCTAGCTGCCTTATTCTTTCAAATCCATCAAGCATGCATTAATATCAGGACAGGGATTTCAGTCCTAAGGACCCACTATGTGTGTGAAGGGCTCAATCGTGGGATTATTTATGCCCATTGAGAAAGTGGCAACAAGTTGTATATCCAACATTAAGGAAATGACTGTTATGATTCACCTCTTGCATGAAAATACTGCACAGGCATTCCAATTCTATTCTGTTGGCTAAGGAGATGCACATAATATGGTGTTGAAAGAAAAATTCAGGATACAAATTGTATTTAGAATATGTTCTCATTAATGTGAATGAAAATGCTACAATAAAATGAGGCAAAATGTTGACAGACGGTTTCTGGATAGTGGACTTACTAGTGAGAGTTTTCTTTTTATATATACTTCTTTATCTTCAGAAGAAATTTTTTCAAGAAATAAATCACTGATCACCAGATTCTAGTTTCAGAAAAGAAGGGTTTGGTCAATGCTATGGTGAAGGGAGTATCCTCTCCTCCCATATATTGGTTTTATAGAACCAAAATAAAAGTTCTAAAAAAGGATGTTCTGCAGATGTGACCAAGCTACCAAAATAAAAGTTCCAACAAAGGATGTTCTGCAGATGTGACCAAACAAGGAGGTAGCATAAAAAGAATCAGGAAATGAGCCTTATTCTGTATGCCGTTGGGTTGATGCAGGTGACTCGGGACAGCATGAGATGCTCAGCTCCAGGCCATGATGCAAATCATGGGGCAGGGTCAAGAAGGCATCTCCCCACATGCCAAGAGTTAAGACCAACTAGGAGAGCACCAGTGTTTCTTATAAACTAACAAAGGATTAAGAGAAATATGGGCAAGGAAGGTATTTGATTTCACGGTCTCCATATGACTTCCCAGACTGTGGGTTTGGCTAATGGCATTCCATCTGTGAAGACAACTTCAAAACTCCACTTTGAGGAGGGCTGAAGAACACCTAAGCCAACACACTCATGTTAAAGACAAAGAAACAGACCCATGGGATGAATTCTCTCAGAGGCACCAAGACTATTAAAGAAATACTGAATAAGAACCAAGACTTCCTCACCCCTGGTCCTGTCTTCCTTCTACTCATTCTAGGTGGTGAACCTAGAAGCTCCTTCAAAGCTAGAAGGCAACAGGACAGGAGAGCCAAAGAGCCCCTTACTGGTGTCCTCTAGTGAGGAAACAGTTTGCAAGGCTGAAATGGTGTGCAAAGGAGAAACAAGTAGCAATGCATCATAATATGTTGTTTTCTTCCTCGTGGAGCACATAATTCCACTTCAGTAGACACATATTAGGCCAGGTGTGGTAGCTCATGCCTGAAATCCAAGCTCTTTGGGAAACTGAGGTGGATGCATCACTTGACGTCAAGAGCTCGAAACCAGCCTAGCCAGCATGGTGAAACCCCCGTCTACTAAAAATGCAAAAATTAGCCAGGCACAGTGGCACACGCCTGTAGTCCCAGCTACTCGGGAGGCTGAGGTGGGAGAATTGCTTCAACCCAGGAGGCAGAGATTGCAGTGAGCCAAGATCGCACCACTGCACTCCAGTCTGGGCAAGAGAGCCAGACTCTATCTCAAAAATAAATAAATAAAAATAAAGGCACATATTACATGTTTTGGGGTCTCATGATTCTACACGAGAGCTCTCTCTGCTAGTTCATCTTCTCATGGTGGAGAAGGCTGTTTTTAACTGGATGTGAAGGGCCGGAATGGAAGTAAGATGCATAGCCGGGAAAGGAAATTCCCAGATGAGATTCCACGAACACTTTCTGGACACGTGGTCCAGAGAGTATATCCCTCCAGCCATCAACCAATGCCTACACCCCTTCCTTGGCTCAGCCTTTGCTTTTCTGGCAGCCAAGTGTCCCCTGCCCCCTTCCTCTGATTCAGAAGGTGGACACCACCCCCAACTGAAACAAACCTCAAGTATGAACTCTGGATTTAGGAGCGAAAATGCAGAACAATTGCTGGCCTCATTGGATGACTTTGCACATGGGGAGTGAGAAACCAAATCCTAAAATTGGTTGAACACGTGCTATGTGTTAGGTGCCATACACAAATTTTCTCCTCCTACTCAACCACAACTCAGTGAAGGAAGAACTCCCCTTCCGATGGAGAAACAGAGGCTCAGAAAGCTAAAAACTAACTTGTTTAGGGCCAGCTAGTGAATAAATGGCCTCTTCATAATGTTGTTTAGGGCCAGCTAGTGAATAAATGGCCTCTTCATAATGTTGTTTAGGGCCAGCTAGTGAAGAAATGGCCTCTTTATAATGCACTGCTCTGAGGCACCCTCAAATAGAAGCTGAAGTTGACAGTGAGGAAGGGACCACAGCTAGACTCTCGAATATTCAAACTATTACCTCTGCAAAGATAGGAGTTTATCCCAATTGAGCAGAAACATGTCTAACATGTAAAGAAAAACTCCTCTCTACCCCTATAGCCAGTCCTTGGATCCCAATTCTGGGCCAGGCAGGCCTCTCCTTACCCTGCCTCTGGACTACCCAAGAGTCAGCAGGGCCCCCCATTCCTGGAGATGAGGGTTGTAGCCGTTGCTGCACCGCAAAAGCTCAGGCAGAGTTAGAACAGAGGGGCAGAGAGAGCCCCATGTGTTAATGAGAAGCTGGCTGAAGTCCACAAGGACTTCCTGCCTGGCTCCTTCAGAACCTACCAGCCTCCCAGTGGGCAGAGCAGCCCAGGCCAGCAGCTCACTGCCGGTCAGGGGCAAGCGGCACTGTGCTGTGGGTCTGGTCTCACTGTGGCCTGGAGAGACCTTGGAGAGCCCTGGTCCCTCTGCTGTTCAGCCTCTCCAGCCCCACCATACCCGTTGCTCCCCACAGCACTTCCTTCCAGCAGACCTCAGTTTTCTAACCAGGCCAATGGGATTATAGAGATAAGTCTTCTCTTCTCCTTTAGGAAATGCCCTAAGAAGACAAATCCATGTCGTTACCATGTGAGTTAAAAAAAAAAAAAAAACACACAAAAAACCTCCTTCCAGGTCCCTGCCAAGAAAGTGCAAATGCTTCCGCCTCTGTGCACTTTGTCAAAGGCATCACCCTGCTGTGAATGCCTCACCCTCCCCAATCCTGAGAGGGCCAGCACCATTCCTCCACAAAGCCACTCCCCTCTGACTTCCACAAGCATCCCATGGCACACTTTCCTTGTATTGTAAAGACTGTGTTCATCTTTAATCAGATGTGAAGAGCTGGAATGGAAGTAAGATGCATAGCCTGGAAAGGCTGGACCATGACCTTTGCAGGGGAAGGCTCAGCCAGCACTCACCCAGCAGTTCTGTTGGCCTGGGGGAGGCCCGCGTGCAGCAGTACACAGTGTTTGCAGTTCTCTTCATCTCCAGGAGAAGGCAGGAGAAAAAGACTCAAGAATCAAAGCCAACCGATACACTGAGCAAGCAGGAATGGGGAAGGTGTGGTGCATACCCAGAGCCCTGTGGCTGGGCGGGGCTTTGCCATCTGGTCACCCTCCCAGCCAGCACAGGAAGGCCTTTGGTAATATGCCTGATGGGGGACACAGACGTGACAAGTCATCATTCTCACCACGCCAACCATGGGATGGCCCAGGCCCAGGGGGTGGTGCGAGTTCAACGGCCCCAAGCATTGTCTTCTTCCACCACCATCATAGACAAGGTGCGGGCTCAGTGCTAAGGATGGTACTGCAGAAAGGAGATAGAAGGGAAATAAACACAGTCTCCCTCCTCAGGTGCTGATGTTTATTCCAGATGGGATATAAAAGTCACCGGTGGAAATAATCTGGGTATGGTTACAGAGCAAGGCACTTCTGAATGAAAATCATGATGTTGAATCAGATGTTGGATAGGAGGCCCTTGTTGGGGCACCAAAGCCCAGAGAAGGGGGGTCACTGGCTAAGGGGACCACTGAAAAAAAAAAACCTCCAATCTAACAATTCCAAGTCAGGGACACTCCCTGCTTCAGCTCACAAAATTTGCAACTGGGGAGGACTCAGAAGGAAGGTTCAGCCAACCAGGTTAATTCAGGAAGCATCAACCCACCACCTGCCAAAGCAGGTGAGCCTTGAAATAATAGAGTACGTACTCTATGTCAGACACCAAGGAGGCACAGATGAAGCTGCACACCACCTGGCATTGTAGTGATCAGGTTCTAACAGAAGAACAAGTACAACATCATTGTCAACACCATCATCATCACCACCACCTCATCATCACCACCATCACCACCACCACCATCATTATCATCACAGCCATTCTCACCATCATCACTACCATCATCGTCATTACATCACTAACAATGTCATCATTATCACCATTATCATAATTATCATCAACATCATCACCATCACCACAATCATAGTCACTATCATCACCATCAACCACCACCATCACCATCTTCACCAGTGTCAGTCATCACTGTCATAGCTACCAGACTGATACTAATACTATTATACCTAATCTGTGTAAGTACTGGGGAATACATTGTCTTTAATCCTCAAATAATCCTTTTAAAGTAGGAATTATTATCTTCATTTTACAAATGCAAAGTGAGGCTCAGAGAAGCCATGCAGCCTGCTCAAAGTCAAACTGTAAGAACTGGGATTCTGGAGCAGGTCTTTTGGACTA
Source organism: Homo sapiens (assembly GCF_000001405.40). NCBI lineage: Eukaryota > Metazoa > Chordata > Mammalia > Primates > Hominidae > Homo > Homo sapiens. Next base: position 11,003,718 of record NC_000008.11, read on the forward strand.
CAGACTCTGCCCTCTTTCTGTCATTCCAAGCTGTCTCCATCAACAAATAATTATGCTAACACATAATAAATGCTCTAACAGGCATATGTATGGAGGACAGAGAAGGGTGTGGTTAATTCTGCCTGTGATGAGAGCAAAAGGTTCCCAAGGGAGAAAAGAGTCCAGGTGAACCGTCCAGAGGGCTTTCAAGTTCTCCTGGTGGGAAGAGGGATGGCCATATACTTCAAGGAGAGGAGACAGCAGGTGCAAAAGCAGAGAGTGGCGAAGGAAGGGCGGGTGGCTGTGGAGTAGTGGGTCCTGGGGCATCACAAGAGTGAGTGAGCAGAGCAGCGACAGCAGGACTAGAACATGAGGACCTTGTCCACTGAGCCCTGAGCTGCAGAGATGGAGCGAAGTCTGGGAGTTATGAGGAGCCCTGGGAGTCTTGGGCTGGGGCAGTGAAATGCTCAAGTCTATGTTAAAAAGCTCCTGTGGGGCCGGGCGTGGTGGCTCACGCCTGTAATCCCAGCACTTTGGGAGGCTGAGGCAGGTGGATCATGAGGTCAGGAGTTCGAGACCAGCCTGACAAACATGGTGAAACCTCATCTCTACTAAAAATACAAAAATTAACCGGGCATGTTGGCGCACACCTGCAATACCAGCTACTTAAGAGGCTGAGGCAGAAGAATCACTTGAACCCAGGAGGCGGAGGTTGCAGTGAGCCGAGATCATGACGCCACTGCACTTCAGCCTAGGCGACACAGTGAGAGTCCATCTCAAAAATAAATAAATAAATAAATAAAAAATAAAGCTCCGGTGGGACAAAGATATATTGACCAGGTGGTTTATTATCCTGATGTTTACAAAAAGTAGCAACTGCCTACCAGGCCAGCAACAGGGAGCTGGTTAAACAAAACTTGTTGCTCATCCACAGTGGAACCCTCTGCAGTTATTAAAAATTATATCTATGAGCCAGCAATTCCTCTTCTGAAGCTATATCCCAAATAATTAAAAGCAGGGACTCAAACAGATAATTGTATATCCATGTTCACAACAACATTATTCACAATAGCCAAAAGGTGGAGACAACCCAAGTGTCCATCAAACAATGAATGGATAAACGTGTAGTTTACACACATGATGAAACATTATTCAGCCTTAAAAAGGAAAGAAATTCTGGCCCATGCTACAACATGGATGAACCTTGCAGACCTTATGCTAAATGAAATCAGCCAATCACATAAAGACAGAAATTGTATGATTCTACTTAAATGACGTACCAAGAGTAGTCAAATTCATAGGAACAGAAAGTAGAACAGAATGTGGTACAGTCCCTCTGCAACCTTATCCATGGGAGATACGTTTCAGTGGATGCCTGAAACCACAGATGGTACAGAACTCTATATATACTAAGTTTTTTTCTCATACAGTCACATTGTATAGGGCAGGTAGTGTGTCCAGCATACATACGTGGAACAAAGGGATGATTCACATCCCAAGCAGAATGACGCAAGATTTCATCATGCTGCTCAACATGGCACACAACTCAAAACTCATATATTGTTTATTTTCAGAATTTCCCATTTAATATTTTTGGACTATGGTTGACCTTGGGTAACTAAAACCACATAAGGTGAAATCTTGGATAAGAAGTGACTGTAGTAGATATAGATATATATATATATACATATCTCCAATGGAAGGGCTGGAGGGAAGTGGGATGGGGAGCAGTTATTTAATGGGCATGGAGTTTCCATTTGGGAAGATGAAAATGTTCTGGAAATGGACGGTGGTAATGGTTGTACAACACCATGGATGTACTCAATGCCACTGAACTGTACACTTAAAAATTGTTAAAATGGGAAGTTTTCTGTTATTTATAATTTCCCACAATGAAATATGATGATACGAGTGTGTATTAACATGCAAATATGGTACGATGTGTTCGTTAAGGAAAAATACATCACATTGTAATCCCATTTTATATATGAATTTGCTAGCAAAAATATTATAAGATAGGAATCAAATTTAAACAGTGGCTATCTCTGAATGCTGAGATTATATTTTATTTTCCTCTTTTTCATATCTACAGTTTTCAAGGTTTGTATGATAGACATATATAATAAAAATATTTTTTCTTTCTTTCTTTTTTTTTTTTTTTTTTTGAGATGGAGTCTCCCTCTTTTGCCCAGGCTAGAGCATAGTGGCACATTCTCAGCTCACTGCACAGTCTGCCTTCTGGGTGCAAACTATTCTCGTGCCTCAGCCTCCCGAGTAGCTGGGATTACAGATGCCCGCTACCACGCCTGGATAATTTTTGTACTTTCAGTAGAGACGGGGTTTCACCATGGTGGCCAGGCTGGTCTCGAACTCCTGACCTCAAGTGATCCGCCCGCCTCGGCCTCCCAAAGTGCTGCGATTACAGGCGTGAACCACTGTGACTGACTAAAAATTTTTCAATTAAAGAGGAGAGAAAGAAAAATAAGAGATTAATTGGTGATTGATTCACTAGAGAGTAGGGTGAGAAATGAGCTGGGGAGAGAACAAATGGAAGCAGAAGAGCCAGTTAGTGGCCTAGTAGGACACTGATTCCTTCATTCAGCGCCTACTGTGGACAATGTGGCACTGAGAGGAGGCCTTCTGCCTGGGTATTATTAGGGTGGAGGGAACAGTGTGCTGCCCCTATGGTCACAATTGTCACTATCCATCCCTTATCGTATGTTGCATGTCTGAGACATGCCAGTCATTGGAGACATCAATGACCAACATACTTTTTCTGTCCTGTGAGGATGTATATTCTATTGATGAGAGACAGAAAAGTAAACCACCAAGTGGAATAGAGTAAGGCATCTGTAGATGAACAGGGTTGTGGGTACACACAGAGTGAAGACAATGTCCCTGCATTGCTGGTGTCTGCAGACATGCAGGCTGGGCCCAGGGCAGTGAGGCTTGGTGTTCCAAGCAGAGGGAATAGCATGTGCAAAGGCTCAGAGGACCCAGAGAGCTAAGTGGGCCATTACAAACAGAATTTGTAGGATTTCTGTCCTTGGAGACCTTACAGACCAAGCCAGATGGCTCTCTCTAGCTGGATATGGAGTTCCCTGTGGCTGCCGCTGCAGGTTACCCTACCAGCTACCAGCTGCCTCCTCTCTCTTTGTTTATAGAAGCCCATCTCTATTCTAGCTGCAACACAGAGTGTAGATTCTTTCCCTAGCCTCAGGGCGTGAATATGATTGGTCCAAGTCAAGCAGTTCATCCTGTTTCCCTTTACTAATGATTAGCGTAGGGACAGACATAAGACCAAATTCTGGGTAATGGACCCCAAGAGGAACCCTACCAGTTGGCTTCTGATCAGGATTTAATTCCTGAATAAGAGGAAAGAGCTGCTACAAAAAAAAGTCTTGTTGTATCTGTCTTCTTGCCTCCAGCCTGGGATGCTGTTCTGATGCTTGGAGCTGTGGCAGCCAATGTATGACCATGAGGGATAGGTCAGGAGAGTCATAGAGATAGGAATTCAACATCCAAACACTTTGGAATGGCTAGACCATTCTTGGCATTGTCCATCTCCAGTGTCTTGTCATGTATGATAGTTAAATGCCTTTGTTTTTGAGCCTCTCTTCAGCATTCAGTTCCTTGCAGCCAAGTGCATCTTAAGCAATATCCCTGCCTCAAGACTAGGGGCTAATGTGCAAGCTTCTGTCGCTCAGCAGCAAAGCCTGGGTCTCAAGGATCATCTGATGCCTAAAAGCCAAAATCATGCCTACAGCAACAGACCTCCACTGCGGCCTCTCGCATGGACGAAGAAACACAGCCAGTAATGTCGTTTCCATTCATCTCTCCTCATCATCGCCATCAATACTGATGAGTCACGTGCAGCACAGATTATGCCTGACCCACAGAGGAAGGCAGACTGGAGGAGTCAGCTCTTCCCTCTCAAAACAAAGCACACTCGGTGGAAGAGGCAGGAAACAAACAAACAAACAAAAAAGCAAAAGGAAATCTACCCAGATCTTACCTACTCCTGGTTGCTGTAAGGGTTGGGGGTGGAGGAACAGAGGCAGCAGGGCAAGGTGCCTGCAGTCTATCTCTGGTGTCCCCTGGCTTCCTGCAGCTCCCCTTCTCCTCTCTGGGCTTGTATCTTTTCCTAGCGGTAGGAGAGGTAAAATTCGGGAGTGCACAACAAGCAGGCAGGGAGCTTGAGCCCTTGGAAGCAGATGGCAGGGGCAGAGTGGGGGGAGGGCAGGGCAGAGCAGAGCAGAGCAAAGCAGCATGGGGCGAGACCTGGATGTGTGGGTGCTCCCTGGGAGAGAAGACAGGGAAGCAGGCGTTTGCTTTTTTTTGACTGTAGCATTCAGGCGTTCACACAGGGGCAAGGCAGTGAAGGACCTCACCTGTGCACCTGGGGGAAGGCTGCCACGTTTACTCTTTCCTTTTACTCTCACGATGCCCTGTCCTGCTCAAATACCCTCGGTGGCTTCTGCTGTCTACAGAATGAAGCCCAATCTCTCTAGCTTGTCTTCCCCAATCCATCCCACCCCACCAGCCTCACTGGCCACTTGGCTCCAACATGATGCAAAAAGGCCCAAGGGTGGCCTGAGCACCCGGACACTGAGGCAGGTAGGCAGTGCATGAAAAGTCCACAGACTACAGCCAGGCCTTCTTTCCTTCTTTGTTCCCCTCTTCCTCAGGCTGGACGCATCCCCTAAAGGGGGCTCCCCAGGCTTTTTTTTTTTTTTTTTTTTTTGACAGGGTCTCGCTTTGTCACCCAGCCTGGAACGCAGAGGCACAATCTTTGCTCACTGCAACCTGCAACTCCTGGGCTTAAGCCATCCTCCCATTTCAGGCTCCTAAGTAGCTGGGACCACAGGTGCATGCCACCATGCCTGGCTAATTTTTTCTTTTTTTAGTACATACGACCCCATTACCCAGGTTGGGCTCAAACTCTTGGGTTCAAATGATCCACCTGCCTCGCCCTCCCAAAGTGCTGGGATTACAGGTGTGAACCACCACCCCGGCCTCCCCAGACTTTCCAAAGGGTTCACCGGTGGACACATGTCTGGGCTGAGTGCTTCCAGGAGCCCTGATGGAGCCACGGTCAAGCGCTCATATCACTGAATGCCATTGGTTGCAGGCCCCCCCGCCCAAGGAGCATGAGGCCCTGCAACCACTGTAGCTTGCTAGGGCTCTTACAGCCTGGGTCCCATCACCCTCTACCAAGGCTGAGGGAAATCTCTTGACATGCACAAAGGTCTTCCAACTCAGAAAGAGCAAGGACCTGAAGGATCCTTTCCTTTTAGATTGTTGTCTAAAGTGGCATATAGGGGTGTTGTTACCACAGACAAAAAGCCAGGCCCCAAATTACACCTCTCCTGGGTAGTCAGCAGCTGTGTGGGGAGGGGGGTGGGAGGTCCTGTTCTGGAGCTTCTTGATCTTTAGCTAATCATTCCATAGTCAATCAATCAATCAATCAAGTTCCGTGTGTGTAAGTGGTGCATGTCTCTTTCGCCCTCTCATTGAAAAGGTATAGGGTTTGGCCGGGCATGGTGACTCACACCTGTAATCCCAGCAATTTGGGAGGCCAAGGTGAGCAGATTGCTTGAGCCCAGGAGTTCAAGACCGGCCTGGGTAACATGGAGAGACCCTGTCTTTACAAAAAATACAAAAATTAGTCAGACATGGTGGTGTGTGCCTGTAGTCCCAGCTACTTGGGAGGCTGAGGTGGCAGGATCACCTGAGCCTGGGGAAGTTGAGGCTGCAGAGAAGAGATCATACCATTGTACTCCAGCCTTGGTGAGAGAGTGAGATCCTGTCTCAAAAAAAGGCAAAACACAACCAAAAAATAGTTATAGGTTTGATGGAGATAGCATGAGCTTAGAACTAAGACAAATTTGGGTTCAAAACTGGTCCCAGATCTTCTGTAAAATGTCTAACCAGCACTCAAAACTGTCAAGCTTATCAAAAACAAGAAAAGTCTGAGAAACTACCAGAATCTAGAGGAGTCTGTGGAGACATGATGGCATCCTGGAAGGTGTTCTGGCACAGAAGAAAGGACATCAGGGAAAACTAAGGAAATCTGAATAAAGCATGGACTTTAATTAACACTAATGTATCAATATTACTTCATTAATCATTGACAAATGTTCCCCACTAATGTGAAGTATTAAGAGTGGAAATGGTATGGAGTGTAGGGGAACTCTCTGTAACACCTTTGTAACAATTCTATAAATCTAAAACTGTTCTAAATTAAAGTGTTTATCAAAAATAAAATAATTGTATTAGTCTGTTCTCACATTGCTATAAAGAACTACCTGAGAATGGGTAATTTATAAAGAAGAGAGGTTTAATTGGCTCTTGGTTCTGCAGACTGTACAGGAAGCAAGGCTGAGGAGCCCTCAGGAAGCTTACAATCATGGTGGAAGGTGAAAGGTGAAAGGAAGTAGTCATCTCTTATATGGCCACAACAGGAGGAAGAGAGAGAAGCAGGAGGTGCTACACACTTTCAAACAACCAGATTTCATGAGAACTCACTTGCTATCACAAGACTGGCAAGGGGGAAGTCCACCCCCATGATCCAATAACCTCCCACCGGGCCCCTCTTCCAACATTGGGAATTACAATTTGACATGAGAATTGGGCAGGAACACAAATCCAAACCATACCAATAATAATAGTAATAGTAAAAACTGGTCCCAGGCACTTATTAGTGGTATGACTTTGGGCAAATGACTTCCCTTCTCTAAGCCTCATTTTCTTGTTTATAAAATGAGACAACAGTACCTGCCTCATGGGTTGGTGTGACTACTGAGTAATGCAACACAGGCACAATGCCCTAGCACAATGCCTAGCACACAACTGACACTCATCAGACATTTGTTTTTAAAATCCCAACCAAGAAATCTATCTTTGATTTATTATAATAACAAATAACAACCAGTCAATATTCAACATTTCGTAATTTTCCACAAAATGATTTTTATAGCTTTAAAACAACTTTTCCCCCAGTTCCAAGATTCGTGCTTTCCATTTCATTGACAGTCTTCTTTACTACCTTTTTTTCTAAAACAGTGGCCCCTCCCCACCTTTTTTTTTTTTCCTGTCATGACATTGACACAAAGTTAAACCAGGAAGTCACAAGAGGCAAAGAACGGAGCTCCCCACCACAGTCGTGGTATGAGTGGGGCTGAAGACTGGCTTGAGTGATGTGTCTCCTTTTCACTCATGTGACCGCTGGTTATGTCAACTGTGCCCAGGGCCAGGACCGCCTTCTCTATGCCAGGTATTTTGCTGAGCACACTGTATACATTGTCTCCGCATCTCTCAGCAACCCAATCAGTCAAGATTATTATTATCCCTGTTTAACAGATGAGAAAGCTGAGGCTTGGGCCAGCTCAGTAACTTGCCTGAAGTCCTACAGCAGTCATCAGCAGAGCTGGGATTTGAACTTGGCTCCAAACTCATGCTCCTTTCCCTACATCACTGTCCCTGCTTCAAGGAGTCCCCACCTACAGGAATGGACTAGCACAGAAACAAGCATTTCAACAATACAGTGACATCAGTGCCATCACACAGCACGCAGGAGAGGCACAGGAACCACCAGAAAGGAAGCCCTTCTTGGGGTGGCCAGCAAGGCTTCCCGGGGGAGGTGGCATCCTGCTCTGCAGTGACAGAGTGGATAGGCTGTCACCAGAAGGGTACAGGTACACAGCGGACGAGGCTGGAAAGCAGGTGAGCACCAGGCTGAGGAGGGTCCTGAACATTTTCCTTCATTTTTTATTTGTTCATTCATTCATTCAACAAATATTTACAGAGTTTCTTCTAAGTGCCACGTCTATTCCAGACACTAAGAAAACAGCAGAGAAGAAACAGGACAAAAACCTCTGGCTATGTGGAACTTAATCTAACACGAAAGAGACAGCAAACAAATAGGTAAGTAATAGAGATGGCAATAAGTGTTGCAGAGAAGGATAGAGCAGGGAAAGGGACAGGGAATGCCTGGGGACAGAGGCTGCGATGCGGGAAGGCCTCAAAAGATGTTTGAGTAAAGAGCTGAAGGAGGAAGGGAACTGGTTGTGGGAGTGACAGGAGAAGAATATTTCAGGCAGAAGCCATTGAGCTAAGAGCTGGGACTTGCTTCTGGGTCCACTGCAGGGCAGCACATGGCACTGGGGAGGGGGATAGCATGAGGGAGGGAGGCCAGTGCAGTGTGGCAGCTCAGGTGTGCACCTGCTGGAAGCCACAAGCTTGGAGATGGTGCAGGAGGTGGCAGGGAACAAATGAGCCAAAATGCTTCCACAGGTGGGGTGTCCACATGTCTGTGACAGGAGCCCTGAGCTATTCTCAGCCCCACTAAGGACTCTGAAGAGGAGAATTTGGGACACAACAGGCAGGGCCTCGCAGTCCCCATCTAAGCAGATGGAGGAGTCCGCCTACCTCAACTGTGCCCAGGGCCAGCACTGCAGAAGCTACCACTCATCTGTCATTCAGGTCACAGGACCCCACCCCACTCCCCAGCCCTGACAGCCAGCATGGGGACAGAAGGGGCAGTAATGAACCCCCAAGCCCCTTTGGGACCTCAGCTGCTAGGGAACTGCTATGCAGATAAATTTAACCTGGCAAGTTACCTAACCTTTCTGGCTCTCCATTTCTTATTTGTAAAATGGGGATAATGACAGCACCTATATCTTAAGAAAAACTGAATGAGTTAATACATGTAAAGTGTTCATAACACCATTTGCATGTGGCAGGAGTTCAATAACTGTTAGTATCTATCATTGTGAGTGTAGTTGTTACGGCTGCTATTATCATCACCATCACCATCACCATCGACAGCAGTCCCTGGCTACATCCCTAGTCTACCCAGACATTTCCAGTACCATGGGGGAGGAAAAGAGCTGGGAAATGTAAACTATAGAAAAAGTGCCCCCCTCACCTCCCCCTAGCTTGCAGGCCCCCTCCACTGTCCTCTCCTTTTCCTCCAATCTGCATCCCCTCCTTTTTTCTGGGCTAATCTTGTTTTAATCTTTTCTTTGGATTCATCCTGGCCCCGATGTAACACATCCAGAAGTACACTAACAGCTCATTAACTGCCACAAACTAATACATTTTATCCCATGTCAGGCCATGTCTAATCAATGGCCATAATAAATGCAACTCCATTCTAACAAGCTTCTGCACTTTCAGGACACTTTTCGTCCAATGCCTTGCTGACATCCCAGATACCCCAAGGAAAAAGGTGGTGTCTTGCCAAGTTGTAGTATCTTGGCATGTAAGAGTCATGAGAGCTCTAACAAGATATTTGCCTGTAGACATGCCTTATCCTTCGGCTTGAAGATGAAACGAGGCCCAGGGAGGGGAAGTGAATTTCCCAAGGTCACACAGCAGGTTGGGTGCCAAGCTCAGATGAGAACAGGAGTTTCCAAGCTAACATGTATTAAGCCCTTAACACCATGAGGCATTTAATCCTCATAGTGACCCTAAGAGCAGATACCATCTATATCTTCATTGTACAGACAAGGGCACCATGGCTTGGACAGGTTGAAGGACTTGCCCATGGTCTCTAAGATGAGGCTGAGGAGGCTGACCTTCACCACCATGTGGTTTTCTAAAGGTTTCTCCTTTAAGGAGAGGAGAGGAGAGACAGGAGGAAGGTTTACTTTAGCCCATCACAAAGTGAGATCTAAGAACATGAACCCTGAGGGCCACAGAGGTGAAGCTTCAGGATGCCGGCTCTCATGTTTATTTGAGATATGTGTTAGGTTTCCCCAGCTGCCTCTAGGGACTCTGTCTGGGTCAGCCTGGCAGAGGTGGGTTCCAGATGGCAAAGGACTTAACTGTCTTTGTACCAGCAATTTGTTGCCACAAATTCATTGAGACACATAATATAATACGCCCCCTTTTTAAAAATTGCAGTGCCTAGATCTGGCCCCGGATCTGTGTTGCTGGTGGGAATGTCCCCATCCATTAATTGAGTGCTCCTAGAATTAGCGGGGATGGGAGGGCCTCCCCTAGCTGGTTTGGAAACCAGCACCTTCATGTTTATACCAATTCCCCACCCATGTTTGGCAGAATGAATTAAACAAAAGTCAAAACCTACTTCAGCAGGGTTCCTTACACAGAAGGAATTTGCTGTGTGAAGTCCTGGGACCTCTTGAGTCATCCTGACCACGGCCCTGCCTTCCAGCCCACCTGTACCGGAGCCCCTCATGGGAGGGTCCCTGTGAAGCCACCAACATCCAGGCCCGCAGGACAGACCCAAATCCATTCCCAGTCACTGCGTTAAAAAGTCAGCTTTGTCCAAACGTGCCTTTACTCGCACGGCAGACAGGCCTAACGGGCCAGAAGGGATTTGTTAGGCTCTCTAGATCCATCATAATCTGTGTTTAAAGGTCCCCAAATGCCCATTTAGACAATCCACATTTTTTAACAGCCAGTAAATACTCTGGTACCGGGTCAGCATTTTTAAAGGTCCTTAAATAGCTCATTTGCATAATCCATATTTTCAGAGCCCCTAAGCATTCATCCTCCCTATGTAATCTCAATCTTTATTAAGTGTGAGGAAGAAAAGACTCCAAAGGAGTGTAGCGGCCCTTAGCGCCCCTTCTGGAAAAACTGTTTTAAAAATGACCAGATTTTCAAAAGCAGGCACAGGACCAACCACAAAAGGAAAGTTTCTAAAGGAAAACTATTAACCTGTGCTGGCCTGTGAATGATCCTTCCGTAAAGGCAGGAAAACCCCCTGCGGGCTCCCCAAGGACACTAATTACACAACAGGCCCTGCAAACACTTCCAGTAAGGTTGGAGCCTCCCCTTTCCTATGGGTTCCCTCCTGGAGGCCAGGAGGTGCAGGCAGGTTCCCCCAACAGCTTTTCAGCAGCACCTTCCCAGGTTTAGTCTCAGCTCAAAGTCTTCCCTGGGGGAAAGGAAAGGCAATTTGCTAACAAAATGTAGGTCCCATGATTGAGGATCACTCAACACAGATATGGGGCAAAGCCTTTGCCTCATGGGTAGCAGCGTGGATCCTCTGTTAGTCATAAGACCCAGAAGACCGTGAGAAAAAGCCCTTTTGGGACCTCCGGGTCCCCAAACCTCAGCATCCCGCAACATACCCATGTAACAAACCTGCACGCGTACCCCCTGAATCCAAAATTAATAATGAAAAACATGAATCCAAGACAAGATGGACCCACACTGCTGCCCCTCCACTGTCTCAGAGAGAAAAGCTATGTCTTCATCAGAAGGTTATCCAAATTCCAAATCATCTTCAGCCACAGGCAAAACGCAGATGGAACTTGCCAACAAGATGCTGAGCCGAAGAAGCAGACGTGAGAGGACAGGGACTGATGATTCTGTTCCCTCAGATTCCCAGAACAGACAAAACTCATCTACGATCAGGGAAGCCGGGACCTGGGTTGGGAGGAGGCGCTTGGGGGCGCCTCTGATCGCGTGATATGGGTGCCCTGCATCTGGCCGTGTTCACTCGGGAAATGCTGTGAGCTGCACTTTTTTTTTTTTTTTAAGTAACCCAAATTCTTTTAGTTCCAATTTCAACTTCCTTAGCATTGCTCTGAAATCCTCTCATGCTGCACTTTTATTTTTACTCTTCTGAGCACATCCGGGATGCCCAACTCTCTGGAAAGAGGGATTAATTTTTTTTTTCGGTCCAGATTTTTGAGATTATTTAGGAAAGGTTTAGGGGAAGGAGAATATTTATAGCAACAAGGACGTGTCTAAACGCACTGGAGGCTTCTTTGCCCGGAACTCCCACATCTGCTAGAAACCACCCCCCACCCCCACCTCGGGGAGGGACTCTGAAGAGAGTTAGGGGAAGAGGGAGGAGAGGGGGACGCTGGCAGAGAAAGCCGGCCAGGTCTGACCGAGGGGATGAGTGTCTGAAGCCAGGGGGCTCTGGGCTTCTCCGGCCTCAGGCAAGAAGCGGGGCTGGCTGCGTTCGGGACCCAGCGCCCCCCAGGCCCTCCAAAGACTGGTTGAGCTCAGAACCAGAAGGAGCGAGGGAGCAGAGAAAGCCGGGGGCGGGCTCGGGGTAAGACAGGAAGGGAGTGAGATTAAGGTGAGAAGTGGGAGGGGAAGGAGGGAAACCGAGAGGAATTGAGGGTGGGCTCGGCGTATCTAGAGCAGTCCGCGGAGGACGCTGAGGCTCGCCGGGGAAGTGCTGTGCCCGAGGCGCCCCAAAGGTGGGCGGCGGTGCCAGCTCAGACCCACGCCTCTGTCCAAGTCCCGACTCCTGCGGACTCGGCTGCAGGCGGGCTCCATGAGGGCGGGCAGCAGGGCTCAGACGATCCGGCTCGGTTTGGTCAGCAGACCCCCGGTAACGCCCCGCACCGTCGGCGATCCCTGCCCCCTTCCACTGCGCCCCCACAAGCCCCGAGCTCGCCAGTCCTTCCCCGCGGCGCTCCGCTCTGTGGCCCCCTCGCATCCCACCGTGGGGGTGCAGCTCCCCTGGCACAGCCCGACGGTGGGAGAGGGCGGCCAGCTGGACTAAAAGCCCCGTCCCCGGGCGGGACCTTCCTCCCCGCACCCTGACGCGGAGGTTGGCCGGGGGCCTCTGCGTCCCTCTGCCCCGCGCCCTGGATGGGGAGGGTCTGGGCTCCGCGCCGCGAGGCAGCGCGACGGCTGCGGGCGACTTGGCGTGCGGTGCTGAGGACCCTGGGGGAGTGTGCGCCGCGGGGACGCCGGGGACTCGGGGTCCTAGTGCCACCGGACGCAG